>NC_000004.12:49027499-49336924 GCF_000001405.40 Homo sapiens
CCAGGCAGTCATTAGATTTTTTTCTGTTTTTACCGTTTTAAAAATTATTTAAATTTTTTTGTCAGTACATAGTAGGTGTATATATTTTTAGGGTGCATGGGATGTTTTGATAAAGGCATGCAATGTGAAATAAGCATATTTTGGAGAATGGGATATCCATCCCCTCAAGCATTTATCCCTTGGGTTACAAACAATTCAATTACATTCTTTATTTTAAAATATACGATTAAGTTATTATTGACTATAGTCACCTTATTGTACTATCAAATAGTAGGTCTTATTCTTCTGATTTTTTTTGACCCATTAACCATTGCCACCTCCCTCCCTGAGTTCCCCACTACCCTAGTAGGTAATCATTTGAGATGGATACTTAGGGTTGGGCAGCGCATTATCTGACTCACTCACGACCTAAGAGAGGACCTTGTAAAGGGGGCTGTGCTCCTGGGCCTTGACCTTTCCAGTACAGCAAGGGTGTTACATCATTCATAACTAGGTTAAAATAGGCTGACCACTTCTTCAATATGTTGAAGGCCCCTCTGTATCCCTCTGTGTGATTTATTTCCCATGCAAGAGTAAACACTATCCTGAGTATTGTGACTTTTTTTAGCACTTTCATGAATTCCTTTTTATTGTTACTATATATGACAGATCCCTAGACAATATTTTTTTCTATATGACATCTGATGTATCTATTTTGCAACATACTTTTTTTTTAAATTTAAAATCATCTTTCTGAGATTCCTCCTTGTGGACCTATGTAGCCCTAATTCATTTATTAGGGCTGTGTAGTGTTCCATTCCACATAGCACCATTTGTTTATTCATTTTCCTGTTGATGGACAGCCAGGCTGTTTCTAACTTTTTACTGTTATAAGCAGTGCTTATTACAAAACTCACTTTTCAAACATCCCTCCTAACTTCCAAACTTAAGCTAGAAGTTCACAGAAGACTAATTTGAGAATGCCATATAGCAAATATCTCCTTATTTTCATGGATTAAATGTGGGAAAATGTCTAAGGAAATTCCTTTGCTGAAATAAGAAATTTGGTAGAGAGGAGTGGAGAAAAGTGGGTCACTGAAACTGCCATTGTTCACAGTCATCCTAAACTACCATTAAAACAATTCCTCAGGCACCAACCAAAGAGGTCTCTGCTGCCATCTGGCCTTTCAGGTTTGGATATGACAATGAAGGGTGGTCTAGTCTAGAAAGATCAGCTCACCTGCTCAATGAAACAGGTAAGTCTTCCTGGAATTAGTTCCAGGTTTTGAGAAACTATTATTGTTACTTTTATTTTCAGCAGGGTCATAAGCCATAACTTAATGCAGGTATTAGATTAAATTTATGACCAGCAGATGATCATAAACTCACCTCAAAAATGCTTTACTTTGGCACGCAGCTGCAGGGGGACTGAGCTTCTGTAACCACTCCTGTCTTTGTTTGAGAGCAATTAATTCAGTTGATTCTGAGCAACTCCTCATACTGAGTATCTTTAGGGGATTCATGTTGTGTTTTTGTTCTTAGGGATGCCTCTGCTAGTAGCTTCTGTCACCTGGGGACCCACTGTTGGGGACCAGAAGACTTGGATCAAAAGGCAGAATGGGTTGTAGGGAAAAGAAAGAGAGATCAGACTGTTACTGTGTCTATGTAGAAAAGGAAGACATAAGAAATTCCATTTTGATCTGTACTAAGAAAATTGTTTTGCCTTGAGATGCTGTTAATCTGTAACTTTAGCCCTAATCCTGTGCTCACAGAAACATGTGCTGTATGGAATCAAGGTTTAAGGGATCTAGGGCTGTGCAGGATGTGCCTTGTTAACAATATGTTTACAGGCATTATGCTTGGTAAAAGTCATCGCCATTCTCCATTCTCGATTAACCAGGGGCACAATGCACTGCGGAAAGCCACAGGGGCCTCTGCCCAAGAAAGCTTGGGTATTGTCCAAGGTTTCCCCCCACTGAGACTGCCTGAGATATGGCCTCATGAGAAGGGAAAGACCTGACTGTCCCCCAGCCCGGCACCCGTAAAGGGTCTGTGCTGAGGAGGATTAGTAAAAGAGGAAGGCCTCTTGCAGTTGAGATAAGAGGAAGGCCTCCATCTCCTGCATGTCCCTGGGAATGGAATGTCTTGGTGTAAAATCCAATTATACATTTGTTCTATTCTGAGATAGGAGAAAACCGCCCTGTGGCTGGAGGTGAGATATGCTGGCAGCAATGCTGCTCAGTTACTCTTTGCTACACTGAGATGTTTGGGTGGAGAGAAGCATAAATCTGGCCTACTTACACATCCGGGCACAGTAACTTCCCTTGAACTTATTTGTAACACAGATTCCTTTGCTCACGTTTTCCTGCCGACCTTCTCCCCACTATCACCTTGTTCTCCTGCTGCATTCCCCTTGCTGAGATAGTGAAAATAGTAATCAATAAATACAGAGGGAACTCAGTGACTGGGGCCAGTGCAGGTCCTCTGTATGCTGAGCACCGGTCCCCTGGGCCCACTGTTCTTTCTCTATACTTTGTCTCTGTGTCTCATTTTTTTTCTCAGTCTCTCATCCCACCTGACAAGAAATACCCACAGGTGTGGAGGGGCTGGCCCCCTTCATGGGTCAGAGGGAGGTTGATTTGTGAAGCAAATTGCTTTCAACAGGCCTAGGGCCGATTTGATTTGTTTCAGTGCTCCGGGGTGCTCATTTTTGTGTGAAGCATCTTTGAAATCTGAGAGTGTTTTTGGTTTGTAGACCAACTACGGGTGTATGGAGCAGGATAAGTAAAGGACTAACCTGTTCTGGTTATTCTTAATGATAAGCGTGCCTCCTGAGACATATGAGTGTCTATATGGATGTAATACCACTAAGACATTTTTTTGCCCCTTAGCCCTTTTTTAGTCTGATTACAGGCTTCCAAGGCACACCTGGTCAAGATCTAATAAAGCCAATCAACTTAGTTCTGGGTCAGTACTATGGAGCTGTTTGTGCTGGAATAAAATGCTATGGTGCACCATTCTCTTGTTTCTGAACATAAATTGGATATTTGAGAAATGCATTAAGATTATTTGAAATTTTGGGAATGATGTTGAGCACATTTGAAAATTTTTATCCTTCTTGGTAGTTCCTGGAGGTGTTTCATGTTTTAATTGCATTCTAAACGTGGGGAAATTCCTTTAGAGCTCAGATTTGAGCCACTTCTCTCTAGTGACTCACTAATAATTACTTTGTTTTTGGGTTTATCAGTAAAGAAAAAAAGGTTAAGGGTCAAGAGTAAAGTGTTGCTAATTGTTTTTTGCCTTGCTGTGATTCATCACTGTATGCTACTTTTTTTTTTCTGAACAGGTGCAGATTTCATAACAATTTTGGAGAGTGATGCTTCTAAGCCCTATATGGGGAACAATGACTTAACCATGTGGCTAGGGGAAAAGTTGGGTTTCTATACAGACTTTGGTCCAAGCACAAGGTATCACACTTGGGGGTGAGTATACCTTGGGAGTTAATCCCGAAGATAGTCATGAAAGGCTAGGCTGCATAGGCTTGGAGTGGCAAGTTGATATTGTAATATCTTTGGTGAATGTGCCCCAGTGATGCTTCTTGGGGGATGAGGAGGTGCTGGAGATATGCACATTCTGTAATTTTTCAAATGGTTTTTCTGTGGCTGGATATTTCCAGTTCTTCAGCATTATAAACCAATCAATCTAGGAGCTGAGGTTGCAGCACCAAGCATGTCTGGCCTGGATGCTGTCCTCATGGAGCTTACCTTCCAGTGTAAGACAGAAAATCAACATGTACACAAAAAAATAAATAAGGTACTTCACAATCATGATAAGCGCTGTGTAGAAAAGAAACCACTGAGGGAGAATAAGTGGGTGGGCAGTGGCCATGGAAATGCTACTATAGGTAGGGTGGTCAGGAAGGTCTCTGCAAAGATATCATGGTGAGCAGGACCCAGGACCAGCCTTGGGAAGAGCTGAGGGAACAGTCAGGGTGAAGACTGAGGCAGGATCCATCTTGGTGTGCCTGGAGCATGGGGGGCCAAAGAGCAACTGGTAAGAAAGGAAGTCAAGGATGGGAACCTGATCATAGAGAGCTCCATTTTATCCAGTTGTGATTGGAAGCCACTGGAGGATTTTAAACAGGATAGTGATCTGGAAGAACAGATTCTCAGGGGCAAGAGTGGGAGCCAGGAGGCAGAGATGATAGGTGGAATAGCACAGATGAGAGATGACAATGGGAACAGTGGAGATGGTGAGAAGAGGACAAACTCAGGAACTATTTTAGAATAGAACCAACAGAACTTACAATAGTTTAGATGTCAGGGGAGGGGAAGGAAGAATCAAGGGTGATGTCTAGGTTTTTGACCTGAGTACCCGCTAAGAGATGATACCCTTTAATGGAATGGGAACCATCAGGAGACCTTTAGGTTTGTGCTAAGTGTGAGATACCCCAAGACAGTCAAGTCATGCCCAGTAGGCAGTTGGGTATGGCCTGGAGGGCTGAGAAGGACAGACCAGGCTGGAGATGTACCTTCAGCTATCATCGTATAGAGATAGACCTGTCTCAGAGACTCCATGAAGGTGACAGAGAATGCGTCTAGCTATGGAAGAGAAGCCTGCCAAGGACTGAGCTCTGTGGCTTAGAGTGAGGTGGAATGCCTTTTCATATGCCTATAGGACAGTTTTTCATTTCTAATTTTGTAAGTTGTTACTCCATGTTCTAGCTGGCAAGATTGTACCTTCCCATATGTGTTGATTAATATTAGAATTGTTTATGCAAATGTGTTGCCAGAGTAACTGCAAATACAATGGGTTTTTTGTATTACTAATGCTGCCCTTTTCATGTGTCCATAGCACTTATTAAAACAGAGTTGATGGTGTTTCCTTAGTGACACAGTGAGACATGCTATCAGATGAAATGATCTGACAAATGGACTGCCATATAAGTCTCTGCCGCATTGCTTTGAATGTCCCTTGGTGGGATGTGTGCAGTGGGACACATCCCTTTTTAATGCATTTGCTTAGTCCCAGTGCATGGTAGAATGGGACTGACAATGATGCCCATGTCTCTTTTCATTCCAATACAGGATTATGGCTTTGTCAAGATACCCAATTGTGAAATCTGAGCATCACCTTCTTCCGTCACCAGAGGGCGAGATCGCACCAGCCATCACATTGACCGTTAACATTTCGGGCAAGCTGGTGGATTTTGTCGTGACACACTTTGGGAACCACGAGTGGGTTTCTTTGGCCCACCTAATATTACACAAATGCCAAGAAATGTTATTAACAATGTACTTTGATTTCTATGAAATCACCTTTCTCATTTTCTTCTTTTTTACCTCCCAAAGTATTTCTCCCTGCGTTGCTGGTTTTAAAAATCAGACAGAAGCATTTAAGATGCAGGCAGCCGTTAGTGCTGGTGTAGGGACAGGCCGTGTTAGTCTGCATTTACTGAGCTGTACAGTCAATTCCCTGTGCAGGGGCTGTCCAAAGTGCATTACTGTGTTTGCTCTTCACTCTGTGTAGGGTAAGCACTCTTAGAGCCCCGTTTTGCAGGTAAAGAAACTAGGCTTAGAGAGGTCAGACAACCCATCCAACCAGGAGCAAGCACACAGCCAGGGCATAGGCAGTCCCAAACCCAGGGTTACAAGTGCTTGCAACCACACAATAAACCAGACAACAGAAAAAGAAATTTCCTTTTCCTGCAGGATTACTGCTACAAATGGAAGTACTGTTGGGATTTGAGGTTGTTAAATGACATCTCTTCTCTCCCTCATGTTTTCACAAACAACAGATAGGCAGAGGAATCTGGAAGAGGGAGATCAAAATATCACTTTGAATACTGATAAGCCTATTTGGACAACCTGGCTTAAGTGCCCATATGGACTTGTGAATACATGCCTAAATATACACGAAACTGACTCCCCCTAAATGGTGGGCCTACCCTGCTTGCCCTGGCAAGCTCTCTCCTTGATGGAAAGAAGAGGACGGAAAACAGCCTGTCTGCAAACTGGCAGCTTCCAAGGAGAATAGAAAAGAAGGATTTGAGACAAGCACGTGAAGTTAATTTCAAGATTATTGAATTAGAAAAGTCCTCCCAAAAAGTAAAGAATGGGGAGAGAGGCCAGTGATGGTTTTCTAAAGAAGTCCCTCTACACGCAACATGAAGAGTGGGGAATGAGTTTTATCCCCAAAGAATAACATTTACAACCAGTGACAGTACTGAATAAATCATGAATAATCCCAGCAATATATTGTAAAAGCAAACATAAAAGTATGTAACTTATACTTGACCATACTAAACCACAATAATTTAAACATGAATATAAAGAGCTATGTGCTATGACATTCACATGCAAGCTTTGCCTGCATTAATGACATGAGGCCACAGAACTTTAAAGAGACATACTTTAGGAAAACAACGTTGTTGTACTATAAGTTTTATTTAAACAAATTGGTGTGTGTGCCACTCTTATTTCCCTGGTTACCTCACTGTTTCTAACACTATTATGTGAATCCGTGAAAGCATATTTGAATATTTTCTTAAAAAACTCAGATCATAAATAATATAAATAAACCATCCAAATATAATTAATATGAACCATTTATGAACCAGACTCTTGCTTACCTCCTTAGAAATAAGAAGAGTGTTTGGAGGATGGATGATATAGATGGTTCATATCTCTTAAAAAAGCTGTTTGAAGAAATGCTTTCTTTTTTTCCCAGTGATTTTCATGTAGCAAGTACAGGCATTCAGAAATCATTCCCATGACCTTATGTTGTACTTAACATTGGGTTTATCTTTAAAAAAAATAATACTTTCATGTTTAAAGGTTGCAAGTTCTCAACCTAAGAAACAGTTTAACTCCTTCCCTTTTTTCCTTTGCCTTTTTCCCCGTCTCCTTTAACTCTCTCCAATATATCCCAAAATGTAAAGAATAGGTTTGAAAAGGAAGAGAAAGCTAAAAGAGAGCCCTAGGAATATGCTTGGAAAAGAGGAGGGAAGGATTGCCTTTTCTCACTTTCTGTTAACCACCTACTTAAAGCTCTCTGGATAACACCATATCCTTTACTTGCTGTCTTGCTCATTTGATTCAATAATAATGACAACAATAGCAGTAACAATAATAGTGAACACTTATTGATGATACATAACTCCAGGAATGAAGGCAGTGTAATTTAATGATTAAGAGCATGGGATTCCAGAACCTGGAATCAGACAATCTGGTTTGAAATCTAATTCATTAACTAGCTGTGTATCCTTTGCTGAGTTTCTTAACTACCTTGAGCTTTAGTTTTCTCATCTGTAAATCAGTGCAATAGTCCTACCTATTTCATGGGGTTCTTGTGCCCATATTACCTCATGCAAAGTACATGAATGTAGTAAGTGCTCAATTAACACTGGCCATTACTAAACCAAATCAGACAACTATGAATATAAGGTATATTGGGCAGCTTAAAAAATAATCCATTTGTCAAACATGAATCAAGCATCTGACATGTCCCAAGCACACAGCTAGACTCATTCCTTGCTTTAGGAACCACTGCTCTGAGCCACTCCCCAGAAGTACTGTCTGGGACACTGTAGCCTCCCAACAAGCGACATAGGAAAGTTAACACCTTGAATAATTTGTGACGTGATCACGACATGTTTTATTTGTCTTTGTTTTCTACAGTACTAGATACACAAATTCTTACTGTGAATAAATATTTAGAGATTTCGTTTTCCAGTGATTATGGCATATAAATGTGAAAATCCTATTAGGAATGAATAATTTCTAATGCTTGTGCATGTTATTAGCTGATTCAACAAGATTTTAAAAAGTACTGACTGCACAAATATGTCTTTTACAACCACTAAATAGGAAATAGCAGCATTTTTTAGAAGTCACTCAGGCAAACACCATAATGAAAATTGATATTATTTTAGGTAATTAACTGAGCCACTAATCACCATTTAAAGAAATCTATAACATGCATCATATACAAAGAGGAGAGAACACAGAATCCATAGTCTGACACTATGTGACACAGAACCTATGTTCTAGATTTGGTTCCGTGGCGGTTAACCTTGGTAAGTTCCAGTTCTTGTGTCTCTGGAAATGGGATAAAATTCTCTTTTCCAGCTTACTTTATAGGGTTATTGGACCAACAAAATATTAACAGATAAGAAAACATAAAGCATATGTGAGCTCTCTCTCTTTCTGTCTTGACCTCTTTCCTTATACATATACTTTTTACTTTTATTACTCTCACTAGGTAAGATTTATCTCCTGAGAAAATGTAAAACCAAATTCACAGATTACTTCCAGTTAGAATATATTGGATTGGAATCCAATATATTCTACTAAAATATATTGGATTGAAAACACTGCCTGTGGTTAGTAGCTTTGGAATTTTCTGGATCTGGATTTGAATCCTTGTTGTAGGTATCAGAAGGAATAGAATTCCCTGCAGACCTAATGAAAGAACTACTTAACAAGATGCTGGAGGGACCCATGGAACAAATAAGAGAGGCTGAGGCACTCAGACACTAGTTAACAGTGGGGAATCATTACCTGCCTTAAGGCCGAAGGAACAGGCAGAGAAAACAGTGTTCCCAGAGCCCAGTGAGACCCAGAACCAGGACAAGGGACCACCTGGCATAGAATGCAGCTACTGCCAGAGGGACTGGGGAAGGAATCCCTGAATGTTGCTCTTCTCCCAACGTTTAATCTCCCATTGATGCCTCCGATTGGCCAAACCTAACTGGAAACCAGCAGAGAAGGAAGTCCAGGAGATGAAATCTGCAGGGGTCAGCCTCTCAGGGCATAGAGAAAGGACAGAGGATGAATGTGGGCTGGGGAAATGAAAAATAACCATAGGCATATTAGCCTCATTTAAAAATAGAGCTACCACCTGCCTTCTGTTGTGAGAATTCAGTAGCAAAGGGGTTTAACAAATGGCCGTCCTTTTCACTCTTTTATTTCTTGAGACATCTTTTAATAGCCCTCAGCTATTTTTATCCAATTCAGTCCTGTCTTGAGATCCTAACTCAACAAGGTTTCTCCAGTCTTCTCAGTGCTTGGTGATCTTCTATTTTTCTTTGTCATTTTCCCCCTTAACACTCATGTATTAGCTACCTTTCTATGTAAATACCTGTGTTTGACTACTGCCTATCTGTTCTGGGCACCATTCCTTGCTCTTACTCTCAGCTATGCATTGCAGAGAACTGCATTTCCCACAGTCCCTTGCCTTCTGGCTTCTGGGTAGGTTTAGCCAATGGGAGGCACTAGTGCAAGGTTGGAGGGAGTAGAGAAGCGAGTGTATTTCTCTCCTTCTCTCTCTGCTTCCTCTGGTGTCTCTGGGAGGAGCTGAGTCTCTTCTGCGGCTCCAGCTCTTCTTTGTATGGTCCCAGCTCCTCTGGGAAGCCTCCTCCATTGCTACATCTCCCACTAGTCGGTGCTGGCTTCTGGACTCTGATAATATCACCTCCTCTTGTTTTCCCTGTAGCTGTAGAGGTGGTACTGGTTTCTTATTGTTATTAATCTCTGATTGCCTCATTGACTCCTATCTGGCTTCCCATCGCCTAGCTAACCAATTCCCTATATTAAGTTCACTTTGTTTGAAACATCTAGGGTGTTTCTGTTTTCCTGGCTGGATCATGTAAAATATGATGTCCTATTTTCCCCTAAACTCCCCAGAAGCTTGATGTACCCACCTAAGTATCTCAGTTATAGGTTTACAGTGCTTAGCATAATAAAAGCACCATGTTCAGCTGGTGTTTGAGCAGGAGAGCCAAGGAGGCTTTCAGAAAGTGTTCAGTTGGGCTGGGCGCAGTGGCTCACGCCTGTAATCCCAGCACTTTGGGAAACAAGGTGGGTGGATTGCTTGAGGCCAGGAATTCAAGACCAGCCTGCCCAACATGCAAAATGCTGTCTCTACTAAAAATACAAAAATTAAGTTGGGCATGGTAGTGTGCACCTGTCATGCCAGTTACTCAGGAGGCTGAGGCAGGAGAATTGCATGAATGCGGGAGGTGGAGGTTCCAGTGAGCCGAGATTGTGCCATTGCACTCCAGTCCGGGTGTCAGTGTGAGACTCTGTCTCAAAAAAAAAAAAAAGTGTTCAGTTGAAGGAGCTTAGGTTACATAAGCCTGATGGGCTCTGTGAATGTCAGGATTCTTCATCTTACCAGTATTCCTGGCTCTTTTTACTTTTTTAAACTACTAATTCTTTAGCTGTAATACTGATGGTGAGTTATCACGTTAGTGATTTCATTTCTTCTGATGAAAAGTTGAACAATGCTGTATTTAGAGTAGATCTTTAAATTGACTTGACTCCAAATGACTTGTGAAGAAAGGTCATGTTCTTAGCCAAATGTCTGTCAGCCTATTCATTTGAAGTGCTGTATCTAGGTCTTGTTCATTTGTATAATGTTAAGACAGTTGCCCGAGTAGGAATGACTCTGGGCTTCTTCACTATATGCAGATAGTCTTTGGCAACTTAGGTACCTAAGGCTTTTTAAAGTTTGTTTTACAAATACAATAAAGGGTCATATTTTTACATTTTTTAGAGATGACCTCGACAGGAAACTGCAGGCTATTGCTGTTTCAAAACTACTGAAAAGTAGCTCTAATCAAGTGATATTTCTGGGATATATCACTTCAGCACCTGGCTCCAGAGATTATCTACAGCTCACTGAACATGGCAATGTGAAGGTAACATAATCTTAATAGGATTTCTAATTTATTAAGTAAAACATTTCTTTTTCTTTCATGTTTTTAAAAAAACCAACCTCACCTAAAAATTTCATGTGCAGTCTATCTACTGCTGCCTAGAAAATCACCACAAAACATGTGAGCTTAAAACAACAGCAATCATCTATTTGCTCATGAATCTCCAATGTGGACAGGGCTCAATGGGGGTAGCTCATCTCTGTTCCATGCAGGGTCAACTAGGTGTCTCAACCAAGGACTGGAGGATCTACTTCATAGGTGATTTATAGGTCGCAAGTTGTGCTTTAGGCTTGGGACCCTGGTTCCTCGCCATGGGCTACTTAGGCTTCCTCCCTGCATGGTGCTGGCTTTCAATAGTGAAAATCCCAAGAGAACCAGAAAAAATCTGTTTTGCTTTGTATGGCATAGCCTTGTAAGTCATATACTGTTACTTCCACTGTCATCACAATTCTGATCACATTAAATTCTTGATGGGAGGAATATCAAAAACACAAGATAAGAATACTAATGGAAAGTGAGATTTTGTTGTAGCCATGTTTAGAAAACACAATCTGCCACATTATGAAAGTTAATTATGGGGCTGGGTGCGGTGGCTCACGCCTGTAATAACAGCACTTTGGGAGGCTGAGGCGGGCGGATCACGAGGTCAGGAGATCGAGACCATCCTGGTTAACATGGTGAAACCCCGTCTCTACTAAAAATACAAAAAATTAGCCGGGCATGGTGGCAGGTGCCTGTAGTCCCAGCTACTCGGGAGGCTGAGGCAGGAGAATGGCAGGAATCTGAGACGTAGAGCTTGCAGTGAGCTGAGATCGCACCACTACACTCCAGCCTGGGTGACAGAGCGAGACTCTGTCTCAAAAAAATATATAAATAAATTAAATAAATAAATAAATAAATAATAAATAAATAAAAATTAAAAAAAGAATTGAGAGTAAAACAAAATGAAATGCCACACAGAGAGAATGGCTAATTAGCCAACAGGGCCCCAGCAGATGACACTGAATTACTCTACCTTTTCAGGTCTGAAACACTTGAATTTGTCAGTGTACCAGAATATAATCATGTTCTGGGGAACTGCCACACAAATCAAATTCTCAGGAGACTGATATATATATATATATATATATATATACTGATGTATATATATACTGATATATATATACTGATGTATATATATACTGATATATATATACACACTGATATATATATATACTGATATATATATACACTTATATATATATATATATACTATAATGCCAAATGAATTAATTTAGAATGAGAAATATGATTGTTATGTTTAGTTATGCCCTATGCAGATGTCTTGGTCCCTTTCATTCCATTTTCAACTTCATGTCTTGAGATAATATCTGCAGAGAAAAAATCTTATCCGTCTTATGTTGATTTTACTACTTTAACTCTTCTTAGGGTGTAACATTATTTACAGAGTTTGGATGACAGGTTAAAGAGCATGGCATGATGAGAATTTTCTGCATGTGACAGAAAATAACAGAGAGTGTATTTCTTTTTTTTTCTGATTTTTTTAAAATTTTATTATTATTATACTTTAAGTTTTAGGGTACATGTGCACAATGTGCAGGTTTGTTACATATGTATACATGTGCCATGTTGGTATGCTGCACCCATTAACTCGTCATTTAACATTAGGTATATCTCCTAATGCTATCCCTCCCCCGTCCCCACACCCCACAACAGTCTCCAGAGTGTGATGTTCCCCTTCCTGTGTCCATGTGTTCTCATTGTTCAGTTCCCACCAATGAGTGAGAACATGCGGTGTTTGGTTTTTTCTCCTTGCGATAGTTTGCTGAGAATGATGGTTTCCAGTTTCATCCATGTCCCTACAAAGGACATGAATTCATCATTTTTTATGGCTGCATAGTATTCCATGGTGTATATGTGCCACATTTTCTTAATCCAGTCTATCATTGTTGGACATTTGGGTTGGTTCCAAGTCTTTGCTATTGTGAATAGTGCCGCAATAAACATACGTGTGCATGTGTCTTAATAGCAGCATGATTTATAATCCTTTGGGTATATACCCAGTAATGGGGTGGCTGGGTCAAATGGTATTTCTAGTTCTAGATTCCTGAGGAATCGCCACACTGACTTCCACAATGGTTGAACTAGTTTACAGTCCCACCAACAGTGTAAAAGTGTTCCTATTTCTCCACATCCTCTCCAGCACCTGTCGTTTCCTGACTTTTTAATGATAGCCATTCTAACTGGTGTGAGATGGTATCTCATTGTGGTTTTGATTTGCATTTCTCTGATGGCCAGTGATGAGCATTTTTTCATGTGTCTTTTGGCTGCATAAATGTCTTCTTTTGAGAAGTGTCTGTTCATATCCTTGGCCCACTTTTTGATGGGGTTGTTTGTTTTTTTCTTGTAAATTTGTTTGAGTTCATTGTAGATTCTGGATATTAGCCCTTTGTCAGATGAGTAGGTTTTGAAAATTTTCTCCCATTCTGTAGGTTGCCTGTTCACTCTGATGGTAGTTTCCTTTGCTGTGCAGAAGCTCTTTAGTTTAATTAGATCCCATTTGTCAATTTTGGCTTTTGTTGCCATTGCTTTTGGTGTTTTAGACATGAAGTCCTTGCCCATGCCTATGTCCTGAATGGTATTGCCTAGGTTTTCTTCTAGGGTTTTTATGGTTTTAGGTCTAACATTGAAGTCTTTAATCCATCTTGAATTAATTTTTGTATAAGATGTAAGGAAGGGATCCAGTTTCAGCTTTCTGCATATGGTTAGCCAGTTTTCCCAGCACCATTTATTAAACAGGGAATCCTTTCCCCATGGCTTGTTTTTGTCAGGTTTGTCAAAGATCAGATAGTTGTAAATATGTGGCATTATTTCTGAGGGCTCTGTTCTCTTCCATTGATCTATATCTCTGTTTTGGTACCAGTACCATGCTGTTTTGGTTACTGTAGCCTTGTAGTATAGTTTGAAGTCAGGTAGCATGATGCTTCCAGCTTTGTTCTTTTGGCTTAGGATTGACTTGGCAATGCGGGCTCTTTTTTGGTTCCATATGAACTTTAAAGTAGTTTTTTCCAATTCTGTGAAGAAAGTCATTGGTAGCCTGATGGGGATGACATTGAATGTATAAATTACCTTGGGCAGTGTGGCCATTTTCACGATATTGATTCTTCCTACCCATGAGCATGGAATGTTCTTCCATTTGTTTGTATCCTCTTTTATTTCCTTGAGCAGTGGTTTGTAGTTCTCCTTGAAGAGGTCCTTCACATCCCTTGTAAGTTGGATTCCTAAGTATTTTATTCTCTTTGAAGCAATTGTGAATGGGAGTTCACTCATGATTTGGCTCTCTGTTTGTCTATTATTGGTGTATAAGAATGCTTGTGGTTTTTGTACATTGATTTTGTATCCTGAGACTTTGCTGAAGTTGCTCATCCGCTTAAGGAGATGTATTTCTTTATGTAAAAGTGTGGGCAGGTGAATCAGCACTGGAATGGCACTGTGTGGTGTTTGGAATCTGTGTTCTACCTTGTGGTTCCATTTGACAAGGACTCTGTTCCCAAACCAGCAGCCTTTAAGTTCTAGTTAGCAGGATAGAGGAAGGGATAAAGAAGGGGCCAAGAGCATATGCCAGTTCCTCTGAAGGCAAGTCCCAGAAACTGATCTGTAACACTTCTACTTATATTTCACTGGCAGAAATTTAGTCTAATGGCCATACTTTGCTGTACAGAAAGTTGAGAGGTGCAATGTTTAGTCCTGATGGCCATATTCACAGCTAAAATACCATAATTTTGGAAGAAGGGTAAGGCAGATATTAGGAAGATGAGTTAGTCTCTGCATTTTTTGGATAGACAGAAATTAGAGTGTTAAAACAACAGCCGTCATCTATTTGCTCATGAATCTGGACTTCAGACAGGGCTCAATGGGGATAGTTCATGTCTGCTCCATGCAGGATCAGCTAGGAGGCTCAACTAGGGACTGGAGGACCTACTCAGTAGATGAGTCACAGGTGGCAAATTGGTGCTTTGGGCTGTGGACCCGGGTTCCTCACCATGGGCTACTTGGGCCTCCTCTCTGCCTTGCAGCTGATTTCCAATAGTGAGTATCCCAAGAGAACAAGAAAAAGCCTGTATTGCCTTGTATAACTTAGCCTTGGAGCCACAGATGGATCCCTGATTTCTGGGTCTGGTCAGAGGGATTATGATACTGACATTTATTTTTATAGAGAATACAAAAGAAAGAAATGTTTTACAAGGAAGATGAGTTCAGCTTTGGGCTGAGTTTGAGGCATTTGTGGGACATTAATGGAGATGTCCAATAGGCAGGTGCATATACAGATCTGGAATCCAGAAGGGCAGTGAGAACTAGAGTTATAGATTAAGGAGTGGCCACCATGTAGGGAAGCGTTGAAGCCATGGAAGTGAGTGGTATTGCTAGTAATTAGAGAAGTGCAAATTAGAGTGCTAGAGTTAGAGAAGTGCAGAAGGAAGACCAAATAAAGCCCTGATGAAGTCACATTGAATGTGGCTATCATGGGGGTGTAGGTGAAGGAAGAGAAGACAGATTATTTCAGGAAAGGGAGTAAGGAGATTTCAGAAGAGGAAAACCTGGAAAGTGTGTAATCACAGAGACTGTATCAGTTATTTATCACTGTGTAACAAACCACCTCAAAACGTAGTGGCTTAAAACAGTAATAATTGAATATTCTCATGATTCTTTGGGTTGACTGGGTGGATTTCTGTTCTTGCCTGGGTTCTCCTATGCAGTCATCTGATGGCTTACTTATGGCAGGAGGGTCTAAGATAGCCCCACACAGGCGTCTGGGCCCTGGTGCTGGACCTCTCTCTCTTCTCATGGTCTGTCATTATTTACTAGCCTAGATGATGCTGCATTTACCAGCTGTGTGACCTTGGGGAAAGTTACTTAGCCTTTCTGGGCCTCAAGTTCCACATCTGCAAAGTGGTGAGAGTGATATCTATGGAATCATAGGGTTGTTTGATGATGAAATAGAAGATAACATCTGCAAAGCCCTCAGACTTACATGACATATATTATGTGTGTCTGGCTGTATGTTGAAAATCAAATAAGAGAAACGCGTAAGTACATGGTCTATGAAGCACAAACGAATATTAGACAAGATGAAATTTGGCAAGTCTATGTAAAAATGGCATCCTAATAGGGCATTCTTATATGGTGTGTGTGCATGTGCACGTGAGTGTGTGTGAGGGATGTACATGGTATTAAGGAAGGAGAATTTGATTTGATTTTCATCTAATCCTCTCTTGGTTTCCACTGTCGTGATCAAAAGCTGTGTCAAAATTGGTAGTGGATTCTTATATTGCTTTCTCTAGGAGGAAGTTTATTAATGTGGAGAAGAGTTTTAATCATCAATGCTTGGATGAACAGATTTTTCTCTTAAAGAAATGAGTATTTAAATTCTGCAGTCTTAAAACTTTATAGCATCTTTATTTTTAAAATTTTTTTGCAAGTCTTACAGCATCTTTAAAAAATCTGATAAACAAAATGATAGTTAAATAGATTTATTTATCATTTATTTATCTATTTAATTATTCCCAATACTAAAGTTTTCTATTTTCCCAAGACAAACCGGAACAGTGCTTCTTTATTTCCTTCATCAACATTTTAAATTTAATTTAAAACATTTATTATAATTTTTATGTATACAAAAGGTATATGTATGTGTGTATTATAAACAACAATAAAGATTAATAGACATCCATGTGTCTACCACTAAGCTTAAGAAAAAAATGAAGAATTATATAATAAATTGTGATGTATTCTTTTAGTGATCTAAAAATGTGTTTTTAATTAAATGTTAATAGTAAAATTCAGAAGTGGTGAAAAGTCAGGTATATTTTTTATTTATAAGATATTTAAACAGAATAAAATGGAGATTTCTTTCTTCAGAATAAACACCTCATATTTATAGTTTTCCCAACACATGATAGAAAAGAATATGTTTCTGTTCTCTTTCTTTGATGAATAATAACCCTGGTCCCAAGCCCTCAACATCAAAAAGACTCATGATTGCTCCCCAGATGTTCTTATTTCCATGATTCAATTTAAGAAACACAGATGGAACACCTGCTCAATGCCAGGTTTTATGCTAAGTGACAGGTTGGACAAAAGTGATTAAGATTCCCTCTGTGCAGGTGTGGGAGGATGGAGACATAGAAACAGATACCTGGCACGATGGCATAACTAGTGTGTGTAAAGTACTGTACAGGATGACCAATGAAGGTGCAGTCAGTGCTGCTGGGGATGAGAGACTTGGAAAGCTGCCAGGAGTCAGGGGCTATTTTGTAATCGTTGATTTATCTGAGTCACTCTCCAGACCTCCTTCCTCTTTGTTTTCTTAGCATGTGGTACAGAAGCTAGATAGGCGCACAGTAGGTGCTCAATAAATATATGTAGAATGAGCAAATAATTTGGACCAAAAAAGATCAGTAGGAGCCAGGAAGAGAAAACAGCATGTACAAAGAGATATTTATCATGTAGCTCACACATTTTTTGGCAATGTGGAATAGAGCTTTGCTTTTTATGCTTTAAACATTCTCCTCTCTGCTCTTTATTAGGATATCGACAGCACTGATCATGACAGATGGTGTGAATACATTATGTATCGAGGGCTGATCAGGTGAGCACAGGGGTTTGATTTTGTTTTTAATCTATTATTAATGTGATCTTTTGGGTCTGTCTGAGAAGGAAAAAGAACTTTATGGAAGCAATTAATTTTTGTTGCTTTTTATAAAAAGCAATCAATGTTTATAAACATTGATTTGACTATACAGTTTAACATCTTTTTCAAGGCATAGTCTCATAATTTACAAAAGTAGAAATAGCTAAGCAAATTAAGTTTAATTATATAAGAGGGTACTGTGTAGGCTATTAGGCATGGTGAATATGTAGCTGTCAACACATGGGAGGAATGGCACCATTTTTGAATGTATGGGTTAGTGGAAACATCACAGGCCATTGGATGAGAAAGTCCTGGGCTTGAGTTCCAGCCTTGCCAGCTTCTAATCAATAATCCTGGGTAAGTTAACTAATTTGATGGGGCCATTACTATACTGTAGTGAGCTCTATAGGTAAATTGTATTTAAAAAATATCATTCCACATAAAAATATTACCCGAGTATATCACATACATGCGTATGTGTGTGTATGATATACTTGGATAATACATATTTGGATACATAGAGTCATGTGCTGCTTAATGATATTTTTGTTCAATAACAGACCACATCTACAATGGTAGTTGATAAGATTATAATATCATACTTTTATTGTACCTTTTCTATGTTTAGATACACAAATACTTACCATGGTGTTACAGTTGTCTACAATATTCAGTACAGTTACATGCAGTACAGGTTTGTAGCCTAGGAGCAATAGGCCATACCATATAGCTTAGGTGTGTAGTAGGCTATACCATCCAGGCTTGTGTAAGTATGCACTATGATGTCCACACAATGACAAAATCGCCTTATGACACATTTCTTTCTTTTTTTTAAATATATTTTTATTTTTTAAATCGACACATAATAATTGTACACATTTATTGGGGGGGTACAATGTGGTATTCCAATACTTGTATGTATACTGATCAAATCATTATAATTTGCATATCAATTACCTTAAACATTTATCATTTCTTTGTTGTAAGAATATTCAAAATCCTCTTTTCTATTTGAAATATATAGTACATTGTTGTAACCTACTGTGAATAGAATATAAGAACTTATTCCTCCTAACTGTAACATTGTACCCATTGACTAACATCTCCCCATCTCTCCCTTCTCCCTGTTCTCCCCCATTGCTGGTAACCACTATTCTACTCTCAACTTCTTTTTTATTTGTTTATTTATTTATTTATTATTATTATACTGTAAGTTTTAGGGTACATGTGCACAATCTACATTTCTTAGAATGCATTCTTGTTGTTAAGTGACACATGACTGTATACATACATATGTGATCCAAAATAATACAGCTGAGATTTTAAAATTCAAATATGTAGCTGTATAAATCAGTTTTGAAGGCAGTATTTGTATCAATAAAGCAAGGAACAGTTTAATGCCAAAAAAGAGGGACTAACCATTCATTCATTCATTCATTCATTCATTCATTTATCCAATAAGTGTTTACTAAATCCTCTTTATGTACTGGGTGTTGTTCTCGGGAGTGGGAATATAATAGGAAAAAAACAAAATCCTTGACTGTGGTAGAACTTACATCGCAGTGGAAGGAAACATAAAATAAGCAGATAAGAAATGACAAGCTATGACAGGTGGAGATATGCATGATGAAAGAAAAATAATAAATCCAGGTGAGAAGGCAGGGTGTGTGGGGGTGGCTGTGGTAGGTTATAAAAAGTGGGTGAGGAATGATGGAGTGAAATCTTGGCAGCACCTCAAGTGGAAGGAGGGACCCCACCTGTGCATACCCTGAGGAAGAGCACTTCAGGCAGGGGAGGCGGGGAAAGTTTGAGAGGAGGATGCTGGATGTTGCGGGGTAAGAGCAAGGAGGCCAGTGTCGCTGGAGTAGAGTGAGAGAAGTGATGTGAGTATGGCAGGTGGTGGTAGATGATGTACACAGTGAGTTGATTCACAGGTTCCTCTACATACAAAGTTCTTCCACAGAGGGAACATGCTGGAGACCTTCCCTGAAACACTCAAGGGTTCTCCTGTTAGGACAGAATCTGTCTGGAGGTATTTGACCTGAGCCCTCTAACTGCCATCTTGGGGACAATGTGGGGAGCCCTGGTGTGGGCTCCTAGGACTGACTTCCCTGAGCCTTAGTCTTTTCTCCATATAGAGCAGTTCATCACCAAAAGGCATCTTGGCATTGCCTGCCTGAAGATAGGGGCCGACGTTAATGGATCTCTTTAAGTAACCTTATCTTCTAAGATCTGTGGCCTACATTTATGAGAGAAAATGGTTGCTTTCTGGGATGATATAGAATCATGGATTCAACTCCTCTCCCAGTGGGGATATGGCTTGTTTGGTTATGAATTATAGTCCAGTGAAAGCAAATTGTTAGTTTCTCTTGCTCTAGACTCCATTTGCCATTCAACAAGTATCGATCTAGCAGAATGGATGCCAGGCAATAGGGATAAAGCTGTAAACAAAACAGAGAAGGATCTCTATGCTGGTGGAGGGAGGATGGACAAAAATCATGATAAATAATTGCAGGATGATCTATTTTAGAAGATGATGAGAGTGGTGGGAAAAACTAAGCAGGGGAAGGAGCTTCCAGAATATGGAGGTGGGGTGCAATTGTAAGTAGGGAGCTGGGTAGGTCTTACTAAGAAGATGACATTTCAGCCAAGATTGGAAGGAGGGAGCCATTTGGCCACCTGGCAGAAGATACCTCCTGGTAGAGGGCTGAGCTAGTGCAAAAGCCCCAGTGCAGGAGTGCTGCATATGTTTGAGGAAAAGTGAGGTTAGTGGGGCTGGAGAGGGTTGGGGTGGAGTGGGGTGAGGGGCGGCCGAGGAGGGAAGGAGAGAGTGTGTGGGCAGGCAGGGAAGAGAACAGATCTTGTAAGGATCTAGGGATCCTTAGCAAGCACTTTGGACATTATTAAGTAAAATAGTGACCTTACTCGTTCTTGGACAACTCCATGGAGCCATATGCTTACTGAGGTGGGCCAAGGAGGCCCTTGAGATGCTAAGATTGTTTTGGTTTACACCACTAACTCAGAAACTCTAAAAGGAGCATCACATGCCCAAATAGCTGTGGAACAGATAGCTTGACTATAATTTGGTGTTTCCAAAGTGTTACGGTAGGAGAGAAGGTGCTGAAGGGTGAGTTTTGTTAAGTATTTTATATCTAAGATTGAAAACACTGTTTCTGTTTAAATATTTGTTAAAGCAATTGTTTAAATGAGATATCGGAAATTCTAGAAAACGACTTTTCATATAGGCTGAAATAGGTTTAATTTCAAGTTTTAAAAAATGTTGGGAACCAAGGAACAGTGGTATTTATAGTAACTGGTACCCATAATAGCTCATTGTTGGGCTCTGAAACCTTTATTACCTCTCCTTAGGAGAATGGGATGGCAGAGTTTATATATATATACACACTCTGTGTGTGTATATATATATACACTCTGTGTGTATCACTCTGTGTGTATATATATATACACTCTGTATATATATACACACACATACATGTACATATAAAGTATATATATAAAATATGATATCATATATATATTTATTTATGTATGAATTTAATACTCTGTGACATAACAAAATACCATAGACTTGGTGGTCTAAACAACAGAAATTAATTTTCTTGCAGTTCTGTAGATTCTAAGACCAAGATTAAGGTACCAGCAGGGTTGGTGTCTGGTTAGGACTGTCCCCTTGGGTTGCCGATAACTGCCTTCTTGCCATGTGCCCACATGGCCTTTCCTTGGGTTGTGCCTGCAGAGAGAGAGTGAGCTCTCTGGTGTCTCTTCTTATAAAGCCATTAATCCTTTAGGATCAGGCCCCCCCTGCACTTATGACCTCATTTAACCTTAATTATTTCCTTAGAAGATATGTCTCCAAATATGGCCACACTGGGGGTTAGAGCTTCAACAAATGAATTTTGGGGGGAACACAAAATAGGAAGGTAATTTTAAAAATTCCCACATTAATGAAGTTAGGAACTAGGGTTTTTCAGTTTCTGTCCACAAAACTAATTTTGTAAGCCTTCATCTCAATCACCAAATTCAATGCCCTACATGTAGTAGGTATTAGGTGCTTAATAAATACTTATTGGACAACAATGGGAGATCCTCTGTTTTAATGGAAGATTTGGATTGTCAGATTCTTCAGTTTCAAGGCTTTTGGTGTATTTTTGAAGGCAGTGTCTGTTAAATGGGTCAGAACTTTGATCTTAGAGATTTGGGAATAAATAACCTAGATTTGCTAAAGACAGTGACCTAGAATTACACAGAAGTGCACAGATTTAGGACTTGAGCCCAGACAATGCATTAAGCTGTCTGACAGCTCAGAGTCACATCTGATGTTCAGTCACAGCTCTACTTACCTTTCCCAATGGGCAGACTTGCTGCTTCTGCTGGTCCTGCTCTGGGTTTCTGTTTCTATTTTGCATGGAGTTACAGGCATAGGCTTTGTTTTAAGTTTTTCTCTTCTCCTGCCACTCAGGTCCAAGCCCCCATCATCTTTTACCTAAGTTATTGCAGTGGCCTCATAACTTGTCTCCCTGCTTTGACCCTTTCCCTGAAGGTGATTCTCTACCTGGTAGCTGTCACAGACCTCTGCTTCAAACCCCTCTGATGGATTCTTATCTCACTCTAAAAAAAAAAACAGCAACAACAACAACAACAGCAACAACAACAACAAACTGAGGTCTTCATAGTGGCCTGTGAGGAAGGCTTTGCATGTTCCCTCTTATGCACTTCACTCCGGTCATGGTGGAGTTGGCCCGCAAAACACCAAGCATATTTCCACCTCAGGACCTTTGCATTTGTGGTTCCCCTTCCCTAAACACCATTCCTCCAGTATCTGTATGGCTTGATCCCTCCCTTCGTTGAATTTTTTGCTATAGTGTCACTTTATTGCAGAGGTATGCCCTGACCATCCACCATAATATAGCAACCTCTCCTACTCATCACTGCCTGTCCTTCTTACACTGCATTCACCCCAGTGCTTACTTATCTATCACTACCTGACTTATTGTAAACATACATATGTGTTTAATGCATCCTTCCCTACTAGAATGAAAGTTCCATGAGGGCAAGGACTTCATTTTATTCACGACTTATTCCCCAACACCCAGAACAGTGCCTGCATGTAGTAGGCACTCCATATATATACATATGTGCTTCATTGAATAAATGAATGACTGAAGCTGACCTAAGTCTTTTTTTCTGGAAGAGCACAATGTAATAAAATAAAATGAATTCTTTGTTGTTCATGGTTCCCCGTGTTTTCCACGAGCTTCTCAAATAAGAACTCTTTGCATAATGTCTACAAAGTGCATTGAATTTCCCCAGGAATTGAAAGCTCTAAGCCAAAACGGGATATGGAATTTTTTCAGATATATAAAATCTTTGATTTCAGACTTGAAAGTAGGCTGAAAATATGCATGTGGCATTTGGATTTTTAAAGGTAAGAAAGAAGGTGAACACCCCTGTCATTCTGAAGAGTTCCTGTTATTAACTCAAAACATGATTGTGTGGGAGGCAATTTGTATGGCTAGAATATTCATTAGTATAAAAAAAGTAAAGTAAGGTTGCTAAGAATAGTTACTTAATTAAATCTATGTACATATTCTTTATTCATTTATATCATAAAAGCAATATTTTGCCAATATTTAGATTAACAATTTAAGTTAATTCCAGTTGTGATATACAGAGTAGAGTTAGAAGTGGGAAACTGGTTTAATAACAAAGGGGTATCACTTGGATCTCGTTAGATTTCTATACAATAATAAAACTGTTACAAACCATTTCTGTTTCTGCTACAGGTTGGGTTATGCAAGAATCTCCCATGCTGAACTGAGTGATTCAGAAATTCAGATGGCAAAATTTAGGATCCCTGATGACCCCACTAATTATAGAGACAACCAGAAAGTGGTCATAGACCACAGAGAAGTTTCTGAGAAAATTCATTTTAATCCCAGGTGAGTTCCTTTATGCTGTAGTTCCAGTTATGAGCTACTGCATCCCTCTATGGAACCTACATATTACCTCAAAATGAGCTAGAAATTATATTTTGTCCTAGAGGTTTATTCCAGGTAAGGGAGACTGTGACAAAGATGATAAAATCTGGTTTGGGTTGAAGTTACGGTGCTTGCTTTCTGGAATCAAGAAATATGTTGTAACCTCAGGTTAAAAAAGTTCACAGCATCATCATCATCATTATCATCATGAACATCATCACCATCATCATCACTGTCACCTCCACGATAGCTAGTATTTGAATGCTCCTATGTCCCAGACCCTGTTATAGGTGCTTTTTGTGTTGTCTCAATTAATCCTTATTGGTTGGTCCTCTTATTATCCCCTTTTAATAGATGAGGAAGCTCAAGCTTAAGAACATGAAGTAACTTCACTGGGGTCACATGGCTAGTGAGTGATGGAACTAATAAGTGGGGAGACAGCCTATTAGCATCGTTGGGTTGCTGGTATTCTCAGCTCTGGCTGCACATTAGATTCACCTGGACAGCTTTTAAAAAATACCACTGCCTGGGCCCCACCCCAGACCAATTTATCAGGACCTCCTGGGGTGGTATCTGGGCTGTGGAATTTAAAAAATTATTTCCAGGTTATTCTAATGTGCAGTTAGGATTGAGACTGTGGATGATGGATAATTCATTTACATCACATGTGAAAAATTCATTACCATGTGAAATACAATTTTTTTTTGAGATGGAGTCTTGCTCTGTCACCCAGGCTGGAGTGCAGTGGCATGATCTCAGCTCACTGCAACCTCTGCCTCCTGGGTTAAAGCAATTCTCCTGTCTCAGCCTCCTGAGTAGCTGGGACTACAGGTGCACGCCCTGATGCCTGGCTAATTTTTGTATTTTTAGTAAAGACAGGGTTTCACTATATTGGTCAGGCTGGTCTCGAAAGCCTGACCTCAGGTGACCCACCTGCCTCTGCCTCCCAAAGGGCTGGGATTACAGGTGTGAGCCACCGTGCCCGGCCTTGTTTTGTTTTTAAAAGAGAAATCTATTTGCAGCAAAACATATGAGTTGGAGTATGTGCTCTTTTCTCTCCCATGACTGGATAATGAGAGGAAACTTCTACATAAAGCCAAAGACAGAACATATCGTATACATTATTATTATTTGACATTTCTACCGCTTTTACCAGCTAATAAACATTTCTCATTTTTTTGGGGGAAAAAAGAAATTTCTCCATTCTCTTTTTCTTCTTTGTCCCTCCTTACAACAAGAAAAAATTGTACCAAAGTGTAGGTGATGAATATGAGGAGAGTTATCACCAAGTCTAGATTTGTTCCAATTCCTGTATTGATCTTGCCCTGTGTAAGTGTAATGTGACTAGGAAACCGCGGGCCTTAGGGTCATCTGTCTGGTTCAAATCCTCACTCTTGCCAGTGAACAGCTTGGTAACTGTGGGCCAGTTGCTTAACCTCTCTGAGCCTCAAGTGCCTCATCTAAAAATGGGAAAAATAGTAGTGGCTACTTCCTAAGGCTATGTGAGGTATGAATGGCACAAAAAGTTTTTAGAATAGTGCATAGTGAGTGCTTATTGTTTAACAGTAGCTGCAATAGCAACATTAGTATTTGCAGTAGTAATGGTAGAAGTAAAATAGAAGGATTCCCTCCTTTTGCTGATTGAGATGGTTTCTTAAATGGAAGCTAAAAAATCAGAGAAGAAAAGGATTTTCTTGTGTCGTTATTCTTCACATAGCAGGAGTGCGGAGAAATCCAAATAAAATATTTTTGGCTAACCACAACTGCAGATTGATCCAAACCAACTGTGAAGGGAGCTAGATTTGCTTTCCCACTCAGTTTAATTACGAAAATAGTAAAGGCATAAATAGAAGGCATGCCTTAATTTTAAAACTGTGATGAGAATATTTAAGCAATTTTCAAATATACAAGTAATATTAATCACACCTTAGCAATTTTCACATATACAATACATTATTATTAACTATAGTCACAATGCTTTACAATAGATCTCCAGAAATTTTTCATCCTGTCTAATTGAAACTTTGTATCATTTCACCAACATCTTCTCAACCCTCATCTCCCCCAGCCCCTGCCAACCACCATTCTACTCTTTGCTTCCATGAGTTCAATTTTTTCAGATTCTACATATAAATGAGATAATGAAGTATTTACCTTTCTGTGCCTGGATTACTTCACTTAGCATGATGTCCTCTAGGTTCATCCATGTTGTTGCAAATGACAAGATTTCCTCTTTTCAGGCTGAATACTATTCCATACATATGTATGTTTGTGTATAGCTGCATTTTCTTTATCCATTCATCTGTCAATGGGCACTTAGGTTAATTATATTTCTTGGCTATAGTGAAAAATGCTGCAGTGAATGTAGGAGTACAGATATTTCTTCAACATTAATTTCTTTCCTTTGGATGTATACCAAGAAGTGGGATTGCTGGATCATATGGTAGTTCTATTTTTAATTTTTAAAGGAACTTTGGTAATGTTTTCCATAATATGGCTATACTAATTTACATTCCCACAACAGTGAACAAGGGTTCCTTTTGCTGTACATCTCCTGCCAGCATTTGCTGTCTTTTGCCTTTTTGGTACTAGCCATTTTAACAGGTGTGAGGTAATGTCTCATTGCGCTTTTAATTTGTATTTCTTTGATTAGTGATGAGCATTTCTTCACATACTAGCTGGCCACTTGGATGTCTTCTTTTGAGAAATATTTTTCATGTCCTTTGCTCATTTAAAAAAATCAGTTTGCTTTCTTGCTATTAAGTTTTTTGAGTTCCCTATATGTTTTGGATATTAGCCGTTTATCATATATAGGTTGAACATCTCAAGTAAAAAAATCCAAAATCTGAAATGCTCCAAAATTCAAAACTTTTTGAGCACTGACACAGTGCTCTAAGGAAATGCTTGGGGCATTTCAGATTTTGTACTTTTGGATTTGGGATGCTCAAACAGTAAGTATAATGCAAATATTCCAAAAATGAATCCAAAATCTGAAATACTTCTGGTCCCAGTGATTTTGGATAAAGAATACTCAACCTATATAGTTTGTAAATATATTCTCTCATCCCATAGGTTGTCTCTTCAGTCTGTTGATTGTTTTCTTTGCTATATAGAAGCTTGTTAGTTCGATAGAATCCCATTTGTCTATTTTTGCTATTGTTTCCTGTGCTTTAGGGATCATATTTAAAAAATCATTGCCCAGACCAATGTTGAAGGTTTTTCTTGATGTTTTCTTCTAGTAGTTTCACAGTTTCAAGCCCAAAAATCTTTAATCTATTTTGAGTTGATTTTTGTATATGGTATGAGGTAAGAGTCCAATTTCAGTCTTCTGCATGTGGATACCCAGTTCCCCCAACATTGCTTATTGAAAAGGTTGTCCTTTCCCCATTGTGTGTTTGGGGTACCTTTGTCAAAGATCAATTGACTGTAAATGTGTGGATTTATTTCTAGGCTCTCTATTCTGTTCTATTGATCTATATATCTGTTTTTATGCCAGTACCATACTGTTTTAATTACTACAGGTTTGTAGTGTATTTTGGAATCTGGTAGCGTGATGCCTCCAGCTTTGTTCTTTTTGCTCGTGATTGCTTAGGCTGCTTGAGGTGTTTTGTGGTCTTATACAAATTTTAGGGTTGATTTTTCTATTCCTGTGAAAAATGTCATTGGAATTTTGATAAGGATTACATTGAATCTGCAGATTGCTTTTGGTAGTATGAATATTTTAACAATATTGATTATTCCAATTCATGAACACCAGATGTGTTTCCATTAATTTGTGGTCTTCAATTTCTTTCATCATTATTTTGTGGTTTTCAGTGTACAGGTGTTTCACCTCCTTGGTTAAATTTATTCCTAAGTATTTTTTGATGCTATTGTAAATGGGATTGTTTTCTTGATTTCTTTTTCAGATAGTTCATTGGTAGTACATAGAAATGCTACTGATTTTTGTATGCCGCTTTTGTATCCTGCAAATTTACTGAATTTATTAATTCTAACAGTTTTTCAGTTTTTTTCAGTGGAGTTTTTAGGGATATATATATATATATAATCATGTCACCTGCAAATAGGGACAATTTAACTTTTTCCTTTCCAATTTAGATGTATTTTATTCCTTTTACTTGCTTAATTGCTCTAGCTAGGACTTTCAGTACTGTGTTGAATAGAAGTGCTGAGAGTGGGCATCCTTCTCTTGATCCTGATCCCAGAGAAAAAGCTTTCAACTTTTAATCACTGAGTATGATGTTAGCTGTGGGTTGTCATATATGGCCTTTGTTATGATGAGGTCTATTTCTGCTATGCCTAATTTGTTGAGAGTTTTTATCATGAAAAGATGTTGAATTTTTCAGATGCTTTTTCTGCATCTATTGAGATGATCATATGATTTTTGTCTTTTACCCTGTTAATACATTGTATCATATTTATTGATTTGCATATATTTAACTATCCTTGCATCCCAAGGAAAAATCCCCCTTGATCAGGGTGTATGATCCTTTTAAGGTACTGTTGAATTCAGTTTGCAGGTATTTTGTTAAGGATTTTCTACATGTGTGTTCATTAGGGATATTGGCTTATCATTTTCTTGTAGCATCCTTGTCTGGCTTTGGTATCAGGCTAATAATGGCCTCATAAACTGAATTTGCAGGTGTTCCCTCCTCTTCAATTATGAAAGAGTTTGAGAAGGATGGGCATTAATTTTTCTTTCATTTTTTTTTTTTTTTGAGATAGAGTCTCACTCTTGTCACCCATGCTGGAATGCAATGGCACGATCTCAGCTTACTGCAACTTCCACCTCCCAGGTTGAAGCAATTCTCCTGCCTCAGCCTCCTGAGTAGCTGCGATTATAGGCGCCTACCACCACACCCAGCTAATTTTTGTACTTTTGGTAGAGATAGGGTTTCGCCATGTTGGCCAGGCTGGTCTTTGGTCTTGAACTCCTGACCTCAGGTGATCTGCCTGCCTTGGCCTCCCAAGGTGCTGGGATTACAGGCATGAGCCACTATGGTCAATCTAATTTTTCTTTTTTTCTTTTTTTTTTTTTTATTATACTCTAAGTTTTAGGGTACATGTGCACATTGTGCAGGTTAGTTACATATGTATACATGTGCCATGCTGGTGCGCTGCACCCACTACTGTGTCATCTAGCATTAGGTATATCTCCCAATGCTATCCCTCCCCCCTCCCCCGACCCCACCACAGTCCCCAGAGTGTGATATTCCCCTTCCTGTGTCCATGTGATCTCATTGTTCAATTCCCACCTATGAGTGAGAATATGCGGTGTTTGGTTTTTTGTTCTTGCGATAGTTTACTGAGAATGATGGTTTCCAATTTCATCCATGTCCCTACAAAGGATATGAACTCATCATTTTTCTTTAGATGTTTTGTAGAATTCACCAGTGAGGCAATTGGGTCTGGGCTTTTTGCTTCTGAGGAGGATTTTGATTACCAGTTCAATTTTCTTATGCATTATTGAACTGTTCAGATTTTGAATTTCTTCATGAGTCAGTCTTGGTAGATTGTTACTATGAACTGGTCCATTTCTTTCTTTTAGGCTATCCAATTTTTTGGCATATTATTGCTCATAGTAGTCACTTATGATTATTTGTGTTTCTGTGGTATCAGTTGTAACATCTCCACACTGATTTATAATTTTATTAATTTGATTTTCTCTTTTTTTCTTAGTAAGTCTAGCTAACACTTTATCCATTTTATCTTTTCAAAAAACCAACTCTTAGTTTCATATTTTTTTTTATTTTTCTATCATCTATTTCATTATTTTTTTCTCTAATATTTATTATTTACTTCCTTTTGTTGACTTCAGGCTTTGTTCTTTTTCTACTCCCACAGGTATAAAGTTAGGTTGTTTGATGTCTTTATTTTTTCTTAAGGTAGGTGTTTATTGCTACAAAATTCCCTTTTAAAACCGTGTTTGCTACATCCTGTAAGTTTTGGTACATTGTGTTTCCATTTTTATTTGTCTCAACATAATTTAAATCTTTCCTTTTGATTTCTTCTTTGATCCATTGTCTGTTTAGGAAAGTTTTGTTTAATTTCTACATATTTGTGAATTTTCCAATTTTCCTCTTATTAATTTATAATTTAACTATTGTTGTTGGAAAGGCTACTCAAAATGATTTCAGTATTCTTGAATTTGTTAAGGCTTGTTTTGTGGCCTAACATAAGATTTGTCCTGGAGAATGTTCCATGAACATGTGAACCCCCAAAATCTGAGACAGTTCTCAGTCAATTTAGGAAGTTTATTTTGCCAAAGTTAAGGATGCACACCTGTGACACAGCCTCAGGAGGTCCTGACGACATGTGCCTAAGGTGGTCAGAGTACAGCTTGGTTTTATATATTTTAGGGAGACATGAGACATCAATCAACATACATAAGATGAACATTGGTTCAGTCCGGGAAGGCAGGACAACTGGAAGCAAAGGCAGGACATCTCGAAGCAGAAAGGAGGCTTTCAGTTCATATGTAAGAGACAAATGGTTGCATTCTTTTGAGTTTCTGATTAGCCTCTCTGAAAGAGGCAGTAAATATGCATTTATCTCAGTGAGCAGAGGGATGACTTCAAATAGAATGGGAGGCAGGTTTGCCCTAAGCGGTTCCCAGCTTGACTTTTCCCTCTAGCTTAGTGATTTTGGGGTCCCAAGATTTATTTTCCTTTCATTTGCACTTGAAAAGAATGTATACTCTGCGGCTGTTGGGTGAAATGCTCTCTATGTATGTTAGGTCGATTTGGTCTATAGTGTTGTTCAAGTCTACTGTTTCCTTGTTGATTTTCTATTTGAATGATTTATCCATTGTTGGAAGTGGGTTATTGGAGTCCCCTACTACTATTGTATTGCTGTCTAGTTCTCCCTTCAGTTCTGTTAATATTTTCTTCATATATTTAGGTGCTCTGATGGTGGGTGCACATATATTTATAATTATTATATTATATTGATGAATTGAGCACTTTAGTATAATGACCTTCTTTGTCTCTTCTGACAGTTTTTGACTTAAAGTCTACTTTGTCTAAGTAGAGCCATCCCACATCTCTTTTGGTTATCATTTGCATGGAATATCTTTCCAAACCTTCGCTTTCAGTCTATGTATATCCTCAAAGCTAAAGTGAGTTTTTTTTATAGGCAGCAATTTCTTATAACTTATTTTTTTCACTCTGTCTTTTGATTAGAGAATTTAATCCATTTACATTTAAAGTAATTACTGATAGTTAAGGACTTAGTATTGCCATTTAAAGAATTGTTTTCTGACTGTTTTACAGTTCCTTCATTCTATTCTTCCTCTTTTCCCTTATGATTTGATGAGTTTTTTGGTAACAGTATGCTTTGATTGCTTTCTCTTTATCATCTGTGTATCTACTATAGGTTTTTTATTTGTAGATACTATGAGTCTTACATAAAACATAACTATTTATTTTAAGCTGAAAACAACTTTGTCTGCTGCATATAAAAACTGAGATTTAGCTTTTCCTCCCACTACATTTTATGTTATTGATGTCACAATTCATGTATTTTATATATCATGTACCCATTAACAAATTTTTGTAGATATAGTTATTTTAATATTTATCTTTTAACTTTTACACTGGAGTTAAAAATGATGCTGCATCAGCATTAAAGTATTAATGTTTTCTGAATTTGATTCTATTATTACCTTTACAATAAGTTTTATACTTTCATATGTGTTCACATTTTTAATGTCCTTTCATTTCAACTTGAAAAACTCCCATTAGCATTTCTCATAAAGTGCATCTAATGATGATGAACTCCTGCAGCTTTTGTCTCTTTGGGAAAGTCCTTACCTTTCCTTGTCCCTGAAGGACAGCCTTGCTACATAGTATTCTTGGTAGGCAGTTGCTTTCTTTTAGCACTTTGAATACATCATCTCAATTTCTTTTGGCCTGCAAGGTTTCTACTGAGAAACACACTGATAGTCTTATAGGTGTTCCCTTGAATGTTTTTTCTCTTTGCTTTTCTCTTGTTGCCTGCAAAATTTTCTTTTTGTCTTTGATTTTTGAAAATTTGATTATAATGTGTCTTGGTAGCACTCTCTTTATATTTAATATATTTGGGAGTTATTTGGGCTTCATGGATCTGCATGTGAATCTTCCTCTCCAAATTTGGAAAGTTCAGCTGCTTTTTTTAAAATAAGCTTTCTCTCCCTTTTTCCTTCTTTCTCTGCTTCTTCTGAAACACCAATAAGGTTTACTTAATGATGACCTATAATTTCTGTAGGCTATCTCCACTTTTTCATTCTTTTTTCTATGACTCTGGTTGGGTAATTTTGAATGACCAGACTTTGAGCTCTCTGATTGTTCTCCTTGATTGAGTCTGCTGTTGAATCTCTTTATTGAATTTTTCAGTTTAGTTATGATGTTCCTTAGCTCTAGAATTTCTGTTTGGTTCTTTTTTGTGATTTCTATCTCTTTATTGAACTTTTCATTCTGTTTATGTACTCTTTTTTCTTATTTTGTTTAGTTGTCCATCTGTGTTCTCTTGTAGCTCACTTAGCTTCAAGATGATTATTTTGAATTTTTCATTATGCTGTTTTTCATTAGCATCAGTTACTTGTGCTTTATTTGTTCCTTTGGTAGTATCATGTTTCCTTGATTATTTATGATCTTTATGGACATGCCCTGGTATCTGTACATTTGAAAAAGTGGGCATCTCTTCTAGTCTTTACAGATTGGCTTGGCAGGGAATGCCTTTACCAGTTGGCTGGTCCAAAGATTCTCAGTGGGCTATCTAGCTGGGCTCATGGGTGGACTTATGCTAGAGTTCTTGGGCCAACTTGCTTGGTGCCTGGATCAGCAAGTGGATAGGCTTTGTGCCTGGGTCTCTGGGGGCCAGCCTGGTGCTGGGGTCCATTGGGATGGGCCTGGAGCCTGTGTCAATAGGGACTGGACTTGAAGTCTGGGTCCATGAGAGCCAACCTGATTCCTGGGGTAGATGTGTGGGGTTAGGCCTTCAGCCTGAGTCTGCAGGAGCCACCCTGGTGCTGGAATGAACCTGGTGCCTGGATCCATTGGGATAGATCTGGAACCTGGGCCCATGGAGCCTAGGCCTCCTATGTTAAACTCAGTGCTGGGGTCTCCTCCATAGGTGTCCTATGGGCCTGTACTCTGGAATTGGTGGAGCAGGCCTAGATTCTGTTACCTGGGCTGCAGGGACTGGTCTGGAGCTCGGGTGGGTTAAAGCCTGGGTTCACAGGGCCAGTCTAGAACCTGGAACTGGCAATGCTGTCCTGGTGCCTGGGGTTATAAGGGGTGGCCTGGAGCTGGTTGCATAGGGGCCAGCCTAGCACCAGGTTGGGCTTGGAGCCTGGGTCTGTGGGTATTGCTCTGGAGGCCAGGTCCATGGGCACTGGAGTCAGGGACCACAGGGCTGGCCTGGAGCTGGGGTAGGCATAAAGGCTGGGTCCATGTGTTCTGGCCTGGAATCTGGGGCTTTTGGGGGTGGCCCGAAACTGATGCCAGTCTGGAGCCTTGGGTGGGGATGGAGCCTGAATTTGCTAGGGCCGGCTTAGGGACTGGGGTTGTTGGGGCTGGCCTGGTGTTTAGGTGGGCCTGGAAGCTTGGTCTGTGGGTGCCAGCCTGGTGCCAATGTTCATTGGCCTGGACCTGGTGCTGGAGTCTGTGGCAAAGTTGGGTGCTTACTTCACTCATTTTACCCTATGCAGAGAGTATCTATCTCTCTACTTACTATGCTACCTAGTCTTGGGGGAGGAGTGATAGAAGTAATGTGAAGTTGTCCTTCTTACCCTTCTCAATGAGACTTTTCTTATTTCTCTAATACATTCAAATGCTATAATCTCTCATCTGAAATCTTTAGCTCTTGTGAAGATATTTTTGTGCATGGATAGTTGTTCAAATGGATGTTTCTACAGGGACAAGCACTGGAAAGTCCTATTTTGCCATCTTGCTGACACAACTCTTATATATATCTATACATCACACAATTATCCTTCTTTTGTAAATGTATGACACATATATGTATGTGCGTATATCTGTGTGTATATGTGTGTTTTTGTTCTATTTGCTAATCTGATTCTTTCATCCAAATAGTATATTATGAACTTCATTCCATAATAAAGTATTCTTCTTAAAATATGTTTTAATCATTGCATAATATTTCATTGTATGGATGCACCAACATTTAGCTAATCGATTTTGTTATTTTTGCATATTTATTATTTTATTATTATAAAAAGTCTTCTAAGGAATTCTTATCTGTTTGAGCATAACCTTGATTACTTCCTTAGGGTCTAGCTCTAGAAGTGAAATAGCAGAATCAAAGGTGATGTTAAATTTGATATTCCTTGTTATTATTCTTTTAAGATGACAAAGGAAGCAGGTCTCCTGTCTCTTACATTATAGAGGTTAGATATTATGGTTGCTTATGAAGAAAAGGAAGGAAGTGGCCTCTTATGTGCAAGTCTTAGCTTTCTTCCTAGTGTCTTTTGTATTCTATCATATCAACCAGAGCTGTATAATTAAATAGTTATTCATGTGCAAAGAGTTAATCTGCAGCACATTAACACATGTAGACAATTTAGAAGTTCTGCCAAAATAGATTTTTATATGCATAAATGTAACATGAATAGCATTTCAGGCTTAATGGCCCCTTTGCCTATAAGAGAATATTATTCAAACTCAAGATGAAAGAGAAAATCTGGACTTATTTTTCAGCAATGCTAGCCAATAATTCTTAAACAGATGTGCTTTTGGAATTATCCATAACCATGGAAAGAGGACTTTGGGGGTTAAAATTTTAGTTTGCCTTTCCTATATGCATGAATCTTTTTTATTTATTCATTTGCTATTTTATTTTATGATTGAAATTTTACATAAGAACATACCTTTCTGAATGGTTTTTACATGCCAATAACTTTTTATTTATTTTTTATTTTTTTAGATTTGGATCCTACAAAGAAGGACACAATTATGAAAACAACCATCATTTTCATATGAATACTCCCAAATACTTTTTATGAAACATTTAAAACAAGAAGTTATTGGCTGGGAAAATCTAAGAAAAAAAGTATGTAAGATAAAAAGAAGAGATTAATGAAAGTGGGAAAATACACATGAAGAACCTCAACTTAAAAAACACATGGTATCTATGCAGTGGGAAATTACCTCCATTTGTAAACTATGTTGCTTAATAAAAACATTTCTCTAAATTGTTTTCCCTAAATTTTGATAAAAAATAGAATTTGGGGTAATATAAGAAAGTTTCACTATGGAGTTAAAATAATTAAAAATGTCTTACCTTTTGAAGGCTTAGAAATAGGAAATTTTTTTTGTTTGTTTGTTTTCTTTTTTGAGACAAAGTCTCTCTCAGTTGCCAAGGCAAAGTACAGTGGTTTGATCGCTGCTCACTGCCACCTTGATCTTTAAGGCTTAAAAATAGGATTTTTTTTTCTTTTTTGAGACAGGATCTCTCTCAGTTGCCCAGGCCAAAGTGCAGTGGGGTGATCATGCTCACTGTAGCCTTGATCTCTTGGGCTCAGGTGATCTTCCCACCTCAGCCTTTGGAGTATCTGTGACTATAGGTGCTTGCTACAATGGCTAGCTAATTGTTTACTTTTTTGTAGGGAAGAGGTTTCACTATGTTTCCCAAACTGGTCTCAAACTTCAGGGCTCAAGCAATCCTCCCACCAGCCTCCCAGACTGCTGGGATTACAAGCTTGAGTCACTGCACCCAGCTGGACATTGATTTGTGGATGAGCTGGAAGGACTACTTGTGAAAATCAAGCACTTTAAACCCTTCTTGGGACAAAGCTGGGGAAAATGTTCAACAAATTAAGTCTAATTACTAGAAGAATAATGTGCATGTGACTATTATTGACTTAACATAAGCAGCAGCCCATCACCAACCTTCCCTGAACTGTGAGGGGTCGTCTGTCTTTTTCCCCATGCTTCTGTCACTTCATGGCTGTACATGGCACACTGTGTTGATGCCTCCCATCAGTCAGGCCACCAGACTCTCAGCAAGCATACCTTAACACACAGAGGGGTCCCATGAAGTGACTTTCCTTCTGTAGAATCAAGTAGGCAGGCAAAGGGGAAAATTCAACACAACAGCACCATCTCCACAGAAGATAATGATTTGAATATAGGTCATAGAGGCACATGAGGTCTTAGAACTGGAAAGGACACTGAATGCTGCTTTATCTTTTGGGGGCAGGGATAAAAGTTGTCAGAAAGAAAGTTTCTAAAAGTATTATGTCACAATCTAAGGAGATTCCTTAGATCTATTTAACAAAATTGTATCATACTAGTCTGTTCTCATGCTGCTATAAAGAATTGCCCAAGACTGGATCGTTTATAAAGGAAAGAGGTTTAATTGACTCACAGTTCCACAGGGCTGGGGAGGCCTCAGGGCACTTACAATCATGGTGAAAGGGGAAGCAAACACATCCTTCTTCAAATGGTGGCAGGAAGGAGAAGTGCTGAGCAAAAAGGGAAAAGTCCCTTATGAAACCATCAGATCTCATGAGAACTCACTCACTATCATGAGAACAGCATGTGGGTGACCTCCTCCATGACTCAATTACATCTCACCAGGTCCCTCTCATGACACATGGGGATTATGGGAGCTACAATTCAAGATGAAATTTGACTGGGGACACATCCAAACTCCAAACGATATCATATACTGAACACATTGCCATATGCAAAACACTGAATTCCTATAGTAGTTTTAAAGATGAGTCCGTGAATGATCCTGCAGTTTCTTCAAAAGGTGGAACCTCACTCACTTCTCTTTTAGTATGGGCTAGATTTAGTGACTTACTTCTAATGAAGAGAATAAAGTGAAAGCGATGGTATGTGACTCCAAGTCTGGGTTATAAACAATACTGGGGCTTTGTCTTAATCTCACTGTCTGCTTCTGAGAGAAGCCAGCTGCTGTGTCATGAGCAGCCCCTTGGAAAGGTGGTGAGAACTGAGGCCTCGTGCCAATAGCCATGGGAGTGAGTCACCTTAGATTTGGAAACTCCAGCCCCAGAAAAACTACAGATGACTTCAGCCCCATGTTGGCTACAACTTCTTGAGAGATCCTGAGCCCTAAGCACCTAGCTTAACTGGTCCCACATCTTGACAGATAATAACCATTTGTTGTTTTAAGCCACTATGTAATGGGGTAATTTGTTTTGTATCAATACATAAGTAACACAGTCCTTAAACTTACTTATATTTGAAAAACTTTGGGAATCTGGGAACAACAAACATATTTATTCAGTGTCCGTTTTGTCCATTATACTGTACTAGGCATGTGGCAGTGGTGGGAGGTGTCACTTAACTGAAAAAGACATTAACCTAAACACAAGTATGGCAGATGGGAAAATACGAAGACATCTTGAATAGCAGCTACTGATTATTTACCCTCTATTGAGCTAGATGCTTTACCAATGTTATCTCCTGACAACAATAATGAAGGCAATAACCCATGTGCCAACTGGGGTCTCTCTACCTTTAAGCTCTAGGTAAGACAGCCAGAATGCCCATTCCACTCCTTCCAGAAGAGAGTGTCTTCCCAAGATTTCTGTGAATTGTGGGAAGTGAAGGAGACAAGACTCACATTCTTATAGGCATCTCTCTCACTGATCTCCTTCTGCTGTCATATTTCAATTTATACGTGGTCTCATTGCATTTCTGACACCAGAATCATGCTACTGTGCAAGGTAAATGCAAGCAGATATGCATTTAAAACACATTGTTAGTGGCTGGGGAGACAGATCCACACACAGACAGCAGGAGCTGCCTCTGTTCTATGCCAAGCAGAGAGTTCGGTTGTTTTCTTGACTTCCTCAAAAGAAACAAATAAAAAACTCTTACTATGTATCTTAGTGGGTAGCATCTTTTACTGAATGTTTGGGAAGATAGAGAAGGGTTTACATTGTAGAACTCAAAACATATTCAAATGAGGTAATTAGATATTCCCTTGCTTTGCAAATCTTTTCTCCACATCATGTAGTTTGGCAATATCCTATTTTCTTCTCTAGTTGTTCATATCTCCCCCAAATTTCTACTAATTTCTAATGCCAATCAGATTAACTGTCTTTTTGTTTTAGCCTCCTGCTTACTCATTAGGCTCTTGGGATCTTAACTTCTATGTCCATGGCTTATCTAAGTGGGAGGTTTCCATACACCTCTCTCAGTAAATGATAAAACAAGGAGAAAGCTTGAATAACACAATTAATTGAAGTGACATATGTAGAACAGTGCTCCAAGGAACTTCAAGTTACTCATTATTTTCAAGTGCCTGCAGAACATTTACCAAAACAGACCATATGCTAGGCCAAAAAGCAAGGCTCAACAAATGTCAAAATATTGACTTCATACAGGATTATATTTTCTGATGGTGATAAGACTAAACTAGAAACAAATAACAAAAAGATAATGAGAAAGTCCCAAATATTGGTAATATAATAATAAACTTCTAGGTAATCCATGGGTCAAAAACAGACCACAATGGAAGTTAGAAAATATTTTGAACTAAATAGTAATGAAAATATGGCATATCAAAAGTTATACGATATAGTTTTGTGTTTAGAGGAAAATATGTAGACTTAAATGCATGAACTGGAAAAGAAGAAAGACTAAAAGTCAGTTACATAGGTACCCATCAAGAGAAGCTGAAAAGGGAACAGAAAATTAAACCCAAAAGAGAGTAGAATAAAGGAAAAAAGGCTAAGAACAGAAATTAGTGAAATGGAAAACAAACAATTACAAAAGATAAAAGTGACAAAACCAAAGGTTGACTCTTTTGAAAAAACTAATAAAATTGAACTCTTTGGTAGGACCGATCAGAAGAAAAAGGAAAGAAAGAAGACAAAACTGACCAACATTAGGAATGAAAAAGTAGACACAACTATAGACCTTACAAACATTATAAAGAAAATAAGAGGACATTATTAACAATTTTATACCAATTAATGTCTCAAAAAATAAAGTTTACCACAACAGATACAAGAAAAAATAGAAAACTTACTAAAGAAATAAAATTAATAATTAAACAACCAAACATAAAACAGGACTTCTGAGCCACACATCAAGGTCAGAGGCAAGAAAAATTGACATCAGTTCCAGTCTACTCTCATGTGCTCCAGCTCATTCCTGTGTCTTCCAGCTTGTTCTTGATCTCCCCAACTTTACATCCATCTTCCTTTCTCCATGGCCTGCCTTGCAGATTTCACACTCTAATATTAACTTTCAAGACAATAGCCTTACAGGTGACTTAATCAGCAACCACAGCTATGTAAAGTCAAGTCTCTGTAATAAATCCTTATATATATTCTAGTTCCCTTTCTCTGATTAAATCCTGATTAATAAAACTTCCCACAGCAAAAACTCTACACCCAGATAGATTACCGGTGAATTTTAGCAACTATGTACGGAAGAAATAACACCAATCTTATAGACTTTTCACAAAGAATAAAAAAAAGGAATACTTCCCAACTTGCATGAAGTCACCATAACTTTGGTAACTGTGATGGTTGATTTTATTGTCAATTTGACTGGACCACAAGGTGCCCAGATATTTGGTTATATATTATCCTGTGTGTGCGGGAGTGGGTGTTTATGGATGAAATTAACATTTGAATTGATAGACTGAGTAAAGCAGATTGCTTTCCCCAATGTGGAGAGGCTTCATCCAATCCATTGTAGGCCTGAATGGAACAAAAAGGCAGGGTAAGGGAGAATTCACTCTCTCTGCCTGCCTGGTTTTGAGCTGGAACATTAGTCTTCTCCTGCCTTCAGATTTGGATTCTGGCTGGAACTTACACCATTGGCTCTTCTGGTTCTCACACCTTCAGATCAGACTGGAACTATTGTGCTAGTTCTCTTTAGGGTCCAGCTTGCTGACTGCAGATCATGGCACTTCTCAACTTCCATAAATACACAAGTCAGTTCTTTATCATACATCTCTCTCATAGTCTTTTCTGTCTTTCTGCCTCTGCCTCTATCTACACACACACACACACACACACACTTGATTCTGCTTCTCTGGAGAACCCAGACTAGTACAATATCAAAACTGAAAAGAATATTAAATGAAAAGAAAATTATAGGTCAATCTCTATCATACACATGGATATAAAATTGCTAAACAAAATATTAGCAAGTCAAATCCAGCACTATATGAAAAGGGACTACATTATGATCAAGTTAAATTTATTCTAGGAATGGAAGGTTGGTTTAACATTTGAAAATCAATGTAATTCTCCATATCAACAGTATATGTAATGATATATTTAAAAAGCATTTGATGAAACTTAATCTCTTTTCATTATTATTTTTATTATTATACTTTAAGTTTTAGGGTACATGTGCACAACATGCAGGTTTTGTTACATATGTATATATGTGCCATGTTGGTGTGCTGCACTCATTAATTCATCATTTAGCATTAGGTATATCTCCTAATGTTATCCCTCCCCACTCCCCCAACCCCACAACAGAAACCATCATTCTCAGCAAACTATCCCAAGGACAAAAAACAAAACACCACATGTTCTCACTCATAGATGGGAATTGAACAAGGAGAACACACGGACACAGGAAGGGGAACATCTATTCATTATTTTTAAAACCACCAAAAATCTCTTAGTAAACTAGGAATAGAGGAAAATTTTCTTAATCTAATAAAGCATATGTACAAAATCTTATGGTGAACATGATAACTGTGAAAGATTGAATGCTTTCCTCTTGAGATCAGGCATGAAGCATAAATGCTTACTATGTGCTATTGTACTAGAGGTCCTAGCCAGTGCAATACAGTTAGAAAAACAAATAAAGGATAGAAGGTAAGAAAAAAACAAATACAATTGTCATTATTTTCAGACAACATGATTGTTTATGTAAAGAATGAAAAATAATCTACAGATGAACTATTAGAATTACTGGAAGCAGAAATCAATTAGAAAATACCCACATTAGAAGGGAGCCAAGATGGCCAAATAGGAACAGCTCCAGTCTACAGCTCCCAGCATGAGCCAAGCAGAAGATAGGTGATTTCTGCATTTCCATCTGAGGTACTGGGTTCATCTCACTAGGGAGTGCCAGACAGTAGGTGCCGGACAGTGGGTGCAGCACACTGTGTGTGAGCTGAAGCAGGGTGAGGCATTGCCTCATTCAAGAAGTGCAAGGGGTCAGGGAGTTCCCTTTCCTCATCAAAGAAAGGGGTGACAGATGGCACCTGGAAAGTCGGGTCACTCCCACCTGAATACTGCGCTTTTCCAACGGGCTTAAAAAATGGCACACCAGGAGATTATATCCTGCTCATGGCTCGGAGGGTCCTACGCCATGGAGTCTCACTGATTGCTAGCACAGCAGTCTGAGATCAAACTGCAAGGTGGCTGCGAGGCTGGGGGAGGGGCGCCTGCCATTGCCCAGGCTTGCTTAGGTAAACAAAGCAGCCGGGAAGCTCGAACTGGGTAGAGCCCACCACAGCTCATGGAGGCCTGCCTGCCTCTGTAGGCTCCACCTCCGAGGGCAGGGCACAGACAAACAAAAAGACAGCAGTAACCTCTGCAGTTTTAAATGTCCCTGTCTGACAGCTTTGAAGAGGGTAGTGGTTCTCCCAGCATGCAGCTGGAGATCTGAGAACGGGCAGACTGCCTCCTCAAGTGGGTCCTTGACCCCAAGCAACCTAACTGGTAGGCATCACCAAGTATGGGCAGAATGACACCTCACACGGCTGGGTACTCCTCTGAGACAAAACTTCCAGAGGAACGATCAGGCAGCAGCATTTGCGGTTCACCAAGATCTGCTGTTCTACAGCCACTGCTGTTCTGTAGCCACTGCTGCTGATACCCAGGCAAAGAGGGTCTGGAGTAGACCTCTAGCAAACTCCAACAGACCTTCAGCTGAGAGTCCTGTCTGTTAGAAAGAAAACTAACAAACAGAAAGGACATCCACACCAAAAACCCTTCTGTACATCACCATCATCAAAGACCAAAAGTAGATAAAACCACAAAGATGGGGAAAAAACAGAGCAGAAAAACTGGAAACTGTAAAAAGCAGAGCACCTCTCCTCCTCCAAAGGAATGCAGATCCTCACCAGCCATGGAAGAAAGCTGGACGGAGAATGACTTTGATGAGCTGAGAGAAGAAGACTTCAGACGATCAAACTACTCTGAGCTACAGGAGAAAATTCAAACCAATGGCAAAAGAAGTTAAAAACTGTGAAAAAAAATTAGATGAATGGATAACTAGAATAACCAATGCAGAGAAGTCCTTAAAGGAGCTGATGGAGATGAAAGCCAAGGCTCGAGAACTATGTGAAGAACGCAGAAGCCTCAGGAGCCAATGCGATCAACTGGAAGAAAGGGTATCAGTGATGGAAGATGAAATGAATGAAATGAAGTGAGAAGGGAAATTTAGAGAAAAAAGAATAAAAAGAAACGGACAAAGCCTCCAAGAAATATGGGACTATGTGAAAAGACCAAATCTACGTCTGATTGGTGTACCTGAAAGTGACAAGGAGAATGGAACCAAGTTGGAAAACACTCTGCAGGATATTATCCAGGAGAACTTCCCCAATCTAGCAAGGCAGGCCAACATTCAGATTCAGGACATACAGAGAATGCCACAAAGATACTCCTCGAGAAGAGCAACTCCAAGACACATAATTGTCAGATTCACCAAAGTGGAAATGAAGGAAAAAATGTTAAGGGCAGCCAGAGACAAAGGTCGGGTTACCCACAAAGGGAAGCCCATCAGACTAACAGCTGATCTCTCAGCAGAAACTCTACAAGCCAGAAGAGAGTGGGGGCCAATATTCAACATTCTTAAAGAAAAGAATTTTCAACCCAGAATTTCATATCCAGCCAAACTAAGCTTCATAAGTGAGGGAGAAATAAAATCCTTTACAGACAAGCAAATGCTGAGAGATTTTGTCACCACCAGGCCTGCCCTAAAAGAGCTCCTGAAGGAAGCACTAAACATGGAAAAGAACAATTGGTACCAGCCACTGCAAAAACATGCCAAAATGTAAAGACCATCGAGGCTAGGAAGAAATTGTATCAACTAAGGAGCAAAATAACCAGCTAACATCATAATGACAGGACCAAATACACACATAACAATATTAACTTTAAGTGTAAATGACTAAATGCTCCAATTAAAAGACACAGACTGGCAAATTGGATAAAGAGTCAAGACCCATCAGTGTGCTGTATTCAGGAAACCCATCTCACATGCAGAGACACACATAGGCTCAAAATAAAGGGATGGAGGAAGATCTACCAAGCAAATGGAAAACAAAAAAAGGCAGGGGTTGCAATCTTAGTCTGAGATAAAACAGACTTTAAACAAACAAGGATCAAAAGAGACAAAGAAGGCCATTACATAATGGTAAAGGTATCTATTCAACAAGAAGAGCTAACTATCCTAAATATATATGCACCCAATACAGGAGGACCCAGATTCATAAAGCAAGTCCTTAGTGATCTACAAAGAGACTTAGACTCCCACACATTAATAATGGGAGACTTTAACAGCCCACTGTCAACATTAGACAGATCAATGAGACAGAAAGTTAACAAGGATACCCAGGAATTGAACTCAGCTCTGCACCAAGCGACCTAATAGACATCTAAAGAACTCTCCACCCCAAATCAACAGAATATACATTTTTTTTCAGCACCACACCACACCTATTCCAAAATTGATCACATACTTGGAAGTAAAGCACCCCTCAGCAAATGTAAAAGAACAGAAATTATAACAAACTGTCTCTCAGAACACAGTGCAATCACACTAGAACTCAGGATTAAGAAACTCACTCAAAACCGCTCACCTACATGGAAACAGAACAACCTGCTCCTGAATGACTACTGGGTACATAACGAAATGAAGGCAGAAATAAAGATGTTCTTTGAAACCAACAAAAATAAAAACACAACATACCAGAATCTCTGGAACACATTCAAAGCAGTGTGTAGAGGGAAATTTATAGCACTAAATGCCCACAAGAGAAAGCAGGAAAGATCCAAAATTGACACCCTAATGTCACAATGAAAAGAACTAGAAAAGCAAGAGCAAACACATTCAAAAGCTAGCAGAAGGCAAGAAATAACTAAAATCAGAGCAGAACTGAAGGAAATAGAGACACAAAAAAGTCTTCAAAAAATTAATGAATCCAGGAGCTTGTTTTTTGAAAGGATCAACGAAATTGATAGACCACTAGCAAGACTAATAAAGAAGAAAAGAGAGAAGAATCAAATAGATGCAATAAAAAATGATAAAGGGGATATCACCACTGATCCCACAGAAATACAAACTACCATCAGAGAATACTACAAACATGTCTACTCTAATAAACTAGAAAATCTAGAAGAAATGGATAAATTCCTCGACACATACACCCTCCCATGACTAAACCAGGAATCTCTGAATAGACCAATAACAGGCTCTGAAATTGAGGCAATAATTAATAGCTTACCAACTAAAAAAGCCCAGGACCAGATGGATTCACAGACGAATTCTACCACAGGAACAAGGAGGAGCTGGTACCATTCTTTCTGAAACTATTCCAATCAATAGAAAAAGAAGGAATCCTCCCTAACTCATTTTATGAGGCCAGCATCATCCTGATACCGAAGCCTGACAGAGACACAACAAAAAAAGAGAATTTTAGACCAATATCCTTGATGAGCATTGATGCAAAAATCCTCAATAAAATACTGGCAAACCGAATCCAGCAGCACATCAAAAAGCTTATCCACCATGATCAAGTGGGCTTCATCCCTGGGATGCAAGGCTGGTTCAACATATGAAAATCAATAAATGTAATCCAGCATACAAACAGAACCAAAGACAAAAACCACATGATTATCTCAATAGATGCAGAAAAGGCTTTTGACAAAATCAGCAACTTTCATGCTAAAAACTCTCAAAAACTTAGGTATTGATGGGATGTATCTCAAAATAATAAGAGCTATCTGTGACAAACCCACAGCCAATATCATACTGAGTGGCCAGAAACTGGAAGCATTCCCTTTGAAAACTGGCACAAGGGAGAGGAGCCAAGATGGCCGAATAGGAACAGCTCCGGTCTACAGCTCCCAGCATGAGTGATGCAGAAGACTGGTGATTTCTGCATTTCCATCTGAGGTACCAGGTTCATCTCACTATGGAGTGCCAGACAGTGGGCGCAGGTCAGTGGGTGTGCGCACTGTGCACGAGTTGAAGCAGGGTGAGGCATTGCCTCACTCGGGAAGCACAAGGGGTCAGGGAGTTCCCTTTCCTAGTCAAAGAAAGGGGTGACGGACGGCACCTGGAAAATCGGGTCACTCCCACCCGAATACTGCGCTTTTCTGATGGGCTTAAAAAACGGCGCACCATGAGATTATATCCCGCACCTGGCTTGGAGGGTCCTATGCCCACGGAGTCTCACTGATTGCTAGCACAGCAGTCTGAGATCAAACTGCAAGGTGGCAGCGAGGCTGGGGGAGGGGCGCCTGCCATTGCCCAGGCTTTCTTAGGTAAACAAAGCAGCCAGGAAGCTCGAACTGGGTGGAGCCCACCACAGCTCAAGGACGCCTGCCTGCCTCTGTAGGCTCCACCTCTGCGGGCAGGGCACAGCAAACAAAAAGACAGCAGTAACCTCTGCAGACTTAAATGTCCCTGTCTGACAGCTTTGAAGAGAGCAGTGGTTCTCCCAGTATGCAGCTGGAGATCTGAGAATGGGCAGACTGCCTCCTCAAGTGGGTGCCTGACCCCTGACCCCCAAGCAGCCTAACTGGGAGGCACCCCCCAACAGGGGCACACTGACACCTCACAAGGCAGGGTACTCCAACAGACCTGCAGCTGAGGGTCCTGTCTGTTAGAAGTAAAACTAACAAACAGAAAGGACATCCACACCAAAAACCCATCTGTACATCACCATCATCAAAGACCAAAAGTAGATAAAACCACAAAGATGGGGAAAAAACAGAACAGAAAAACTGGAAACTCTAAAAAGCAGAGCGCCTCTCCTCCTCCAAAGGAATGCGGTTCTTCACCAGCAATGGAACAAAGCTGGATGGAGAATGACTTTGACGAGTTGAGAGAAGAAGGCTTCAGATGATCAAATTACTCCAAGCTAAGGGAGGACATTCAAACCAAAGGAAAAGAAGTTGAAAACTTTGAAAAAAATTTAGAAGAATGTATAACTAGAATAACCAATACAGAGAAGTGCTTAAAAGAGCTGATGGAGCTGAAAACCAAGGCTCGAGAACTATGTGAAGAATGCAGAAGCCTCAGGAGATGATGTGATCAACTGTAAGAAAGGGTATCAGCAATGGAAGATGAAATGAGTGAAATGAAGTGAGAAGGGAAGTTTAGAGAAAAAAGAATAAAAAGAAATGAGCAAAGCCTCCAAGAAATATGGGACTGTATGAAAAGACCAAATCTACGTCTGATTGGTGTACCTGAAAGTGATGGGGAGAATGGAACCAAGTTGGAAAACACTCTGCAGGATATTATCCAGGAGAACTTCCCCAATCTAGCAAGGCAGGCCAACGTTCAAATTCAGGAAATACAGAGAATGCCACAAAGATACTCCTCGAGAACAGCAACTCCAAGACACATAATTGTCAGATTCACCAAAGTGGAAATGAAGGAAAAAATGTTAAGGGCAGCCAGAGACAAAGGTCGGGTTACCCTCAAAGGGAAGCCCATCAGACTAACAGCGGATCTCTCAGCAGAAACCCTACAAGCCAGAAGAGAGTGGGGGCCAATATTCAACATTCTTAAAGGAAAGAATTTTCAACCCAGAATTTCATATCCAGCCAAACTAAGCTTCATAAGAGAAGGAGAAATAAAATACTTTACAGAGAAGCAAATGCTGAGAGATTTTGTCACCACCAGGCCTGCCCTAAAAGAGCTCCTGAAGGAAGCGCTAAACATGGAAAGGAACAACCGGTACCAGCCACTGCAAAATCATGCCAAAATGTAAAGACCATCGAGACTAGGAAGAAAGTGCGTCAACTAATGAGCAAAATAACCAGCTAACATCATAATGACAGGATCAAATTCCCACATAACAATATTAACTTTAAATGTAAATGGAGTAAATGCTCCAATTAAAAGACACAGACTGGCAACTTGGATAAAGAGTCAAGACCATTTTTTGGTTCCATATGAACTTTAAAGTAGTTTTTTCCAATTCTGTGAAGAAAGTCATTGGTAGCTTTAGGGGGATGGCATTGAATCTGTAAATTACCTTGGACAGCGAGCCCTACTTATGGGTTGTTTCCATTGGAACTTGATTTAAGATTACTTCTTGATTTTTTTTCTCCTGTCTTTAAACTGGCTTTGTTTTACACAATCTTCTAATTTGGGGTCAGGATTTTGGAGAGTTCTTGTGATACACATACTTCTGTTATAGAGATTAGTGAGCAGAGGTTTGATAGGAGTTAGTCATGGTGAACTGTCTGAGGTTACCGAATTGTTCAGACATCCAAGAGACACACCAAATGTTGGCTCAAGATACGTCAGTTTGAATTCTCAAAAGCTCTCCAGAGACTGTTTCTGTAGTTTGTTAAGTTTTCTCTCTCTTGTCTTTGCCCATGTTTTCCAGTGATGCAACAGCCCCTTTGTTACTGATTGTGAGATTTCTTTATATATTAAAGGTACTTCACAGTCTAAAAAAAAAAAAAGAGTCAAGACCCATCAGTGTGCTGTATTCAGGAAACCCATCTCACGTGCAGAGACACACATAGGCTCAAAATAAAAGGATGGAGGAAAATCTACCAAGCAAATGGAAAACAAAAAAAAGCAGGGGTTGCAATCCTAGTATCTGATAAAACAGACTTTAAACCAACAAAGATCAAAAGAGACAAAGAAGGCCATTACATAATGGTAAAGGGATCAATTCAACAGGAAGAGCTAACTATCCTAAATAGATATGCACCCAACACAGGAGCACCCAGATTCATAAAGCAAGTCCTGAGTGACCTACAAAGAGACTTAGACTCCCACACATTAATAATGGGAGACTTTAACACCCCACTGTCAACATTAGACAGATCAACGAGACAGAAAGTCAACAAGGATACCCAGGAATTGAACTCAGCTCTGCACCAAGCGGACCTAATAGAAATCTAAAGAACTCTCCACCCTGAATCAACAGAATATACATTTTTTTCAGCACCACACCACACCTATTCCAAAATTGACCACATACTTGGAAGTAAAGCACCCCTCAGCAAATGTAAAAGAACAGAAATTATAACAAACTATCTCTCAGACCACACTGCAATCAAACTAGAACTCAGGATTAAGAAACTCACTCAAAACCGCTCAACTACATGGAAACAGAACAATCTGCTCCTGAATGACTATCGGGTACATAACGAAATGAAGACAGAAATAAAGATGTTCTTAGAAACCAATGAGAACAAAGACACAACATACCAGAATCTCTGGGACACATTCAAAGCAGTGTGTAGAGGGAAATTTATAGCACTAAATGCCCACAAGAGAAAGCAGGAAAGATCCAAAATTGACACCCTAACATCACAATTAAAAGAACTAGAAAAGCAAGAGCAAACACATTCAAAAGCTAACAGAAGGCAAGAAATAACTAAACTCAGAACAGAACTGAAGGAAATAGAGACACAAAAAAGTCTTCAAAAAATTAATGAATCCAGGAGCTGGTTTTTTGAAAGGATCAACAAAATTGATAGACCGCTAGCAAGACTAATAAAGAAAAAAAGAGAGAAGAATCAAATAGATGCAATAAAAAATGATAAAGGGGATATCACCACCAATCCCACAGAAATACAAACTACCATCAGAGAACACTACAAACACCTCTATGCAAATAAACTAGAAAATCTAGAAGAAATGGATAAATTCCTCGACACATACACTCTCCCAAGACTAATCCAGGAAGAAGTTGAATCTCTGAATACACCAATAACAGGAGCTGAAATTGTGGCAATAATCAATAGCTTACTAACCAAAAAGAGTCCAGGACCAGACGGATTCACAGCCGAATTCTACCACAGGTACAAGGAGGAACTGGTACCTTTACTTCTGAAACTATTCCAATCAATAGAGAAAGAGGGAATCTTCCCTAACTTATTTTATGAGGCCAGCATCATTCTGATACCAAAGCCGGGCAGAGATACAACCAAAAAAGAGAATTTTAGACCAATATCCTTGATGAACATTGATGCAAAAATCCTCAATAAAATACTGGCAAAACGAATCCAGCATCACTTCAAAAAGCTTATCCACCATGATCAAGTGGGCTTCATCCCTGGGATGCAAGGCTGGTTCAATATATGCAAATCAATAAATGTAATCCAGCATATAAACAGAGTCAAAGACAAAAACCACATGATTATCTCAATAGATGCAGAAAAGGCCTTGACCAAATTCAACAACCCTTCATCCTAAAAACTCCCAATAAATTAAGTATTGATGGGACGTATTTCAAAATAATAAGAGCTATCTATGACAAACCCACAGCCAATATCATACTGAATGGGCAAAAACTGGAAGCATTCCCTTTGAAAAATGGCACAAGACAGGGATGTCCTCTCTCACAACTCCTATTCAACATAGTGATGGAAGTTCTGGCCAGGGCAATTAGGTAGGAGAAGGAAATAAAGGGTATTCAATTAGGAAAAGAGGAAGTCAAATTGTTCCTGTTTGCAGATGACATGATTGTATATCTAGAAAAACCCCATCATCTCAGCCCAAAATCTCTTAAGCTGATAAGCAAATTCAGCAAAGTCTCAGGATACAAAATCAATGTACAAAAATCACGAGCATTCTTATACGCCAACAACAGACAGAGAGCCAAATCACGAGTGAATTCCCATTCACAATTGCTTCAAAGAGAATAAAATACCTAGGAATCCAACTTACAAGGGATGTGAAGGACCTCTTCAAGGAGAACTACAAACCACTGCTCAAGGAAATAAAAGAGGATACAAACAAATGGAAGAACATTCCATGTTCATGGGTAGGAAGAATCAATATCATGAAAATTGCCATACTGCCCAAGGTAATTTATAGATTCAATGCCATCCGCATCATGCTACCGATGACTTTCTTCACAGAATTGAAAAAAGCTACTTTAAAGTTCATGTGGAACCAAAAAAGAGTCCGCATCGCCAAGTCAATCCTAAGCCAAAAGAACAAAGCCAGAGGCATCAGGCTACCTGACTTCAAACTATACTACAAGGCTACAGTAACCAAAACATCATGGTACTGTTACCAAAACAGAGATATAGATCAATGGAAGAGAACAGAGCCCTCAGAAAGAATGCTGCATATCTACAACTATCTGATCTTTGACAAACCTGACAAAAACAAGGAATGGGGAAAGGATTCCCTATTTAATAAATGGTGCTGGGAAAACTGGCTAGCCACATGGAGAAAGCTGAAATTGGATCCCTTCCTTACACCTTATACAAAAATCATTTCAAGATGGATTAAAGACTTAAACATTAGACCTAAAACCATAAAAACCCTAGAAGAAAACCTAGGCATTGCCATTCAGGACATAGGCATGGGCAAGGACTTCATGTCTAAAACACCAAAAGCAATGGCAACAAAAGCCAAAATTGACAAAATGGGATCTAATTAAACTAAAGAGCTTCTGCACAGCAAAAGCAACTACCATTAGAGTGAATAGGCAACCTACAAAATGGGAGAAAATTTTCGCAACCTACTCATCTGACAAAGGGCTAATATCCAGGATCTACAATGAACTCAAACAAATTTACAAGAAAAAAACAAACAACCCCATCAAATGTGGGCGAAGGAAGTGAACAGACACTTCTCAAAAGAACACACTTATGCAGCCAAAAAACACATGAAAAAATGATCATCATCACTGGCCATCAGAGAAATGCAAATGAAAACCACAATGAGATACCATCTCACAACAGTTAGAATGGCAATCATTAAACAATCAGGAAACAACAGGTGCTGGAGAGGATGTGGAGAAATAGGAACACTTTTACACTGTTGGTGGGACTGTAAACTAGTTCAACCATTGTGGAAGTCAGTGTGGCGATTCCTCAGGGATCTAGAACTAGAAATACCATTTGACCCAACAATCCCATTACTGGGTATATACCCAAAGGACTATAAATCATGCTGCTATAAAGACACATGCACATGCATGTTTATTGTGGCATTATTCACCATAGCAAAGACTTGGAACCAACCCAAATGTCTAACAATGATAGACTGGATTGAGAAAATGTGACACATATACACCATGGAATACTATGCAGCCATAAAAAGTGATGAGTTCATGTCCTTTGTAGGGACATGGATGAAATTGGAAATCATCATTCTCAGTAAACTATCACAAGAACAAAAAACCAAACACCGCATATTCTCACTCATAGGTGGGAATTGAACAATGAGATCACATGGACACAGGAAGTGGAACATCACACTCTGGGGACTGTTGTGGGGTGGGGGGAGGCGGGAGGGATAGCATTGGGAGATATACCTAACGCTAGATGACAAGTTAGTGGGTGCAGCGCACCAGCATGGCACATGTATACATATGTAACTAACCTGCACAATGTGCACATGTACCCTAAAACTTAAAGTATAATAATAAAAGAAAAAAAAACTTAAAAAAAAAGAAAACTGGCACAAGACAGGGATGCCCTGTCTCACAACTCCTATTCAACATAGTGTTGGAAGTTCTGCCAGGGCAATCAGGCAGGAGAAGGGAATAAAGTGCATTCAATTAGGAAAAGAGGAAGTCAAATTGTTCCTGTTTGCAGATGACATGATTGTATATCTAGAAACACCCATTGTCTCAGCCCAAAATCTCCTTAAGCTGATAAGGAACTTCAGCAAAGTCTCAGGATACAAAATAAATGTGCAAAAATCACAAGCATTCTTATACACCAATAATAGACAAACAGAAAGCCAAATCATGAGTGAACTCCCATTGACAATTGCTTCAAATAGAATAAAATACCTAGGAATCCAACTCAAAGGGATGTGAAGGACCTCTTCAAGGAGAACTACAAACCACTGCTCAATGAAATAAAAGAGCATACAAACAAATGGAAGAACATTCCATGCTCATGGGTAGGAAGAATCAATGGCGTGAAAATTGCCATACTGCCCAAGGTAATTTATAGATTCAATGTCATCCCCATCAAGCTACCAATGACTTTCTTCACAGAATTGGAAAAAAACTACTTTAAAGTTCATATGGAACCAAAAAAGAGCCCACATCGCCAAGTCAATCCTAAGCCAAAAGAACAAAGCTGGAGGCATCACGCTACCTGACCTCAAACTATACTACAAGTCTGCAGTAACCAAAACAGCATGGTACTGGTACCAAAACAGAGATATACATCAATGGAACAGAACAGAGCCCTCAGAAAGAATGTCGCATGTCTACAACTATCTGATCTTTGACAAACCTGACAAAAACAAGGAATGGGGAAAGGATTCCCTATTTAATAAATGGTGCTGGGAAAACTGGTTAGCCTTATGTAGAAAGCTGAAACTGGATCCCTTCCTTACACCTTATACAAAAATCAATTCAAGATGGATTAAAGACTTACATGTTAGACCTAAAACCATACAAACCCTAGAAGAAAACCTAGGCAATACCATTCAGGACATAGGCATGGGCAAGGACTTCATGTCTAAAACACCAAAAGCAATGGCAACAGAAGCCAAAATTGACAAATGAGACCTAAGTAAACTAAAAAGCTTCTGCACAGCAAAAGAAACTACCAACAGAGTGAACAGGCAACCTACAGAATGGGAGAAAATTTTTGCAACCTACTCATCCGACAAAGGGCTAATATCCAGGATCTACAATGAACACAAACAAATTTACAAGAGAAAAACAAACAACCCCATCAAAAAGTGGGCAAAGTATATGAACAGACACTTTTCCAAAAAAGACATTTATGCAGCCAAAAAACACATGAAAAAATGCTCAACATCACTGGCCATCAGAGAAATGCAAATCAAAACCACAATGAGATAACATCTTACACCAGTTGGAATGGAGATCATTAAAAAGTCAGGAAACAACAGGTGCTGGAGAGGATGTGGAGAAATAGGAACACATTTACACTGTTGGTGGGACTGTAAACTAGTTCAACCATTGAGGAAGACAGTGTGGCAATTCCTCAGGGATCTAGAACTAGAAATACCATTTGACCCAGCCATCCCATTACTGGGTATATACCCAAATTATTATAAATCTTGCTGCTGTAAAGACACATGCACACATATGTTTATTGCGACTCTATTCACAATAGGAAAGACTTGGAACCAACCCAAATGTCCAACAGTGATAGACTGGATTAAGAAAATGTGGCACATATACACCATGGAATACTATGCAGCCGTAAAGAAGAATGAGTTCTTGTCTTTTGTAGGGACATGGATGAAGCTGGAAACCGTCATTCTCAGCAAATTATCACAAGGACAAAAAACCAAACACTGCATATTCTCACTCATAGGTGAGAATTGAACAATGAGAAAACTTGGACACAGGAAGAGGAACATCACACACCAGGGCCTGTTGAGGGGTGGGGGAAGCGGGGAGGGATAGCATTGGGAGATATACCTAATGTAAATGACGAGTTAATGGGTGCAGCACCCCATCATGGCGCATGTATACATATGTAAGAAACCTGTGCGTTGTGCACATGTACCCTAGAACTTAAAGTATAATAAAAAAAGAAGAGTATTAAAAAAAGAGTGAAGATAAAATAAAAAAAAGAAAAATTGTAGAACTCTTAAATACAATAACTGAAATTAAGAATTCAGTGGAATGATTTAACAACAGAATAAACAAATAATTGAACAGAATTTGTGAACTGGAAGATGGCTCAGAAGAAACTGAGATCCAAAGGTAGAGGGAAATGGGGGTAAAATTCAAATGTATCTGTTTAATATTCCCAAAGATACTGTGTTTGTTATATATAAAAATAAACACATATTTAAAAATCCCTTCACACCTTCATACAGTAGTGTGCTGTGTGCAAGTGAACAAAAAGTTAGTATAGTTATTATTACACAATACTAGTGGAACATTGGTGTTATGTTAATCCTCTTTAACTTGATGATCATTATTCCAGTGCTTCTATGTGTCCTGACTTCACAGATGCTTGTTGTTGCAAAATCCCGAGGTAAAACAAAGGTCCTGATATTATGGGCAGAGTGAGAGTGTGGCTGACTACAGTTTCTCCAGTTGAGGCCCTTCTGAGTGTACCCACTGAACAGCTTTGGGGAAGGAGGCTAAGGCCTACTATGTAAGTTGTCAGGGAGGGAGGTGACCTCCTAAGAAGTGATGGAGACTTCATGACATGGTCGAACTTGAAATGATTAGTGAAGTGGTATAATCTGTGAATCCAGCAAAATACAATTATGTTCCTAGCTCTCCTTATTTTTAAGATTTCTGAGGAAATCTATAGATTAGAAATTAAATAAATCAATTCCAGTTTGCTTTTCAGAGAAGTAAATTGTGCAGATTCTCATATTAGCACTGCTTCATAGAAAAATAGGACAGTATATTAACATTTCTCTCTGTTTTTATTTTTTATTTTTGCCATAACAGAGCTTTCTAACAATGTCCACGTAAACATTTTCTAACATCTCTGGCAATTTCCATTTCTGTTTTTTTCTTCTAAAAATTTAGCTAGCTAAATTTAAATGTTGAATTTGGATATTGTTTTCTTTCTTTTCCCCTCAGATTTATTTTAAATTGTAAATAACAATGCACTAGTTTCTTGAGTGTGCCCTGAGGGAGGTAGGTTTTGTAATCCAGTGACCCCCAACCTGGGGTGGTTATGGTCTGCAGATGGAAAAAGTGGAATCCTGCAGGGGAAAAGGAAGCATCCAGATCTCTCCCCCTACTTTATACTGGACAAAGTCTTAACAGCTAATGTCTTCCATCCTGGAGACTAGGCCGTCCATCTTCAGGACTTTCTCTTCAACCAATTGTCTGCTTAGTGGAATCTGGCAATTCAAGAAATATCCTCTTGTTTCTGATTTCTCATTTGATTTTTAATCCCAGTACACTTTTTAGATGATCACATAGATTCTGGGAACAATGGAAGAAACAATAACAAAGGAAAAATAGTGGGGCAAGATGGCCAAATAGAAACCTTCACCAATTGTCCTCCCCACAGGAACAGCAAATTGAACAACTATTCACACAAAAAAGCACCTTCATAAGAAAGAAAAACCAGATGAGCATTCACAGTACCTGGTTTAACTTCAGGTAACTGAAAGAGGCACTGAAGAGTTAGGAAGGACAGTCTTGAATTGCCTACATAACCCCTCCCTTAACCCCCTCAGCAATGGCTGTATGGTGTGGAGAGAGAATCTGTGTGCTTGATGGGAGGGAAAGTGCAGTGATTGTGGGACTTTGCATTGGAACTCAGTGCTACCCTGTCACAGTGGAAAGCAACACCATGCAGAACTCAGCTGGTGACCATTGAAGGAGGATTTAGAACAGACCTAGTCAGAGGAGAATCACCCATCTGGAAGCCCTTTCAGGGCAGGCTAAAGTGCTCTGGGGGTCCTAAATAAACTTGAAAGGCAGTCTAGGGCAGAAGAAATAGCAAGACCTGCTGAGCAAGTCCTGGTTCTGTGCTGGTCTCAGAGCCAGTGGACTTGGGCGACATGCAACCTAATGAAACACCAGCCAGTGTGGCCAAAGGAGTGCTTGTGCCACTTCTCTCCCAACCTCCGGTAGCACAGCTCAAAGCTCTGGGAGAGATTCCTTCCCTCCACTTGAGGAGAAGAGAGGGAATAATAAAGAGGATTTTGTCTTGCAACTTGGATGCCAGCTCAGCCACAGTAGGTTAGGGCACTGGGCAGAGTTTTGAGGCAGCCATTCCAAGCCCTAGCTCCCAAGTGACATTTCTAGACATGCTTTGGGCCAGAAGGGAACCAGTTGCCTTGAAGAGAAGGACCCAGTCCTGGCAGAATTTATCATCTGCTGGCTAAAGAGCGTTTGGACCCTGAATAATCAGTAATGGTAGGCAGGCAGTACTCACCATGCCTTGGGTAATACTCAGAGACATACTGGTTTTAAATTTGATCCACCACATTCCCATCTGTGGTGGCTATGGGGATAGATTCTTTCTGCTTGAGAAAAGGAGTAGAAGAGTAAAGCGAAGAGTAAAAGGCACTTTGTCTTGCAACTCAGGTACCAGCTCAGCCAGTGAGACAGAACACCAAGTAGGCTCTTGGGGTCTCTGATTCCAGGCCTTGGATCTTGAATGGTATTTCTGGACCTGCCCTGGGCCAGAGGGAAGCCCACTGCCTTAATAGGGTGAGTCTCAGGCATGGCAGCATTTACCACAAGATGACTGAAGAGCCACTGGGCCTTGAGTGAACATTGGCAGTACCCAGGCAGGACTCATTGCAGGCCTGGGGCAGTGGTGGCCATGGGGAGAGACTTTTTTGCTTGTGGAAATGGAAGGCAATAGTGGGAAGGACTTGGATTTGTGGCTTGGGTGGCAACTCAGCAGAACTCGAGTAGACCACCAGGTAGATTTCTTTTCTTTTTTTTTTTTTGCTTGCATCGTTTCTTTCTTTCTTTCTTTTTTTTTATTATTATACTTTAAGTTCTAGGGTACATGTGCACAATGTGCAGGTTTGTTACATATGTATACATGAAAGAACCTATCTCTGGAAATGCTTTGTGATGTGTGGATTCATGTCACAGAATTAAACCTTTTTTTTGAGTCAGCAGCTTGGAAACACTTTTTTTTTTTTGTAGAATCTGTGAAGGGACATTTGGGAGCCCATTATGGCCTATAATGAAAAACTGAATATCCTGTAGCAAAAACTAGAAAGAAGCTCTGTGAAAATGATTCTTGATGTGTGGATTCATCTCACAGAGTTAAACTTTTCTTTTTATTCAGCAGGTTGGAAACACACTTTTTGGAAAATCAACAAAAGACATTTGGGAGCCCATTGAGCCCAATAGCAAAAAACCGAATATACTGTGATAAAAACTAGCAAGAATCTATCTGGGAAAATGCTTTCCAATGTGTGGATTCATTTAGAAGATTAAACCTTTTTTTTGATTCACCATGTTGCAAACATTTCTTTTGTAGAATCTACAAAAGATATTTGGGAGTCCATTGAGTCCTATAGTGAAAAAGTGAATATCCCAGGATAAAAACTAGAAAGAAGCTCTCTGTGAAAACGCTTTGCAATGTGTGGATTCATCTCACAGAGTTAAACCTTTCTTTTGATTCAGCACCCTGGAAATGCTGTTTTTGTAGAATCTGTGAAGAGACATTTGAGAACCCTTGAGGCCTGTAGTGAAAACGAATATTCACACACACACACAAAAAATAACTAAAAAGAAACTATATGTGGAAACTCTTTGCAATTTATGCATTCATCTCCCAGAGTTGAATCTTTACTTTGATTCAGCAGGATGGAAAATCTTTTTTTGTAGAATCTGTGATGGGACATTTAAAAGCCCATTGAGGGCTGGGCGTGGTAGCTCACACCTGTAATCCCAGCACTTTGTGAGGGCGAGGCAGATCATGAGGTCAGGAGATCAAGACCATCCTGGCTAACATGGTGAAACCCCGTCTCTACTAAAAAATAGAAAAAATTAACTGGGCGTTGGGGCAGGCGCCTGTAGTACCAGCTACTTGGGAGGCTGAAGAATGAGAATGGCATGAACCCGGGAGGCAGAGCTTGCAGTGAGCCAAGATCACACCACTGCACTCCAGCCTGGGTGACAGAGCGAAACTCCATCTCAAAAAAAAAAAAAAAAGCCCATTGAGGACTTTGGTGAAAAACCAAATATTCCTCGAAAAAAAAAAAAGTAGCTATCTGTGGAAAGACTATGGAATGTGGGATCCATCTAACGAAGTTTAACCTTTCTTTTTATTTGCAGGTTGGAAACACTCTTATTGTAGAACCTGCCCAGGGATAATTGGGAGCCCATTGAGGCCTGTAGTGAAAAACTGAAAATCCCACCATACACACTGAAAAGAAACTATCTGTGAAAAACACTTTGCAATGTGTGGATTCATTTTACAGAGTTAAACATTTCTTTGCAAACACTCTCTTTGGAAATGTATGAAAGATATTTTGGAGCCCTTGAGGCCTATAGTGATAAATTGTATATCCTGTGATTAAAAAGTAGAATGAAATGAATTGTGAAATGCTTTGCCATGGGTGGATTTGTCTCATGGAGGTAAACCTTTCTTTCGATTCAGTAGGTAGGAAACATTCTTTTTGTAGAATGTGCAAAGGGACATTTTGGGAGCCCACTGAGGCCCATAGTGAAAAACCTAATATCCCGTGATAAAAACCAGAAAAAAGCTGTGTGTAAAAACGCTTTGCCATGTGAGGATACATCTCAAAGAGTTAAACCTTTGCTCTGATTCTGCAGGTTGGAAACACTCTCTTGGTAGAATATGAGAAGGGACATTTGAGAGCCCATGGAGGCCTATATTGAAAAACTGAATATTTTGTGATATAAACTAGAAAGAAGCTATTTTTGAAAATGCTTTGTAATGTGAGGATTCATCTCACAATGGTAAGCCATTCTTTTGATTCTGTAGGTTGAAAACACTCGTTATTTAGAATCTGTGAAGGGAAATTCGGGAGCCACTTGAGGCCTATAGTGAAAAACTGAAAATCCCCAGATAAAAACTAGAAAAAGCTGTCTGTGAAAACAGTTTGTGATGTGTGAAATCATCTCAAAGAGTTAAACCTTTCTTTTGATTGAGCAGGTATGAAACAATGTTTTTGTAGAATCTGCAAAGGGACATTTGGAAGCCCATTGAGGCCTATAGTGAAAAACCAAATATTCTGTGTAAAAACTAGAAATAAGATATATGTGAAAATGATTGGGATGTGAGGATTCAACTCAAAGAGTTAAACCTTCCTTTTGATTCAGCAGGTTGGAAACACTCTTTTGGAAGCATCTGCAAAGGGACATTTGTGAGCCAATAGAGCCCTGTAGGGAAAACTGAATATTTCCCCCTTGGCCAAAAAAAAACAAAAACAAAAACAAAAACAAAAACAAAAACAAAAAAACAAAAAACAGCAACAAAAAACCCTCAAAGCTATTTGAGGACATGCTTTGTGATGTGTGGATTCATCTCGCAGAAGTAAACCTTAATTTTGATTCAGCAGGTTGGAAACACTCTTGTTGTAGAATGTGTACAGGGATATTTGGAAGCTCTTAGAGGCACACATGGAAAAACCGAGTATCCCGCAATAAAAACTAGAAAGAATATATCTGTGAAAATGCTTTGCCATGTGTGGATAAATCAAATCTAGATAAACCTTTCTTTACATTCAGCATGTTGGAAACACTCTTCTTATAGAATCTGTGAACGGACATTTTGGGGTCCATTGATGCCTATACTGAAAAACTGACTATTCTGAAATGAAAACTAGAAAAAAACTACCTGTGGAAACGCTCTGTGAAGTGTGGATTCATCTCACAAAGTTAAAACTTTCTATTGAAAGGTTGAATACACTTTTTTTTTTTGTAGATTCTGCCAAGGCACATATGGGAGGCCATTGAGGCCTAGAGTGAAAAGCCGAATATACCACAAGAAAAACTAGAAAAAGTGATCTGAGGAAACACTTTGCAATGTGTGGATTCAACTCACCAAGTTGAACAATTCTTTGATTCAGCAGGTTGGGAACACTATTTTTATAGCATTTGCAAAGGGACATTTGGGAGTCCATTGAGGCCTTTATTGAAGACCTGAATATCCCGTGACAAAAACTAGAAAGAAGCTATCTGTGGAAAGGCTTCGAGATGTGTGGATGTATCTCACAGAGTTAAACACTTCTTTTGATTCAGCAGGTTGGAAAGCCTCTTTTTGTAGAATCGGTGAAAGGACATATAGGAGCCCTTTTAGGCCTATAGTCAAAAACTGAATATCCCATGATAAAAACTTGAAGAAAGCTATCTGTGTAAACACTATGCAATGTGGTTTCATCTTACAGACTTACACCTTTCTTTTGATTCAGCATGTTGGAAATACTCTTTTTGTAGAATCTGTGAAGGTATATTTTGGAGCCCATTGGGGTATATAGTAGAAAATTAAATATCCCATAATCAAAACTATAAAGAAGTTATCTGTGAAAACACTTCACAATGTGTGGATTCAGCTCATAGATTTAAACCTTTCTTTCTATTCAGCATGTTGGAAACACTCAGTTTGTAGAATTTAAGAAGGACATTTGAAAGCCCGTTGAGGCCTACAGTGAAAAACAGAATATCACATGAAAAAACTAGAAAGAAACTTCCTTTGAAAACGCTTGTGATGTGTGGACTCATCTCACAGAGGTAAACCTTTCTTTTGATTCAGTTGATTGGAAACATTCTTTTTGTAGAATCTGCAAATGGACATTTGGGAACTCATTTAGGCATATAGTGAAAAACCAAATATTCCATGACACAAACTAGAAGGAGGCTATTGTGAAAACGTTTTGCAATGAGTGGATTCATCTGGCAGAGTTAAACCTTTCTTTTATTCAGCATGTTTGAAACACACTTCCTGTAGAATCTATGAAGGGACATTTGGGAGCCCATTGTGGCCTATAGTGAAAAACTGAATATTACCCCCAAAAAACTAGAAAGAAGCTATTTGTGCTAATGCTTTGCAGTGTGTGGATTTACCTCACAGAGTTAAACCTTTTTTTGATTCAACTGGTTGGAAACACTATTTTTGTATAATCTGCAAAGGACATTTGGGAACCCATTCAGGCCTTTAGTGAAAAATCAAATATCCCACAATACAAACTATAAAGTAGCTGTCTGTGAAAAGGCTCTGCCATGTGTGGATTCATATCACAGAGATAAACCTGTCTTTTAAATCAGCAGGTTGGAAACACTCTTGTTCTAGAATCTGCAAAGGGACATTTGGAAGCCAATTAAGGCCTATAGCTAAAAACCAATTATTCCCCCCAAATAACTAAAATGAAGCTATCTGTGGAAATGCTTTGTGAAGTGTTGATTTATCTCACAAAGTTAAACCTTTCTTTTGATTCATCTCGTTGGAAACCCTCTTTTTGTAGAATCTGCGCAGGGGCATTTGGGAACCCATTGAGGCCTGTAGTGATGAACTTATAATCCCATGATAAAAACTAAAAAGAAGTTTTCTGTGAAAATGCTTTGAACTTTGTGGAATTATCTCACAGAGTTAAATGTTTCTTTTGATTCAGCAGGTTGGAAACACTCTTTTAGTAGAATCTGTGCAGGGACACATCAGAATCCATTGAGGCCTATAGTGAAAATCTGATATCCCATGATAAAAACTCAAAAGAAGCTAACTGTTAAATGCTTTGTGCTTTGTGGATTCATCTCACATAGTTAAACCTTTTTTTTTTGATTCAGATGGTTGGAAACACTCTTTTTGTACAATCTATGCAAAGACATTTTGAAACACAATGAGTTGTATAGTGAAAAACAGGTGTCATGTGATAAAAACAAGAAAGAAGCTACTTGTTAAAATGCTTTGCACTTTATTCATTCATCTCACAGAGTTAAACCACTGTTTTGATTCATCAGGTTGGAATCACTCTTTTTGTAGTATCTGCACAAGGATATTTGGGAGTCCCTTGAGACATATAGTGATAATCAGAATATCCTGTGATAAAAACTAAAAAGAAGCTATCTATGAAAATGCTTTGTGCTTTGTGGATCATCTCACAGAGTTAAAACTTTCCTTTGAATCAGCAGGTTCAAAAGACTCTTTTTGTAGAATCTGTGCAGGGTCTTTTGGGAGCCCATTGAGGCCTATAGTGATAAAAAGAGTTTTCTGCAATAAAAACTAAAAAAGATATCTGTGAAAGTGCTTTCCACTTTATGGATTCATTCCACAAGTTAAAACATTCTTTTGATTCAGTAGGATGAAAATATTCTTCCTGGAGAATCTTAGTAGGAAGATTTCTGAGTCCATTGAGGCCTATAGTGAAGAAAAGAAAACTCCATGATAAAAACTAGAGGGAAGTATCTGAGAAAATGCTTTGCAATGTGTGGATTCATCTCACAGAGTTTAACCTTTCTTTTGAGGCAGCAGGTTGGAAACACTCTTTTTGTAGAATCTGCACAAGGACATTTGGTGTTCTATTGAGGCCTATAGTGATAAACTGAATATCCCACAATAAAAACTAAAAAGAAGCTATCTGTGAAAACACTTTACACCTTGAGGATTCATCTCACAAATTTAAACCTTTCTTTTAATTCAGCAGGTTGGAAACACTCTTTTTGTAGTATCTGTTTAGTGACACTTAGTGCCTATTGAGGCCTCGAGTGATAAACTGATTATCCTGCAATTAAAACAACAAAAAAGCTATTCTTAAAAGTTCTTTGTGCTTTGTAGATTCATTTCACAGGATTAAACCTTTCTTTTGATTCATCAGGTTGGAAACACTCTTTTTGTAGAATCTGTGCAAGGACATTTCTAAGCCCATTGAAGCCTATAGTGATAAACTGAATATCCTTTGATAAAAACTGAAAAGAAGCTATCTATGATAATGCTTTGTGCTTTGTGGATTCACCTCACAGATTTTAACCTTTCTTTTGATTCAGCAGGTAGGAAACACTCTTCTTGTAGAATCTGTATAGGGACACTTCGGAGCCCATTGGTGCCTGTAGTGAAAAACTGATATTTCGTGATAAAAACTAGAAAGAAGCTCCCTGTAAAAACACTCAGGATGTGTGGATTAATCTAACAGAGTTACACCTTTATTTTGATTCAGGTGGTTGGAAACACTTTTCTTGTAGAATCTGTGCAGGGACTTTTGGGAGCCCATTGGGACTTAGAGTGATAAACCAATAATCCTGCAAACAAACAAACAAACAAAAACCAAAAAAGAAGCTATCTGTGAGAATGCTTTGTGCTTTCTGGATTCATCCCAGTGTTAAACCTTTTTTGATTCAGCAGGTTGGAAACACTCATTTTGTAGAGTCTGCACAAAGACATTTCAGAGCCCAATGAGCCCTATAGTGCAAAATCGACATCCCATGATGAAAACTAGAAAGCAGCACTCTGTGAAAAACACTTTGCACTTTGTGGATTCATCTCACAGCGTTAAACCTTTCTTTTGATTGAGCAGGTTCAGAAACACTGTTTTTGTAGAATCTGCACAGGGACATTCAGGAGCCTAATGAGGCCTATTAGTGCAAAACAGATATCCTGTTATAAAAATTAGAAAGAAGGTCTCTGTAAAAACGTTTTCCAATGTGTAGTTTCATCTCAAAGTGTTAAACCTTTCTTATTATTCAGCAGGTTGGAAACCCTCTTTTTGTAGATCTTCACAGGGACATTTGGGAGCACATTGAGGCCTATAGTGATAAACTGAATACCACAGAATAAAAACAAAAATAATCTATCTGTAAAAATGCTTTGTGCTTAGTGGACTTATCTCACACAGTTAAAACTTTCCTTTAATTAAGTATGTTGGAAACACTCTTTTTGTAGATTCTGCACAAGGACATTTGGGAGTTCATTTAGGCCTACAATGATGAATCAAATGTCCATGATAAATACTAGGAAGATGCTATCTTTGAAAACGCTTGGCATTTTATTAGGACATTAGGAAACTTTTTGAGGACTATAGTGATAAATTGAATATATCATGATAAAAACTAAAAAGAAGCTATCTGTGAAAATGCTTTGCACACTGTGGATTCATCTCACAGAGTTAAGCCATTCTTTTGATTCAGCACGTTAAAAACACTGTTTTTGTAGAATGCTCAGGGACACTTTTAAAGTCATTAAGGCCTATAGTGCAAAACTGATATCCTGTGAAAAAAACTGGAAAGAAGCTACCTGTGAAATTGATTTGCAATTTGTGAATTCATCTCACAAAGTTAAACCTATATTTGAATTAGCAGCTTTGTGATGTGTAGAGTCATCTCATAGAGTTAAAACTTTATTTAAATTTGGCAGGTTGGAAACACTCTTTTTGTAGAATCTGTGCAGGGACATTTGGGAGCCCATTGATACCTGTAGTGAGAAACTGATATTCCTTGATAAAAACTAGAAGGAATCTATCTGTGAAAACACCTTGCTGTGTGTGTATTAAGCTCACAGAGTTAATCCTTTCTTTTTTATTCAGCAGTTGGGAAACACTCTTTTTGTAGAATATGCACAGAAACATTTGGGAGTCCATTGAGGCCTGCAGTGAAAAACCAATATCCCACACTAAAAACTAGAAAGAATCTGTTAAAATGCTTTGCCATGTGTGGATTCATCTCACAGAGATAATCCTTTCCTTTGATTTAACAGGTTGGAAACACTTTTTTAGTAGAAGCTGTGCAAGAACATTTAGGAGCCCATTGAGGCCTATAATGAAAAACCAATATCCATTATATTCCGTTTCATTCCATTGCATTCCATTCCATTCCATTCTACACGGGTTGATTCCATTCCATTCCATTCCATTCCATTCCAGTCGTGTTGATACCATTCCATTCCATTCCATTCCATGCCATTCCATTCAATTCAATTCCATTCCACTCCATTCCATTACATTCCATTCCACTCGAGTTGATTCTATTCCATTCCATTCCATTCCATTCCATTCCATTCCATTCCATTCCATTCCATTCCATCCATGCCATTGCATTCGGGTTCATTCCATGGCATTCAATTCCATTCCGTTCCGTTCCATTCTATTCCATTCCATTCCATTGCATTGCCTTCCATTCCGCTCCATTCCATTCCATTCCACTCCATTCCATTCCATTCCATTCCACTCGGGTTGATTCCATACCTTTCCATTCCATTCCATTCCCTTCATTCCTTTCCATTCCATTGCATTCCAGTCGGGTTGATTCCATTCCATTGCTTTCCATTCGATTCCATTGCATGCCTTTCTATTCCATTCCACTCGGTTTGATTCCGTTGCATTCTATTCCATTCCATTGCACTTGGGTTCATTCCATTCCATTCCATTCCATTCCATTCCATTCCATTCCACTCCATTCCATTACATTCCATTCCACGCGAATTGATTCTATTCCATTCCATTCCATTCCATTCCATTCCATTCGGGTTCATTCCATGCCATTCAATTCCATTCTGTTCCATTCCATTCCATTCCATTCCATTCCATTCCATTCCATTCCATTCCATTCCATTGCCTTCCATTCCACTCCATTGCCTTCCATTCCACTCCATTCCATTCCATTCCATTCCATTCCATTCCATTCCATTCCATTCCATTCCATTCCATTCCATTCCATTCCATTCCACTCGGGTTGATTCCATACCTTTCCATTCCATTCCATTCCCTTCATTCCTTTCCATTCCATTCCGTTCCAGTCGGGTTGATTCCATTCCATTGCTTTCCATTCGATTCCATTGCATGCCTTTCTATTCCATTCCACTCGGGTTGATTCCGTTGCATTGTATTCCATTCCATTGCACTTGGGTTGATTCCATTCCATTCCGTTCTGTTGCATTCCATTCCATTGCATTCCATACCATTCCATTCCACTCGGGATGATTCCATTCCATTCCATTCCATTCCATTCCATTCCATTCCATTCCATTCCATTCCACTCCATTCCATTACATTCCCTTCCACTCAAGTTGATTCTATTCCATTCCACTCCATTCCATTTCACTCCATTCCATTCCATTCCATTCCATTCCATTCCATTCCATTCCATTCCGTTCCTTTCCAATCCGTGATATTCAACTAGCGTTGAATCCATTGCATTCCATTCCAATCCATTCCTCTCCATTCAATTCCTCTCTGATTTATTCTATTCCGTTCCATTCCATTCCGTTCTGTTACATTCTGTTCCATTGCCTTCCATACCATTCCATTCCACTCGGGATGTTTCCATTCTATTCCATTATATTACGTTTCATTCCATTGCATTCCATTCCATTCCATTCCACTCGGGTTGATTCCATTCCATTCCATTCCATTCCATTCCATTCCATTCCATTCCATTCCATTCCATTCCATTGCATTCCATTCCATTCCGTTCCTTTCCATTCGTGTTGATTCCACTCCATTCCATTCCATTCCATTCCATTCCTTTCCAATCCATGACATTCAACTAGGTTGAATCCATTGCATTCCATTCCAATCCATTCCTCTCCATTCAATTACTCTCTGATTCAATCTATTCCGTTCCATTCCATTCCGTTCTGTTCCATTCCGTTCCATTGCATTCCATACCATTCCATTCCACTCGGGATGTTTCCATTCCATTCCACTCCATTCCATTCCATTCCATTCCATTCCATTCCATTCCATTCCATCCCATTCTGGTTGATTCCATTCCATTCCATTCCATTTTATTCCAATCCATTCCGTTCCATTCCATTCCATTCGATAATATTCCACTCGGGTTGATTCCATACCATTCCATTCCATTCCATTCCATTGAATTCCATTCCATTCCATTCCACTCGGGTTGATTCCATGCCATTCCATTCCATTCCATTCCATTCCATTCCATTCCATTCCATTCAGGTTGATTCCATTCCATTCCATTCCATTCAATTCCATTCCATTCCACTCCATTCCATTACATTCCATTCCACTCGAGTTGATTCTATTCCTTTCCATTCCATTCCATTCCATTCCTTTCCATTCGGGTTCATTCCATGCCATTCAATTCCATTCCGTTCAGGTCCATTCTATTCCATTCCATTCCATTCCATTCCATTCCATTCCATTGTCTTCCATTCCACTCCATTCCATTCCATTCCATTCCATTCCATTCCATTCCATTCCATTCCATTCCATTCATTTCCATTACACTCGGGGTTGATTCCATAGCATTCCATTCCATTCCATTCCATTCGATTCCATTCCATTCCATTCTGGTTGATTCCATTCTATTCCATTCCATTCCATTGCATTCCATTCTATTCCATTCCAGTCCATTCCATTCCACTCGGTTTGATTCCATACCATTCCATTCCATTCCCTTCCATTCCATTCGTTCCATTCCATTCCATTCCATTCATTCCTTTCCATTCCATTCCATTCCATTCGGGTTGATTCCATTCCATTCCTTTCCATTCCATTTCATTCCATTCCTTTCCATTCCATTCCACTCGGGTTGATTCTGTTGCATTCCATTCCATTCCATTGCACTTGGGTTGATTCCATTCCATTCCATTCCATTCCATGCATTTCCCTTACACTCGGGTTGATTTCATAGCATTCCATTGCATTCCATTCCATTCCATTCCATTCCATCCCATTCGGGTTGAATCCCTTGCATTCCATTCCAATCCATTCCACTCCAGTCAATTCCTCTCGGATTCAATCTATTCCATTCCATTCCTTTCCGTTCTGTTCCATTCCATTCCATTGCATTCCATACCATTCCATTCCACTCGGGATGTTTCCATTCCATTCCATTCCATTCCGTTCCATTGCATTCCATTCCCTTCCATTCCATTCCATTCCATTCCATTCTATTCCACTCAGGTTGATTCCGCTCCATTCCATTGCATTACATTCCACTCGGGTTGATTCCTTTCCATTCCATTCAATTCCACTCGGGTTAATTCCATTCCGTTCCTTTCCATTTCACTCCATTCCATTCCATTCCATTCCATTCCATTCCATTCCATTCCATTCCGTTCCATGCATTTCCCTTACACTCCGGTTGATTCCATAGCATTCCATTGCATTCCATTACATTCCATTCCATTCAATCCCATTCGGGTTGATTCCATTCCATTCCATTCCATTCCATTCCATTCCATTCCATTCCATTCCATTCCTTTCCATTCCATTCCGTTCTGTTCCATTCCGTTCCATTGCATTCCATACCATTCCATTCCACTCGGGATGTTTCCATTCCATTCCACTCCATTCCATTCCATTCCATTCCATTCCATTCCATTCCATTCCATCCCATTCTGGTTGATTCCATTCCATTCCATTCCATTTTATTCCAATCCATTCCGTTCCATTCCATTCCATTCGATAATATTCCACTCGGGTTGATTCCATACCATTCCATTCCATTCCATTCCATTGAATTCCATTCCATTCCATTCCACTCGGGTTGATTCCATGCCATTCCATTCCATTCCATTCCATTCCATTCCATTCCATTCCATTCCATTCAGGTTGATTCCATTCCATTCCATTCCATTCAATTCCATTCCATTCCACTCCATTCCATTACATTCCATTCCACTCGAGTTGATTCTATTCCTTTCCATTCCATTCCATTCCATTCCTTTCCATTCGGGTTCATTCCATGCCATTCAATTCCATTCCGTTCAGGTCCATTCCATTCCATTCCATTCCATTCCATTCCATTCCATTCCATTGTCTTCCATTCCACTCCATTCCATTCCATTCCATTCCATTCCATTCCATTCCATTCCATTCATTTCCATTACACTCGGGGTTGATTCCATAGCATTCCATTCCATTCCATTCCATTCGATTCCATTCCATTCCATTCTGGTTGATTCCATTCTATTCCATTCCATTCCATTGCATTCCATTCTATTCCATTCCAGTCCATTCCATTCCACTCGGTTTGATTCCATACCATTCCATTCCATTCCCTTCCATTCCATTCGTTCCATTCCATTCCATTCCATTCATTCCTTTCCATTCCATTCCATTCCATTCGGGTTGATTCCATTCCATTCCTTTCCATTCCATTTCATTCCATTCCTTTCCATTCCATTCCACTCGGGTTGATTCTGTTGCATTCCATTCCATTCCATTGCACTTGGGTTGATTCCATTCCATTCCATTCCATTCCATGCATTTCCCTTACACTCGGGTTGATTTCATAGCATTCCATTGCATTCCATTCCATTCCATTCCATTCCATCCCATTCGGGTTGAATCCCTTGCATTCCATTCCAATCCATTCCACTCCAGTCAATTCCTCTCGGATTCAATCTATTCCATTCCATTCCTTTCCGTTCTGTTCCATTCCATTCCATTGCATTCCATACCATTCCATTCCACTCGGGATGTTTCCATTCCATTCCATTCCATTCCGTTCCATTGCATTCCATTCCCTTCCATTCCATTCCATTCCATTCCATTCTATTCCACTCAGGTTGATTCCGCTCCATTCCATTGCATTACATTCCACTCGGGTTGATTCCTTTCCATTCCATTCAATTCCACTCGGGTTAATTCCATTCCGTTCCTTTCCATTTCACTCCATTCCATTCCATTCCATTCCATTCCATTCCATTCCGTTCCATGCATTTCCCTTACACTCCGGTTGATTCCATAGCATTCCATTGCATTCCATTACATTCCATTCCATTCAATCCCATTCGGGTTGATTCCATTCCATTCCATTCCATTCCATTCCATTCCATTCCATTCCTTTCCATTCCATTCCGTTCCATTCCATTCGGGTTGATTCCATTCCATTAAATTCCACTGCATTCCATTCCATTCCATTCCACTCCATTCCATTCCTTTCCACTCCATACATTCCGTTCCATTCCACCGGGATTGATTCCATACCATTCCATTCCATTCTATGCTATTCCATTCCAGTTGATTCCGTTGGATTCCATTCCGTTCCATTCCATTCCATTCCATTCCATTCCATTCCATTCCATTCCACTCCATACCATTCCATTCCATTGCATTCGACTCAGGTTGATTCCGCTCCATTCCATTGCATTACATTACATTTCATTCCACTCTGGTTGATTCCTTTCCATTCCATTCCGTCCCACTCGGGTTTATTCCATTCCGTTCCTTTCCATTTCATTTCATTTCATTCCATTCCATTCCATTCCGTTCCATTCCATTCCGTTCCATTCTATTCGTTTTTATTTCATTCCATTCCATTCCACAGCATTCCATTCCATTCCATTCAATTCCATTCCATTCCACTCAATTCCATTACATTCCATTCTACTCGAGTTGATTCTATTCCATTCCATTCCATTCCATTCCATTCCATTCCATTCCATTCCATTCCATTCCATTCGGGTTCATTCCATTCCATTCCATTCCATTCCATTCCATTCCATTCCATTCGATTCCATTTCATTCCATTCCGTTCAATTCCATTCGTGTTGATTCCATTCCATTCCATTCCATTCCACTCCTTTCCATTCCATTCCATTCCACTCCTTTCCAATCCATGACATTCAACTGGGTTGAATTCCTTGCATTCCATTCCAGTCCATTCCACACCAGTCAATTCCTCTTGGATTCAGTCTATTCCATTCCATTCCTTTCCGTTCTGTTCCATTCCATTTCATTGCATTCCATACCATTCCATTCCACTCGGGATGATTCCATTCCATTCCATTCCATTCCGTTCCATTCCATTCCATTCCATTCCTTTCCATTCCGTTCCATTCCATTCGGGTTGATTCCATTCCATTCCATTCAATTGCATTCCATTCCATTCCATTCCATTCCATTCCATTCCATTCCATTCCATTCCATTCCATTCCATTCCATTCCACTCAGGTTGATTCCGCTCCATTCCATTGCATTACATTCCATTTCATTCCTCTCGGGTTGATTCCTTTCCATTCCATTCAATTCCACTCGGGTTAATTCCAATCCGTTCCTTTCCATTTCACTCCATTCCATTCCATTCCATTCCACTCCTTTCCATTCCATTCCATTCCACTCTTTCCAATCCATGACATTCAACTGGGTTGAATCCCTTGCATTCCATTCCAATCCATTCCTCTCCAGTCAATTCCTCTCGGATTCAATCTATTCCATTCCATTCCTTTCTGTTCCGTTCCATTCCATTCCATTGCATTCCATATCATTCCATTCCACTCGGGATGATTCCATTCCATTCCATTCCGTTCCGTTCCATTCCATTCCATTCCATTCCATTCCATTCCATTCCATTCCGTTCCGGTCCATTCCATTCCATTCCATTCCATTCCATTCCATTCCATTCCACGCAGGTTGATTCCGCTCCATTCCATTACATTACATTCCATTTCATTCCACTCGGGTTGATTCCTTTCCATTCCTTTCAATTCCACTCGGGTGAATTCCATTCTGTTCCTTTCCATTTCACTCCATTCCATTCCATTCCATTCCATTCCATTCCATTCCGTTCCATTCTATTCGTGTTTATTTCATTCCATTCCATTCCATTCCACAGCATTCCATTCCATTCCGTTCCATTCTATTCGTGTTGTTTCCTTTCCATACCATTCCATTGCATTCCATTCCTTTCCATTCCATTCCGTTCCATTCTATTCCTGTTTATTTCATTCCAATTCTTTCCATTCCACAGCATTCCTTTCCATTCCGTTCTGTTCCATTCCATTCGTGTTGTTTCTATTCCATTCCATTCCATTCCATTCCATTCCATTCCATTCCATTCCGTTCCATTCCATTCGTGTTGATTCCATTCCATTCCATTCCACTCCTTTCCATTCCACTCCATTCCACTCCTTTCCAATCCATGACATTCAACTGGGTTGAATCCCTTGCATTCCATTCCAATCCATTCCACTACAGTCAATTCCTCTCGGATTCAATCTATTCCATTCCATTCCTTTCCGTTCTGTTCCATTCCATTCCATTCCATTCCATTCCATTCCATTCCATTCCATTCCTTTCCATTCCATTCCGTTCCATTCCATTCGGGTTGATTCCATTCCATTTTATTCCATTGCATTCTTTTCCATTCCATTCCATTCGGGTTCATTCCATTCCATTCCATTCCATCCCATTCCATTCCATTCCATTCCATTCCGTTCCGTTCCGTTCCTTTCCATTCCATTCCATTCCATTGCATTCCATTCCATTCCATTCCATTCTATTCCATTCCAGTCCATTCCATTCCACTCGGGTTGATTCCATACCATTCCATTCCATTCCATTCCATTCCATTCCATTCCATTCATTCCTTTCCATTCCATTCCATTCCATTCGGGTTGATTCCATTCCATTCCTTTCCATTCCATTTCATTCCATTCCTTTCCATTCCATTCCACTCGGGTTGATTCCGTTGCATTCCATTCCATTCCATTGCACATGGGTTGATTCCATTCCATTCCATTCCATTCCATGCATTTCCCTTACACTTGGGTTGATTCCATAGCATTCCATTGCATTCCATTACATTCCATTTCATTCCATCCCATTCGGGTTGATTCCATTCCATTCCATTCCATTCCATTACATTCCACTTCATTCCATCCCATTCGGGTTGATTCCATTCCATTCCATTCCATTCCATTCCATTCCATTCCATTCCATTCCATTCCATTCCATTCGTTTCCATTCCATTCGGGTTGATTCCATTCCATTAAATTCCACTGCATTCCATTCCATTCCATTCCACTCCATTCCATTCCATTCCACTCCATACATTCCATTCCATTCCACCCGGATTGATTCCATTGCATTCCATTCCATTCTATGCTATTCCATTCCAGTTGATTCCATTGGATTCCATTCAGTTACATTCCATTCCATTCCACTGCATTCCATTCCAGTCCATTCCATTCCATTCCATCCCATTTGGGTTGATTCCATTCCATTCCATTCCATTCTATTCCATTCCAGTCCATTCCATTCCACTCGGGTTGATTCCATACCATTCCATTCCATTCCATTCCTTTCCATTCCATTCCATTCCATTCCATTCCATTCCATTCCATTCCATTGCATTCCATTCCATTCGTTCCTTTCCATTCCATTCCATTCCATTCGGGTTGATTCCATTCCATTCCTTTCCATTCCATTTCATTCCATTCCTTTCCATTCCATTCTACTCGGGTTGATTCCGTTGCATTCCATTCCATTCCATTCCATTCCATTCTATTCCATTCCAGTCCATTCCATTCCACTCGGGTTGATTCCATTCCATTCCATTCCATTCCATTCCATTCCATTCCATTCCATTCATTCCTTTCCATTCCATTCCATTCCATTCGGTTGATTCCATTCCATTCCTTTCCATTCCATTTCATTCCATTCCTTTCCATTCCATTCCACTCGGGTTGATTCCGTTGCATTCCATTCCTTTCCATTGCACTTGGGTTGATTCCATTCCATTCCGTTTCATTCCATTCCATTCCATTCCATTCCATGCATTTCCCTTACACTCGGGTTGATTCCATAGCATTCCATTGTATTCCATTCCATTCCATTCCATTCCATCCCATTCGGGTTGATTCCATTCCATTCCATTCCATTGCATTCGATTCCATTCCATTCTGCTCCATTCCATTCGGGTTGATTACATTCCATTAAATTCCACTGCATTCCATTCCATTACATTCCACTCCATTCCATTACATTCCACTCCATACATTCCATTCCTTTCCACCCGGATTGATTCCATTCCATTCCATTCCATTCTATGCTATTCCATTCCAGCTGATTCCATTGGATTCCATTCCGTTCCATTCCATTCCACTCCTTTCCATTCCATTCCATTGCATTCGACTCGGGTTGATTCTGCTCCATTCCATTGCATTACATTCCATTTCATTCCATTCGGGTTGATTCCTTTCCATTCCATTCCGTTCCAGTCGGGTTAATTCCATTCCGTTCCTTTCCATTCCATTCCATTCCATTCCATTCCATTTCATTCTATTCCGTTCCATTACATTCGTGTTGATTCCATTCCATTCCATTCCACTCCTTTCCATTCCATTCCATTCCACTGCTTTCCAATCCATGACATTCAACTGGGTTGAATCCCTTGCATTCCACTCCATTCCATTCCACTCCAGTGAATTCCTCTCGGATTCAATCTATTCCATTCCATTCCTTTCCGTTCTGTTCCATTCCATTCCATTGCACTCCATACCATTCCATTCCACTCGGGATAATTCCATTCCATTCCATTCCATTCCATTCCATTCCATTCCATTCCATTCCTTTCCATTCCATTCCGTTCCATTCCATTCGGGTTGATTTTATTCTATTAAATTCCACTGCATTCCATTCCATTCCATTCCACTCCTTTCCATTCCATTCCACTCCATACATTCCGTTCCATTCCACCGGGATTGATTCCATACCATTCCATTCCATTCTATGCTATTCCATTCCAGTTGATTCCGTTGGATTCCATTACGTTCCATTCCATTCCATTCCATTCCTTTCCATTCCATTCCATTCCATTCCACTCCATACTATTCCATTCCATTGCATTCGACTCAGGTTAATTCCGCTCCATTCCATTGCATTACATTACATTTCATTCCACTCGGGTTGATTCCTTTCCATTCCATTCCGTCCCACTCAGGTTTATTCCATTCCGTTCCTTTCCATTTCATTCCATTCCATTCCATTCCATTCCATTCCATTCCATTCCATTCCGTTCCATTCCATTCCGTTCCATTCTATTCGTTTTTATTTCATTCTATTTCCATTCCACAGCATTCCATTCCATTCCATTCAATTCCATTCCATTCCACTCAATTTCATTACATTCCATTCCACTCGAGTTGATTCTATTCCATTCCATTCCATTCCTTTCCATTTCATTCCATGCCAGTTGATTGCATTCCTTTCCATTCCATTCCTTTCCATTCCATTCCATTCCATTCTACTCGGGTTGATTCCATTCCATTCCATTTCATTCCATTCGATTTCATTCCACTGGTGTTTATTCCATTCCACTCCATTCCATTCCATTCCATTCGGGTTTATTCCATTTCATTCCATTCCATTCCATTCCATTGCATTCCATTCCTTTCCATTCTATTCCATTCCATTCCATTCCATTTGTGTCGATTCCATTCCATTCCATTCCATTCCATTCCACTGCATTCCAATCCATTACATTGCACTCAGGTTGAATCCTTTCCATTCCATTCCAATGCATTCCCTTTCATTCAATTCCACTCGGATTCAATCAATTCCATTCTATTCCATTCCGTTCTGTTCCACTCCATTCCATTGCATTCCATACCATTCCATTCCACTCGGGTTGATTCCATTGAATTCCATCCCATTCCATTCCATTCCATTCTATTGCATTCCATTCCATTCCATTCCATTCCACTCGTGTTGATTCCCTTCCATTCCATTCCATTCCATTCCACTTGTGTTGATTCCATTCCGTTCCTTTCGATTGCATTCCATTCCATTGCATTCCATTCCATTCCATTCCATTCCGTTCCATTCCATTCGTGTTGATGCCATTCCAATCCATACCATTCCATTCCATTCCATTCCGTTCCATTCCTTTCGTGTTGATTCCATTCCATTCCATTCCACTCCATTCCAATCCATTACATTCCACTCGGGTTGTATCCATTCCTTTCCATTCCAATCCATTCCATTCCTTTCCAATCCATTCCATTCCATTCAATTCCACATGGATTCATTCTATTCTTTCCATTCCATTCCGTTCTGTTCCATTCCAGTCCATTCCATTAGATACCATTCCATTCCACTCGGGGTGATTCCATTCAATTCCATTAAATTCCGTTCAATTCCATTGCATTCCATTCCATTCCATTCCACTCGGGTGGATTCCATTCCATTCCACTCCATTCCATTCCATTCCATTCCATTCCATTCCATTCCACTCGGGTTGATTCCAGTCCGTTCCTTTCCATTTCATTCCATTCCATTCCATTCCATTCCATTCCATTCCATTCCATTCCATTCCAATCCATTCCATTCCACTCCACTCCGGTTGATTCCATTCCATTCTATTCCATTCCATTCCATTCCATTCCATTCCATTCCATTCCATTCCATTCCATTCCATTCCACTCGGGTTGATTCCATTCCATTCCATTCCATTTTATTCCATTCCATTCCGTTCCATTCCATTCCATTCCATTCCATACCATTCCACTCGGGTTGATTCCATAGCATTCCATTCCATTCCACTCGGGTTGATTCCATTCCATTCCATTCCATTCCACTCCATTCCATTCCATTCCTTTCCACTCCTTTCGATTCCATTCCATTCCATTCCACTTGGGTTGATTCCTTCCATTCCATTCCACTCCACTCGGGTTGATTCCATTCCATTCCATTCCATTCCATTCCATTCCATTCCATTCCATTGCATTCCATTCCATTCCACTCGTGTTGATTCCCTTCCATTCCATTCCATTCCATTCCACTCCATTCCACTTGGGTTGATTCCATTCCGTTCCTTTCCATTTCATTCCATACCATTCCATTCCATTCCATACCATTCCATTCCATTCCATTCCGTTCCATTCCATTTGTGTTGATTCCATTCCAGTCCATTCCACTCCATTCCAATCCGTTACATTCCACTCGGGTTGAATCCATTCCTTTCCATTCCAATCCATTCCAGTCCTTTCCAATCCATTCCATTCCATTCAATTCGACTTGGATTCAATCATCTATTTTTTCCTTTCCATTCCGTTCTGTTCCATTCCAGTCCATTGCATTAGATACCATTCCATTCCACTCGGGATGATTCCATTCAATTCCATTATATTCCGTTCAATTCCATTGCATTCCATTCCATTCCATTCCACTCGGGTTGATTCCATTCCGTTCCTTTCCATTTCATTCCATTCCATTCCATTCCATTCCATTCCATTCCATTCCATTCTGTTCCATTCCATTCCGTTCCATTCTATTCGTTTTTATTTCATTCTATTTCCATTCCACAGCATTCCATTCCATTCCATTCAATTCCATTCCATTCCACTCAATTCCATTACATTCCATTCCACTCGAGTTGATTCTATTCCATTCCATTCCATTCCATTCCATTCCATTCCATTCCATTCCATTCCATTCGGGTTCATTCCATTCCATTCCATTCCATTCCATTCCATTCCATTTCATTCCATTCCGTTCCATTCCATTCGTGTTGATTCCATTCCATTCCATTCCACTCCTTTCCAATCCATGACATTCAACTGGGTTGAATTCCTTGCATTCCATTCCAGTCCATTCCACTCCAGTCAATTCCTCTCGGATTCAATCTATTCCATTCCATTCCTTTCCGTTCTGTTCCATTCCATTCCCTTGCATTCCATACCATTCCATTCCACTTCGGATGATTCCATTCCGTTCCATTCCATTCCATTCCATTCCTTTCCATTCCGTTCCATTCCATTCCGTTCCATTCCATTCGGGTTGATTCCATTCCATTCCATTCCATTCCATTCCATTCCATTCCATTCCCTTACACTCAGGTTGATTCCGCTCCATTCCATTGCATTACATTCCATTTCATTCCACTCGGGTTGATTCCTTTCTATTCCATTCAATTCCACTCGGGTGAATTGCAATCTGTTCCTTTCCATTTTACTCCATTCCATTCCATTCCATTCCACTCCTTTCCATTCCATTCCATTCCACTCCTTTCCAATCCATGACATTCAACTGGGTTGAATCCTTTGCATTCCATTCCAATCCATTCCACTCCAGTCAATTCCTCTCAGATTCAATCTATTCCATTCCATTCCTTTCCGTTCTGTTCCATTCCATTCCATTGCATTCCATACCATTCCATTCCACTCGGGATGATTCCATTCCATTCCGTTCCATTGCATTCCATTCCATTCCATTCCATTCCATTCCATTCCATTCCGTTCCACTCAGGTTGATTCTGCTCCATTCCATTGCATTACATTCCATTTCATTCCACTCGGGTTGATTCCTTTCCATTCCATTCAATTCCACTCGAGTTAATTCCATTCTGTTCCTTTCCATTTCACTCCATTCCATTCCATTCCATTCCATTCCATTCCATTCCATTCCGTTCCGTTCCATTCTATTCGTGTTTATTTCATTCCATTCCATTCCATTCCACAGCATTCCATTCCATTCCGTTCCATTCTATTCATGTTGTTTCCTTTCCATTCCATTCCATTGCATTGCATTCCTTTCCTTTCCATTCCATTCCATTCCATTCTATTCGTGTTTATTTCATTCCAATTCTTTCCATTCCACAGCATTCCATTCCATTCCGTTCCGTTCCATTCCATTCGTGTTGTTTCTATTCCACTCCATTCCATTCCATTCCATTCCATTCCGTTCCATTCCATTCGTGTTGATTCCATTCCATTCCATTCCACTGCTTTCCATTCCACTCCGTTCCACTCCTTTCCAATCCATGACATTCAACTGGATTGAATCCCTTGCATTCCATTCCAATCCATTCCACTACAGTCAATTCCTCTCGGATTCAATCTATTCCATTCCATTCCTTTCGGTTCTGTTCCATTCCATTCCATTCCATTCAATTCCATTCCATTCCATTCCTTTCCATTCCATTCCGTTCCATTCCATTCGGGTTGATTCCATTTCATTTTATTCCATTGCATTCCTTTCCATTCCATTCCATTCGGGTTCATTCCATTCCATTCCATTCTATTCCATTCCATTGCATTCCATTCCGTTCCTTTCCATTCCATTCCATTCCATTGCATTCCATTCCATTCTATTCCATTCCAGTACATTCCATTCCACTCGGGTTGATTCCATACCATTCCATTCTATTCCATTCATTCCTTTCCATTCCATTACATTCCATTCGGGTTGATTCCATTCCATTCCTTTCCATTCCATTTCATTCCATTCCTTTCCCTTCCATTCCACTCGGGTTGATTCCGTTGCATTCCATTCCATTCCATTGCACTTGGGTTGATTCCATTCCATTCCATTCCATTCCATTCCATTCCATGCATTTCCCTTACACTCGGGTTGATTCCATAGCATTCCATTGCATTCCATTACATTCCATTTCATTCCATCCCATTCGGGTTGATCATTCCATTCCATTCCATTCCATTCCATTCCATTCCATTCCATTCCTTTCCATTCCATTCGGGTTGATTCCATTCCATTAAATTCAACTGCATTCCATTCCATTCCATTCCACTGCATTCCATTCCATTCCACTCCATACATTCCATTCCATTCCACCCGGATTGATTCCATTCCATTCCATTCCATTCTATGCTATTCCATTCCAGTTGATTCCATTGGATTCCATTCAGTTACATTCCATTCCATTCCATTCCATTCCATTCCGTTCCATTCCATTCCACTCCTTTCCATTTCATTCCATTGCATTCGACTCAGGTTGATTCCGCTCCATTGCATTGCATTACATTCCATTTCATTCCACTCGGATTGATTCCTTTCCATTTCATTCCGTTCCACTCGGGTTAATTGCATTCCGTTCCTTTCCATTTCATTCCATTCCATTCCATTCCATTCCATTCCATTCCATTCCATTCCATTCCGTTCCATTCTATTCGTGTTTATTTCATTCCATTCCATTCGATTCCACAGCATTCCATTCCATTCCATTCCGTTCCATTCCATTTGTCTTGTTTCCATTCCATTCCATTCCATTCCATTCCATTCCATTCCATTCCATTCCATTCCATTCCATTCCGTTCCATTCCATTCGTGTTGATACCATTCCATTCCATTCCACTCCTTTCCAATCCATGACATTCAACTGGGTTGAATCCCTTGCATTCCATTCCAATCCATTCCACTCCAGTCAATTCCTCTCGGATTCAATCTATTCCATTCCATTCCTTTCCGTTCTGTTCCATTCCATTCCATTGCATTCCATACCATTCCATTCCACTCGGGATAATTCCATTCCATTCCATTCCATTCCATTCCATTCCATTCCATTCCATTCCATTCCATTCCTTTCCATTCCATTCCGTTCCATTCCATTCGGGTTGATTCTATTCTATTAAATTCCACTGCATTCCATTCCATTCCATTCCACTCCTTTCCATTCCATTCCACTCCATACATTCCGTTCCATTCCACCGGGATTGATTCCATACCATTCCATTCCATTCTATGCTATTCAATTCCAGTTGATTCCGTTGGATTCCATTACGTTCCATTCCATTCCATTCCATTCCTTTCCATTCCATTCCATTCCATTCCACTCCATACTATTCCATTCCATTGCATTCGACTCAGGTTGATTCCACTCCATTCCATTGCATTACATTACATTTCATTCCACTCGGGTTGATTCCTTTCCATTCCATTCCGTCCCACTCAGGTTTATTCCATTCCGTTCCTTTCCATTTCATTCCATTCCATTCCATTCCATTCCATTCCATTCCATTACATTCCATTCCGTTCCATTCCATTCCGTTCCATTCTATTCGTTTTTATTTCATTCTATTTCCATTCCACAGCATTCCATTCCATTCCATTCAATTCCATTCCATTCCACTCAATTTCATTACATTCCATTCCACTCGAGTTGATTCTATTCCATTCCATTCCATTCCATTCCATTCCATTCCATATCATTCCATGCCAGTTGATTGCATTCCTTTCCATTCCATTCCTTTCCATTCCATTCCATTCCATTCTACTCGGGTTGATTCCATTCCATTCCATTTCATTCCATTCGATTTCATTCCACTGGTGTTTATTCCATTCCACTCCATTCCATTCCATTCCATTCGGGTTTATTCCATTTCATTCCATTCCATTCCATTCCTTTCCATTCTATTCCATTCCATTCCATTCCATTTGTGTCGATTCCATTCCATTCCATTCCATTCCATTCCATTCCATTCCATTCCACTGCATTCCAATCCATTACATTGCACTCGGGTTGAATCCTTTCCATTCCATTCCAATGCATTCCCTTCCATTCAATTCCACTCGGATTCAATCAATTCCATTCTATTCCATTCCGTTCTGTTCCACTCCATTCCATTGCATTCTATACCATTCCATTCCACTCGGGTTGATTCCATTGAATTCCATCCTATTCCATTCCATTCCATTCTATTGCATTCCATTCCATTCCATTCCACTCGTGTTGATTCCCTTCCATTCCATTCCATTCCATTCCATTCCATTCCATTCCATTCCACTTGGGTTGATTCCATTCCGTTCCTTTCGATTGCATTCCATTCCATTGCATTCCATTCCATTCCATTCCATTCCATTCCGTTCCATTCCATTCGTGTTGATGCCATTCCAATCCATACCATTCCATTCCATTCCATTCCATTCCATTCCGTTCCATTCCTTTCGTGTTGATTCCATTCCATTCCATTCCATTCCATTCCACTCCATTCCAATCCATTACATTCCACTCGGGTTGAATCCATTCCTTTCCATTCCAATCCATTCCATTCCTTTCAATCCATTCCATTCCATTCAATTCCATATGGATTCAATCTATTCTTTACATTCCATTCCGTTCTGTTCCATTCCAGTCCATTGCATTAGATACCATTCCATTCCACTCGGGGTGATTCCATTCAATTCCATTATATTCCGTTCAATTCCATTGCATTCCATTCCATTCCATTCCACTCGGGTGGATTCCACTCCATTCCATTCCATTCCATTCCATTCCATTCCATTTCATTCCATTCCCCTCGGGTTGATTCCAGTCCGTTCCTTTCCATTTCATTCCATTCCATTCCACTCCATTCCATTCCATTCCATTCCATTCCATTCCATTCCATTCCATTCCAATCCATTCCATTCCACTCCACTCCGGTTGATTCCATTCCATTCCATTCCATTCCATTCCGTTCCGTTCCGTTCCGTTCCATTCCATTCCATTCCATACCATTCCACTCGGGTTGATTCCATACCATTCCATTCCATTCCACTCGGGTTGATTCCATTCCATTCCATTCCATTCCATTCCATTCCATTCCATTCCATTCGTGTTGATTCCATTGCATTCCATTCCATTCCACTCCATTCCATTCCATTTCATTCCATTCCAGTTGATTCCATTCCTTTCCATTCCATTCCTTTCCATTCCATTCCATTCCATTCTACTCGGTTTGATTCCATTCCATTCCATTTCATTCCATTCGATTTCATTCCACTGGTGTTTATTCCATTCCACTCCATTCCATTCCATTCCATTCCATTCGGGTTTATTCCATTTCATTCCATTCCATTCCATTCCATTGCATTCCATTCCTTTCCATTCTATTCCATTCCATTCCATTCCATTTGTGTTGATTCCATTCCATTCCATTCCACTGCATTCCAACCCATTACATTGCACTCGGGTTGAATCCTTTCCATTCCATTCCAATGCATTCCCTTTCATTCAATTCCACTCGGATTCAATCAATTCCATTCTATTCCATTCCGTTCTGTTCCACTCCATTCCATTGCATTCCATACCATTCCATTCCACTCGGGTTGATTCCATTGAATTCCATCCCATTCCATTCCATTCCATTCTATTGCATTCCATTCCATTCCATTCCATTCCACTCGTGTTGATTCCCTTCCATTCCATTCCATTCCATTCCACTTGTGTTGATTCCATTCCGTTCCTTTCGATTGCATTCCATTCCATTGCATTCCATTCCATTCCATTCCATTCCGTTCCATTCCATTCGTGTTGATGCCATTCCAATCCATACCATTCCATTCCATTCCATTCCGTTCCATTCCTTTCGTGTTGATTCCATTCCATTCCATTCCACTCCATTCCAATCCATTACATTCCACTCGGGTTGTATCCATTCCTTTCCATTCCAATCCATTCCATTCCTTTCCAATCCATTCCATTCCATTCAATTCCACATGGATTCATTCTATTCTTTCCATTCCATTCCGTTCTGTTCCATTCCAGTCCATTCCATTAGATACCATTCCATTCCACTCGGGGTGATTCCATTCAATTCCATTAAATTCCGTTCAATTCCATTGCATTCCATTCCATTCCATTCCACTCGGGTGGATTCCATTCCATTCCATTCCATTCCATTCCATTCCATTCCATTCCATTCCATTCCATTCCACTCGGGTTGATTCCAGTCCGTTCCTTTCCATTTCATTCTATTCCATTCCATTCCATTCCATTCCAATCCATTCCATTCCACTCCACTCCGGTTGATTCCATTCCATTCTATTCCATTCCATTCCATTCCATTCCATTCCATTCCATTCCATTCCATTCCACTCGGGTTGATTCCATTCCATTCCATTCCATTCCATTCCACTCCATTCCATTCCATTCCTTTCAACTCCTTTCCATTCCATTCCATTCCATTCCACTTGGGTTGATTCCTTCCATTCCATTCCACTCCACTCGGGTTGATTCCATTCCATTCCATTCCATTCCATTCCATTCCATTGCGTTCCATTCCATTCCATTGCATTCCATTCCATTCCATTCCACTCGTGTTGATTCCCTTCCATTCCATTCCATTCCATTCCACTTGGGTTGATTCCATTCCGTTCCTTTCCATTTCATTCCATACCATTCCATTCCATTCCATTCCATTCCATTCCATTCCGTTCCATTCCATTTGTGTTGATTCCATTCCAGTCCATTCCACTCCATTCCAATCCATTACATTCCACTCGGGTTGAATCCATTCCTTTCCATTCCAATCCATTCCAGTCCTTTCCAATCCATTCCATTCCATTCAATTCGACTTGGATTCAATCATCTATTTTTTCCATTCCATTCCGTTCTGTTCCATTCCAGTCCATTGCATTAGATACCATTCCATTCCACTCGGGATGATTTCATTCAATTCCATTATATTCCATTCAATTCCATTGCATTCCATTCCATTCCATTCCACTCGGGTTGATTCCATTCCGTTCCTTTCCATTTCATTCCATTCCATTCCATTCCGTTCCATTCCATTCCATTCCATTCCATTCCATTCCACTCCATTAAATTCCACTCCACTCCGGTTGATTCCATTCCATTTCATTCCATTCCATTTCACTCGAGTTGATTCCATTCCATTCCATTCCATTTTATTCCATTCCATTCCATGAAATTCCATTCCATTCCACTCCACTCAGGTTGATTCCTTTCCATTCCATTTCATTCCATTCCTTTCCATTCCATTCCATTCCACTCCACTCCACTCCATTCCATTCCATTCCACTCGGGTTGATTCCATTCCATTCCATTCCAATCCATTCCATTCCATTCCATTCCATTCCATTCCATTCCATTCCATTCCATTCGGGTTCATTCCATTCCATTCCATTCCATTCCATTCCATTCCATTCCACTCGTGTTGTTTCCATTCCATTCCTTTCAATTTCATTCTATTCCATTCCATTCCATTCCATTCCATTCTATTCCATTCCACTCGGGTTGATTCCATACCATTCTATTCCATTCCATTCCATTCAATTCCGTTCCATTCCATTCCATTCCATTCCATTAAATTCCACTTGGGTAGATTCCATTCCATTCCATTCCATTCCATTCCATTCCATTCCATTCCATTCCTTTAGTTTCTAATCGGGTTGATTCCAATCCATTCCATTATATTCAAGTCCTTTCCATTCCCTGCCATTCCACTCGGGTTGTTTCCATTTTGTTGTATTCCATTCCATTCCATTCCATTGCATTGCATTCCACTCTGGTTGTTTCCATTCCATTCCATTAGTTTCCATTCCATTCCATTCCTTTCCTTTCCATTCCATTCCATTCCATTCCTTTCCACTCAGGGTGATTCAATTCCGTTCCATTCCAATGCATTCCATTCCAGTTGATAACATAGCATTGTATTCTTTCCATTCCATTCCTTTCCATTCCATTACATTACATTCCACTCGGTTTGATTCATCTCCATTCCATTCCATTCCATTCCATTCCATTCCATTCCATTCCATACCATTCCACCAAAGTTGATTGCATGCTATTCCATTCCATTCCATTCCATTCCATTCCATTCCATTCCATTCCATTCCATTCCACTTGGGTTGATTCCATTCCATTCAATTCCGTTCCGTTCCGTTCCGTTCCGTTCCATTCCATTCCATTCTGTTCCATTCCATTTCATTCCATTGCATTCCACTCAGGTTGATTCCATTCCATTCCATTCCATACCCTTCGGGTTGATTCCTTCCCATTCCATTCCATTCCATACCATTCCACTCCATTCCGTTCCATTCCATTCGGGTTGATTCTGTTCCATTCCATTCCCTTTTATTCCATTCCATTCCATTCCTTTCCATTCCATTCCATACCATTCCACCAAAGTTGATTGCATGTTATTCCGTTCCATTCCTTTCCATTCCATTCCATACCATTCCACCAAAGTTGATTGTATGTTATTCCATTCCATTCCATTCCATTCCATTCCATTCCATTCCATTCCACTCGGATTGATTCCATTCCATTCAATTCCGTTCCGTTCCGTTCCATTCCATTCCATTCCATTTCATTCCATTGCATTAAACTCGGGTTGATTCCATTCCATTCCTTTTCATTCCATTCCGTTCCATTCCATTACATTCCATACCCTTCAGTTTGATTCCTTTCCATTCCATTCCATTCCATTCTATTCCATTCCATTCCATTCCATACCATTCCACCAAAGTTGATTGCATGTTATTCCATTCAATTCCATTCCATTCCTTTCCACTCGGGTTGATTCCATTCCATTCAATTCCGTTCCGTTCTGTTCCATTCCATTCCATTGCATTAGATACCATTCCATTCCACTCGGGATGATTCCATTCAATTCCATTATATTCCGTTCAATTCCATTGCATTCCATTCCATTCCATTTCACTCGGGTGGATTGCATTCCATTCCATTCCATTCCATTCCATTCCACTCGGGTTGATTCCATTCCGTTCCTTTCCATTTCATTCCATTCCATTCCATTCCATTCCATTCCATTCCATTCCATTCCATTCCACTCCATTAAATTCCACTCCACTCCGGTTGATTCCATTCCATTTCATTCCATTCAATTTCACTCGAGTTGATTCCATTCCATTCCATTCCATTTTATTCCATTCCATTCCATGAAATTCCATTCCATTCCACTCCACTCGGGCTGATTCCTTTCCATTCCATTTCATTCCATTCCTTTCCATTCCATTCCATTCCACTCCACTCCATTCCATTCCATTCCACTCGGGTTGATTCCATTCCATTCCATTCCAATCCATTCCATTCCATTCTATTCCATTCCATTCCATTCAATTCCGTTCCATTCCATTCCATTCCATTCCATTCCATTCCATTCCATTCCATTCCATTAAATTCCATTCCATTCCATTCCACTTTGGTAGATTCCATTCCATTCCATTCCATTCCATTCCTTTAGTTTCTAATCGGGTTGATTCCAATCCATTCCATTATATTCAAGTCCTTTCCATTCCATGCCATTCCACTCGGGTTGTTTCCATTTTGTTGTATTCCATTCCATTCCATTCCATTGCATTCAATTCCATTGCATTCCATTCCACTCTGGTTGTTTCCATTCCATTCCATTAGTTTCCATTCCATTCCATTCCTTTCCTTTCCATTCCATTCCATTCCATTCCTTTCCACTCAGGGTCATTCAATTCCGTTCCATTCCAATGCATTCCATTCCAGTTTATACCATTGCATTGTATTGTTTCCATTCCATTCCTTTCCATTCCATTACATTACATTCCACTCGGTTTGATTCATTTTCATTCCATTCCATTCCATTCCATACCATTCCACCAAAGTTGATTGCATGCTATTCCATTCCATTCCATTCCATTCCATTCCATTCCATTCCATTCCATTCCATTCCATTCCATTCCATTCCACTTGGGTTGATTCCATTCCATTCAATTCCGTTCCGTTCCGTTCTGTTCCATTCCATTCCATTCTGTTCCATTCCATTTCATTCCATTGCATTCCACTCAGGTTGATTCCATTCCATTCCTTTCCATTCCATTGCATTCCATTCCATTCCATTCCATTCCATTCCATTCCATACCCTTCGGGTTGATTCCTTCCCATTCCATTCCATTCCATACCATTCCACTCCATTCCATTCCATTCCATTCGGGTTGATTCTGTTCCATTCCATTCCCTTTTATTCCATTCCATTCCATTCCATTCCATTCCATTCCATACCATTCCACCAAAGTTGATTGCATGTTATTCCATTCCATTCCTTTCCATTCCATTCCATACCATTCCACCAAAGTTGATTGCATGTTATTCCATTCCATTCCATTCCATTCCATTCCATTGCATTCCATTCCATTCCATTCCATTCCACTCGGATTGATTCCATTCCATTCAATTCCGTTCCGTTCCGTTCCGTTGCATTCCATTCCATTCCATTTCATTCCATTGCATTCCACTCGGGTTGATTCCATTCCATTCCTTTTCATTCCATTCCGTTCCATTCCATTACATTCCATACCCTTCGGTTTGATTCCTTTCCATTCCATTCCATTCCATACCATTCCACTCCATTCCACTCCATTCCATTCGGGTTGATTCCGTTCCATTCCATGCCCTTTTATTCCATTCCATTCCATTCCATTCCATTACATTCCATTACATTCCATACCATTCCACCAAAGTTGATTGCATGTTATTCCATTCAATTCCATTCTATTCCTTTCCACTCGGGTTGGTTCCATTCCATTCAATTCCGTTCCGTTCCGTTCCATTCCATTCCATTTCATTCCATTGCATTCCACTCGGGTTGATTCCATTCAATTCCATTCCATTCCATACCCTTCAGGTTGATTCCTTTCCATTCCATTCCATTCCATCCCATTCCACTCCGTTTCGCTCCATTCCATTCGGGTTGATTCCGTTCCATTCCATGCCCTTTTATTCCATTCCATTGCATTCCATTCCATTCCATTCCATTCCATTCCATTCCATTCCATTCCATTCCATTCCACTCGGGTTGTTTCCATTCCATTCCTTTCCATTTCATTCTATTCCATTCCATTCCATTCCATTCTATTCCATTCCATTCCACTGCATTCCATTCCATTCCTCTCCGGTTATTCCATTCCATTCCATTCCATCCCACTCGAGTTGTTTCCATTCCATTCCATTCCATTTTATTCCATTCCATTCCGTTCCATTACATTCCATTCTATACCATTCCACTTGGGTTGATTTCATACCATTCTATTCCATACCATTCCAATAAATTCCATTCCATTCCATTCCACTCGGGTAGATTCCATTCCATTGCATTCCATTCCATTCCGTTCCGTTCCATTCCATTCCATTCCACTCCATTCCATTCCATTCCATTCCATTAAATTCCATTCCATTCCATTCCACTCGGGTAGATTCCATTCCATTCCATTCCATTAGTTTCTAATCGGGTTGATTCCAATCCATTCCATTCTATTCAAGTCCTTTCTATTCCATGCCATTCCACTCGGGTTGTTTCCATTTTGTTTTATTCCATTCCATTCCATTCCAATCCATTGCATTCCATTCCACTCGGGTTTTTTCCATTCCATTCCATTAGTTTCCATTCCATTCCATTGCTTTCCATTCCATTCCATTCCATTCCTTTCCACTCAGGGTGATTCCATTCCATGCCCTTTTATTCCATTCCATTGCATTCCTCTCGAGTTGTTTCCATTCCATTCCATTCCATTTTATTCCATTCCATTCCGTTCCATTACATTCCATTCTATACCATTCCACTCGGGTTGATTTCATACCATTCTATTCCATTCCATTCCATTAAATTCCATTCCATTCCATTCCACTCGGGTAGATTCCATTCCATTGCATTCCATTCTATTCCGTTCCGTTCCATTCCATTCCATTCCATTCCATTCCATTCCATTCCATCCCATTCCATTCCATTAAAATCCATTCCATTCCATTCCACTCGGGTAGATTCCATTCCATTCCATTCCATTAGTTTCTAATCGGGTTGATTCCAATCCATTCCATTCTATTCAAGTCCTTTCGATTCCATGCCATTCCACTCGGGTTGTTTCCATTTTGTTGTATTCCATTCCATTCCATTCCATTCCAATCCATTGCATTCCATTCCACTCGGGTTGTTTCCATTCCGTTCCATTAGTTTCCATTCCATTCCATTCCTTTCCATTCCATTCTATTCCATTCCTTTCCACTCAGGGCGATTCCATTCCATTCCATTCCAATGCATTCCATTCCAGTTGATACCATTGCATTGCATTGTTTCCATGCCATTCTATTGCTTTCCATTCCATTCCACTCGTGTTGTTTCCGTTCCATTCCTTTCCATTTCATTCTATTCCATTCCATTCCATTCCATTCAATTCCATTCGATTCCACTCCATTCCATTCCATTCCTCTCCGGTTATTCCATTCCATTGCATTCCTTCCCACTCGGGTTTTTTCCATTCCATTCGATTCCATTTTATTCCAATCCATTCCGTTCCATTACATTCCATTCTTTACCATTCCACTCAGGTTGATTCCATACCATCCTATTCCTTTCCACTCCATTAAATTCCATTCCATTCCATTCCACTCGGGTAGATTCCATTCCATTTCGTTCCATTGCATTCCATTCCATTCCATTAAATTCCATTCCATTCCATTCCACTCGGGTAGATTCCATTCCATTTCGTTCCATTGCATTCCATTCCATTCCATTAAATTCCATTCCATTCCATTCCACTCGGGTAGATTCCATTCCATTCCATTCCATTCCATTAGTTTCTAATCTGGTTGATTCTAATCCATTCCACTATATTCAAGTGCTTTCCATTCCATGCCATTCCACTCGGATTGTTTCCATTTTGTTGTATTCCATTCCATTCCATTCCATTGCATTCCATTCCATTGCATTCCATTCCACTTGGTTGTTTCCATTCCTTTCCATTAGTTTCCATTCCATTCCATTCCTTTCCGTTCCATTCCATTCTATTCCTTTCCACTCAGGGTGATTCCATTCCATTCCATTCCAATGCATTCCATTCCAGTTGATACCATTGCATTGCGTTGTTTCCATTCCATTCCAATCCATTCCATTCCATTCCATTCCATTCCATTCCATTCCATTTCATTCCACTCGATTTTATTCATTGCCATTCCATTCCATTCCATTCCATTCCATTCCATTTCATTCCTCTCGGGTTGATTCCATTCCATTCCATGCCCCTTTATTCCATTCCATTCCATTCCATTCCATTCCATTCCATTCCATTCCATTCCATTCCATTCCATAACATTCCACCAAAGTTGATTGCATGCTATTCCATTCCATACCATTCCATTCCATTCCATTCCATTCCATTCCATTCCATTCCATTCCATTCCTTTCCACTTGGGTTGATTCCATTCCATTCAATTCTGTTCCGTTCCATTCCGTTCCATTCCATTCCATTCCATTCCATTCCATTCCATTCCATTCCATTCCATTTCATTCCATTGCATTCCACTCGGTTTGATTCCATTCCATTCCATTCCATTCCATTCCATTCCATACACTTCGGGTTGATTCCTTTCCATTCCATTCCATTCCATACAATTCCACTCCATTCCGTTCCATTCCATTCAGGTTGATTCTGTTCCATTCCATGTCCTTTTATTCCATTCCATTCCATTCCATTCCATTCCATTCCATTCCATACCATTCCACAAAAGTTGATTGCATGTTATTCCATTCCATTCCATTCCATTCCATTCCATTCCATTCCTTTCCACTCAGTTTGATTCCATTCTATTCAATTCCGTTCTGTTCTGTTCCGTTCCATTCCATTCCATTCCATTTCATTCCATTGCATTGCACTCGAGTTGATTCCATTCCTTTCCATTCTATTCCATTCCATTCTATTCCATACCCTTCGGGTTGATTCCTTTCCATTCCATTAAATATCATTCCACTCCATTCCGCTCCATTCCATTCGGGTTGATTCCGTTCCATTCCATGCCCTTTTATTCCATTCCATTCCATTCCATTCCATTCCATTCCATTCCGTTCCATTCCATTCCGTTCCATTCCATACCCTTCAGGTTGATTCCTTTCCATTCTATTCCATTCCATACCATTCCACTCCATTCTATTCCATTCCATTTGGGTTGATTGCATTCCATTCCGTTCCGTTCCATTCCATTGCATACCATTCCACTAGGGTTGATTCCATACCATTCCATTCCATTCCATTCCATTCCATTCCATTCCATTCCATTCCACTCGTGTTGATTCCATTCCATTCCATTCCAATGCATTCCATTCCAGTTGATACCATTGAATTGCATTGTTTCCATTCCGTTCCATTCCATTCCATTCCATTCCATTCAATTCCATTCCATTCCAGTTGATACCATTGAATTGCATTGTTTCCATTCCGTTCCATTCCATTCCATTCCATTTCATTCAATTCCATTCCTTTCCACTCGGTTTGATTCATTTCCATTCCATTGCATTCCATTCCATTCCATTCCATACCATTCCACCAAAGTTGATTGCATGCTATTCCATTCCATTCCGTTCCATTCCATTCAATTCCATTCCTTTCCACTTGGGTTGATTCCATTCCATTCAATTCCGTTCCGTTCTGTCCCGTTCCATTCCATTCCATTTCATTACATTTCATTCCATTGCATTCCACTAGGGTTAATTCCATTCCATTCCTTTCCATTCCATTCCATTCCATTCCCTTCGGGTTAATTCCTTTCCATTCCATTCCATTCCATACCATTCCGTTCCATTCCATTCGGGTTGATTTGGTTCTTTCCATGCCCTTTTATTCCATTCTATTCCATTCCATTCCATTCCATTCCATACCATTCCACCAAAGTTGATTGCATGTTGTTCCATTCCATTCCATTCCATTCCATTCCATTCCATTCCATTCCATTCCTTTCCACTCGGGTTCATTCCATTCCATTCAATTCCGTTCCGTTCCTTTCTGTTCCGTTCCATTCCATTCCATTTCATTCCATTGCATTCCACTCGGGATGATTCCATTCCATTCCATTCCATTCCATTCCATTCCATTCCATTCCATTCCATTCCATTCCCTTCGAGTTGATTCCTTTCCATTCCATTCCATTCCATTCCATTCCACTCCATTCCATTCCATTCCATTCCACTCCATTCCATTCCATTCCATTCCACTCCATTCCATTACATTCCATTCCACTCAGGTTAATTCCGTTCCATTCCATTCCAATCCATTCCATTCCATTCAATTCCATTGGGGTCCATTCCATTCCATTCCATTCCGTTCCGTTCCGTTCCATTCCATTCAATTCCATTCCATTGCATTCCATACCTTTCCATTCTATTCTATTCCATTCCATTCCATTCCATTCCATTCCATGCCATTCCATTCCATTTGACTCAGGTTGATTCCGTTCCATTCCATTCCATTCCATTCCATTCCATTCCATTCCATTCCATTCCAGTTGATTCCATTGCATTCCATTCCATTCCATTCCATTCCGTTCCATTCCATTCCATTCCATTCCATTCCATTCCATTCCTTTCCACTCGGGTTGATTCCATTCCATTCCATTCCTTTCCATTCCATTCCATTCCGTTCCACTCGGCTTGATTCCATTCCATTCCATTCCATTTTTTCCAATCCACTCGGGTTGATTCCATTCTATTCCATTCCATTCCAGTTGATTCCATTCCATTCCATTCCATTCCATTCCATTCCATTCCATTCCATTCAGGTTGATTCAGTTCCTTTCCATTCCATTCCATTTCATTCCATTCCAGTTGATTCCATTGCGTTCCATTCCATTCAAATGCATTCCATTCCATTCCATTCCATTCCATTCCATTCCATTCCATTCCATTCCATTCCATTCGGGTTGATTCCATTCCATTCAATTCCATTCCATTCCACTCCATTCCATTACATTTCATTGCACTCTGGTTGATTCCATTCCATTCCATTCCAATCCATTGCATTCCGTTCCATTGCATTCGGGTTCATTCCATTCCATTCCGTTCCGTTCCATTCCATTCCATTCCATTCCAATCCATTCCATTGCATTCCATTCGTGTTGATTCCATTGCATTCCATTCCATTCCACTCCATTCCATTCCATTTCATTCCATTCCAGTTGATTCCATTCCTTTCCATTCCATTCCATTCCATTCCATTCTGTTACATTCTACTCGGGTTGATTCCATTCCATTCCATTTCATTCCATTCGATTTCATTCCACTGGTGTTTATTCCATTCCACTCCATTCCATTCCATTCCATTCGGGTTTATTCCATTTCTTTCCATTCCATTGCATTCCATTCCTTTCCATTCTATTCCTTTCCATTCCATTCCATTTGTGTTGATTCCATTCCATTCCATCCCATTCCATTCCATTCCATTCCATTCTATTGCATTCCATTCCATTCCATTCCACTCGTGTTGATTCCCTTCCATTCCATTCCATTCCATTCCATTCCATTCCATTCCATTCCACTTGGGTTGATTCCATTCCATTCCTTTCCATTGCATTCCATTCCATTGCATTCCATTCCATTCCATTCCATTTCATTCCATTCTATTCCATTCCGTTCCATTCCATTCGTGTTGATGCCATTCCAATCCATACCATTCCATTCCATTCCATTCCGTTCCGTTCCATTCCTTTCGTGTTGATTCCATTCCATTCCATTCCACTCCATTCCAATCCATTACATTCCACTCGGGTTGAATCCATTCCTTTCCATTCCAATCCATTCCATTCCTTTCCAATCCATTCCATTCCATTCAATTCCACCTGGATTCAATCTATTCTTTCCATTCCATTCCGTTCTGTTCCATTGCAGTCCATTGCATTAGATACCATTCCATTCCACTCGGGATGATTCCTTTCAATTCCATTATATTCTGTTCAATTCCATTCCACTCAGGTGGATTCCATTCCATTCCATTCCATTCCATTCCATTCCATTCCATTCCATTCCATTCCACTCGGTTTGATTCCATTCCGTTCCTTTCCATTTCATTCCATTCCATTCCATTCCATTCCATTCCATTCCAATCCATTCCGTTCCACTCCACTCCGGTTGATTCCATTCCATTCCATTCCATTCCATTCCATTCCATTCCATTCCATTCCATTCCATCCCATTCGGGTTGATTCCATTCTATTCTCTTCCTTTCCATTCCATTCCATTCCGTTCCATTCCATTCGGGTTGATTCTATACCATTCCATTCCATTCTATTCCATTCCATTCCATTCCATTCCATTCCATTCCATTCCACTTCTTTCCATTCCATTCCACTCCATTACATTACATTCAATTCAACCGAGATTGATTCTATTCCATTCCATTCCAGTTGATTCCATTGGATTCAATTCTGTTCCATTCCATTCCATTCCACTCGGGTTGATTCCATTCCGTTCCTTTCCATTCCATTCCTTTCCGTTCCATTCCATTCGTGTTGATTCCATTCCATTCCACTCCAATCCATTCCATTCCATTCCAATCCATTCCATTCCATTCAATTCCACTCGCATTCAATCTATTCCATTCCATTTCATTCCGTTCTGTTCCATTCCATTCTATTGCTTTCCATACCATTCCATTCCACTCGGGATGATTCCATTCCATTCCATTATATTCCGTTCCATTCCATTCCACTCGGGTTGATTCCATTCCATTCCATTCCATTCCATTCCATTCCATTCCATTCCATTCCACTCGGTTTGTTTCCATTCCATTCCTTTCCATTTCATTCTAATCCATTCCATTCCATTCCATTCTATTCCATTCCATTCCACTCCATTCCATTCCATTCCTCTCCGGTTATTCCATTCCATTCCATTCCATTCCACTCGGGTTGTTTCCATTCCATTCCATTCCATTTTATTCCGTTCCGTTCCATTACATTACATTCTATACCATTCCACTCGGGTTGATTCCATACCATTCTGTTCCATTCCATTCCGTTCCATTCTATTCCATTAAATTCCATTCCATTCCATTCCACTTGGGTAGATTCCATTCCATTCCATTCCATTCCATTCCATTCCATTCCATTCCATTCCATTAGTTTCTAATCGGGTGATTCCAATCCATTCCATTATATTCAAGTCCTTTCCATTCCATGCCATTCCACTCGGGTTGTTTCCATTTTGTTGTATTCCATTCCATTCCATTCCATTCCATTCCATTCCATTCCATTCCATTCCATTCTATTAGTTTCTAATCGGGTGATTCCAATCCATTCCATGATATTCAAGTCCTTTCCATTCCATGCCATTCCACTCGGGTTGTTTCCATTTTGTTGTATTCCATTCCATTCCATTCCATTCCATTCCATTCCATTCCATTCCATTCCATTCCATTCCATTGCATTCCATTCCACTCTGGTTGTTTCCATTCCGTTCCATTAGTTTCCATTCCATTCCATTCCTTTCGATTCCATTCCATTCCATTCCATTCCATTCCATTCCATTCCATTCCATTCCTTTCCACTCAGGGTGATTCAATTCCATTCCATTCCAATGCATTCCATTCCAGCTGATACCATTGCATTGCATTGTTTCCATTCCATTCCTTTCTATTCCATTACATTACATTCCACTCGGTTTGATTCATTTCCATTCCATTCAATTCCATTCCATTCCATTCGTCTCGGGTTGATTCCATTCCATTCCATGCCCTTTTATTCCATCCCATTCCACTCCATTCCATTCCATTCCATTCCATTCCATTCCATTCCATACCATTCCAACACAGTTGATTGCATGCTATTCCATTCCATTCTATTCCATTCCATTCCATTCCACTCCATTCCATTCCATTCCATTCCATTCCATTCCATTCCATTCCATTCCATTCCATTCCACTTGGGTTGATTCCATTCCATTCAATTCCATTCCGTTCCGTTCCGTTCCATTCCATTCCATTCTGTTCCATTCCATTTCATTCCATTGCATTCCACTCAGGTTTATTCCATTCCATTCCATTCCATTCCATTCCATTCCATTCCATTCCATACCCTTCGGGTTGATTCCTTCCCATTCCATTCCATTCCATACCATTCCACTCCATTCCGTTCCATTCCATTCGGGTTGATTCTGTTCCATTCCATGCCCTTTTGTTCCATTCCATTCCATTCCATTCCATACCATTCCACCAAAGTTGATTGTATGTTATTCCATTCCATTCCATTCCATTCCTTTCCATTCCATTCCATTCCATTCCATTCCATTCCATTCCATTCCATTCCATTCCATTCCACTCGGGTTGATTCCATTCCATTCAATTCCGTTCCGTTCCGTTCCGTTCCATTCCATTCCATTCCATTTCATTCCATTGCATTCCACTCGGGTTGATTCCATTCCTTTCCATTCCATTCCATTCCATTCCATTCCATTCCATTCCATTCCATACCCTTCGGGTTGATTCCTTTCCATTCCATTCCATTCCATACCATTCCACTCTATTCCGCTCCATTCCATTTGGGTTGATTCCATTCCATTCCATGCCCTTTTATTCCATTCCTTTCCACTCCATTCCATTCCATACCATTCCACCAAAATTGATTGCATGTTATTCCATTCCATTCCATTCCATTCCTTTCCACTCGGGTTGATTCCATTCCATTCAATTCCGTTCCGTTCCGTTCCATTCCATTCCATTTCATTCCATTGCATTCCACTCGGGTTGATTCCATTCCATTCCATTCCATTCCATTCCATTCCATTCCATTCCATTCCATTCCATACCCTTCAGGTTGATTCCTTTCCATTCCATTCCATTCCATGCCATTCCACTCCATTCCGCTCCATTCCATTCGGGTTGATTCCGTTCCATTCCATGCCCTTTTATTCCATTCCATTCCATTCCATTCCATTCCATTCCATTCCATTCCATTCCATTCCATTCCATTCCACTCGGGTTGTTTCCATTCCATTCCTTTCCATTTCATTCTATTCCATTCCATTCCATTCCATTCCATTCCATTCCATTCCATTCCATTCCATTCCATTCTATTTCATTCCATTCCACTCCATTCCATTCCATTCCTCTCTGGTTATTCCATTCCATTCCATTCCATTCCACTCGAGTTGTTTCCATTCCATTCCATTCCATTTTATTCCATTCCATTCCATTCCACTCAGGTAGATTCCATTCCATTGCATTCCATTCCATTCCGTTCCGTTCCATTCCATTCCATTCCATTCCATTCCATTCCATTCCATTAAATTCCATTCCATTCCATTCCACTCGGGTAGATTCCATTCCATTCCATTTCGTTAGTTTCTAATCGGGTTGATTCCAATCCATTCCATTCTATTCAAGTCCTTTCCATTCCATGCCATTCCACTCGGGTCGTTTCCCTTCAGTTGTATTCCATTCCATTCCATTCCATTCCATTCCATTCCATTCCATTCCATTCCATTCCATTCCATTCCTTTCCATTCCATTCCATTGCATTCCATTCCATTCGGGTGGTTTCCATTCCGTTCCATTAGTTTCCATTCCATTCCATTCGTTTCCATTCCATTCCATTCCATTCCTTTCCACTCAGGGTGATTCCATTCCATTCCATTCCAATGCATTCCATTCCAGTTGATACCATTGCATTGCATTGTTTCCGTGCCATTCCATTCCATTCCATTCCATTCCATTCCATTCCATTCCACTCGGGTTGTTTCCATTGCATTCCTTTCCATTTCATTCCATTCCATTCCATTCCATTCCATTCTATTCCATTCGATTCCACTCCATTCCATTCCATTCCTCTCCGGTTATTCCATTCCATTGCATTCCATTCCACTCGGGTTGTTTCCATTCCATTCGATTCCATTTTATTCCATTCCATTCCGTTCCATTACATTCCGTTCTATACCATTCCACTCAGGTTGATTCCATACCAATCTATTCCATTCCACTCCAATAAATTCCATTCCATTCCATTCCACTCGGGTAGATTCCATTATATTCCATTCCATTCCGTTCCACTGCATTCCATTCCATTCCATTCCATTCCATTCCATTCCATTCCATTCCATTCCATTCCATTAAATTCCATTCCATTCCATTCCACTCGGGTAGATTCCATTCCATTCCATTCCATTCCATTAGTTTCTAATCGGGTTGATTCCAATCCATTCCATTATATTCAAGTCCTTTCCATTCCATGCCATTCCACTCGGGTTGTTTCCATTTTGTTGTATTCCATTCCATTCCATTCCATTCCATTCCATTCCATTCCATTGCATTCCATTCCATTGCATTCCATTCCATTGCATTGCATTCCATTCCATTGTATTCCATTCCACTCGGGTTGTTTCCATTCCTTTCCATTAGTTTCCATTCCATTCCATTCCTTTCCATTCCATTCCATTCTATTCCTTTCCACTCAGGGTGATTCCATTCCATTCCATTCCAATGCATTCCATTCCAGTTGATACCATTGCATTGCGTTGTTTCCATTCCATTCCAATCCATTCCATTCCATTCCATTCCATTCCATTCCACTCCGTTTTATTCATTGCCATTCCATTCCATTCCATTTCATTCCTCTCGGGTTGATTCCATTCCATTCCACGCCCCTTTATTCCATTCCATTCCATTCCATTCCATTCCATTCCATTCCACACCATTCCACCAAAGTTGATTGCATGCTATTCCATTCCATAGCATTCCATTCTATTCCATTCCATTCCATTCCATTCCATTCCATTCCATTCCATTCCATTCCTTTCCACTTGGGTTGATTCCATTCCATTCAATTCCGTTCCGTTCCGTTCCATTCCATTCCATTCCATTCCATTTCATTCCATTGTTTTCCACTCGGGTTGATTCCATTCCATTCCATTCCATTCCATTCCATACACTTCGGGTTGATTCGTTTCCATTCCATTCCATTCCATACAATTCCACTCCATTCCGTTCCATTCCATTCGGGTTGATTCTGTTCCATTCCATGCCCTTTTATTCCATTCCATTCCATTCCATTCCATTCCATACCATTCCACCAAAGTTGATTGCATGTTATTCCATTCCATTCCATTCCATTCCATTCCATTCCATTCCATTCCATACCATTCCACCGAAGTTGATTGCATGTTATTCCATTCCATTCCATTCCATTCCATTCCATTCCATTCCATTCCATTCCACTCGAGTTGATTCCATTCTATTCAATTCCGTTCTGTTCCGTTCCATTCCATTCCATTCCATTCCATTTCATTCCATTGCATTCCACTCGAGTTCATTCCATTCCTTTCCATTCCATTCCATTCCATTCAATTCCATACCGTTCGGGTTGATTCCTTTCCATTCCATTAAATATCATTCCACTCCATTCCGCTCCATTCCATTCGGGTTGATTCCGTTCCATTCCATGCCCTTTTATTCCATTCCATTCCATTCCATTCCATTCCATTCCATTCCATTCCATACCATTCCACCAAAGTTGATTGCATGTTATTCCATTCCATTCCATTTCATTCCATTCAATTCCATTCCATTCCATTCCTTTCCACTCGGGTTGATTCCATTACATTCAATTCCGTTCCATTCCATTCCGTTCCATTCCGTTCCATTGCATTGCATTTCATTCCATTGCATTCCACTCGGGTTGATTCCATACCATTCCATTCCATTCCATTCCATTCCATTCCATTCCATACCCTTCGGGTTGATTCCTTTCCATTCCATTCTATTCCATACCATTCCACTCCATTCCATTCCATTCGGGTTGATTACATTCCATTCCGTTCCGTTCCATTCCATTCCATACCATTCCACTAGGGTTGATTCCATACCATTCCATTTCATTGCATTCCATTCCATTCCATTCGACTCGGGTTGATTCCATTCCATTCCATTCCATTCCAATGCATTCCATTCCAGTTGATACCATTGAATTGCATTGTTTCCATTCCATTCCATTCCACTTGATTTGATTCATTTCCATTCCATTCCATTCCATTCCATTCCATTCCATTCCATTCCATACCATTCCACCAAATTTGATTGCATGCTATTCCATTCCATTCCGTTCCATTCCTTTCCACTTGGGTTGATTCCATTCCATTCAATTCCGTTCCGTTCTGTCCCGTTCCGTGCCATTCCATTTCATTACATTTCATTCCATTGCATTCCACTCGGGTTGATTCCATTCCATTCCATTCCATTCCATTCCATTCCATTCCATTCCATTCCATTCCATTCCATTCCCTTCGGATTGATTCCTTTCCATTCCATTCCATTCCATACCAATCCACTCCATTCCGTTCCATTCCATTCGGGTTGATTTGGTTCCATTCCATGCCCTTTTATTCCATTCTATTCCATTCCATTCCATTCCATTCCATTCCATTCCATTCCATTCCATACCATTCTACCAAAGTTGATTGCATGTTATTCCATTCCATTCCATTCCATTCCATTCCATTCCATTCCATTCCATTCCATTCCATTCCACTCGGGTTGATTCCATTCCTTTCAATTCCGTTCCATTCCTTTCCATTCCATTCCATTTCATTCCATTGTATTCCACTCGGGTTGATTCCATTCCTTTCCATTCCATTCCATTCCATTCCATTCCATTCCATTCCATTCCATTCCATTCCATTGCATTCCATTCCATTCCATACCCTTCGGGTTGATTCCTTTCCATTTCATTACATTCCATACCATTCCACTCCATTCTGTTCCATTCCATTCGGGTTGACTCTGTTCCATTCCATGCCCTTTTATTCCATTCCATTCCATTCCATTCCATACCATTCCACCAAAGTTGACTGCATGTTATTCCATTCCACTCCATTCCATTCCATTCCATTCCATTCCATTCCATTCCATTCCATTCCATTCCATTCCTTTCCACTCGGGTTCATTCCATTCAATTCAATTCCGTTCCGTTCCTCTCTGTTCCGTTCCATTCCATTCCATTTCATTCCATTGCATTCCACTCGGGATGATTCCATTCCATTCCATTCCATTCCATTCCATTCCATTCCATTCCCTTCGAGTTGATTCCTTTCCATTCCATTCCATTCCATACCATACCACTCCATTCCCTTCTATTCTATTCGGGTTGATTCCGTTCCATTCCTTGCACTTTTATTCCATTCCATTCCATTCCATTCCGTTCCATTCCATTCCATACCATTCCACCAAAGTTGATTGCATGTTATTCCATTCCATTCTATTCCATTCCATTCCATTCCCTTCCATTCCTTTTCCACTCGGGTTGATTCCATTCCATTCAATTCCGTTCCGTTCCGTTCCATTCCATTCCATTCCATTCCATACCCTTCGGGTTGATTCCCTTCCATTCCATGTCATTCCATATCATTCCACTCCATTCCGCTCCATTCCATTCTGGTTGATTCCATTCCATTCCATGCCCTTTCATTCCATTCCATTCCATTCCATTCCATTCCATTCCATTCCATACCATTCCACCAAAGTTGATTGCATATTATTCCATTCCATTCCATACCATTCCATTCCACTCGGTTTGTTTCCATTCCATTCCTTTCCATTTCATTCTAATCCATTCCATTCCATTCCATTCTATTCCATTCCATTCCACTCCATTCCATTCCATTCCTCTCCGGTTATTCCATTCCATTCCATTCCATTCCACTCGGGTTGTTTCCATTCCATTCCATTCCATTTTATTCCGTTCCATTCCATTACATTACATTCTATACCATTCCACTCGGGTTGATTCCATACCATTCTGTTCCATTCCATTCCATTCCATTCCATTCCATTCCATTCCATTCCATTCCATTCCATACCATTCCACCAAAGTTGATTGCATGTTATTCCATTCCATTCCATACCATTCCTTTCCACTCAGGGTGATTCAATTCCTTTCCATTCCAATGCATTCCATTCCAGCTGATACCATTGCATTGCATTGTTTCCATTCCATTCCTTTCTATTCCATTCCATTACATTCCACTCGGTTTGATTCATTTCCATTCCATTCAATTCCATTCCATTCCATTCCATTCCATTCCATTCGTCTCGGGTTGATTCCATTCCATTCCATGCCCTTTTATTCCATTCCATTCCATTCCATTCCATTCCATTCCATTCCATTCCATTCCATACCATTCCTACAAAGTTGATTGCATGCTATTCCATTCCATTCTATTCCATTCCATTCCATTCCACTCCATTCCATTCCATTCCATTCCATTCCACTTGGGTTGATTCCATTCCATTCAATTCCATTCCGTTCCGTTCCGTTCCATTCCATTCCATTCCATTCTGTTCCATTCCATTTCTTTCCATTGCATTCCACTCAGGTTTATTCCATTCCATTCCATTCCATTCCATTCCATTCCATTCCATTCCATTCCATTAGTTTCTAATCGGGTGATTCCAATCCATTCCATTATATTCAAGTCCTTTCCATTCCATGCCATTCCACTCGGGTTGTTTCCATTTTGTTGTATTCCATTCCATTCCATTCCATTCCATTCCATTCCATTCCATTCCATTCCATTCTATTAGTTTCTAATCGGGTGATTCCAATCCATTCCATGATATTCAAGTCCTTTCCATTCCATGCCATTCCACTCGGGTTGTTTCCATTTTGTTGTATTCCATTCCATTCCATTCCATTCCATTCCATTCCATTCCATTCCATTCCATTCCATTCCATTGCATTCCATTCCACTCTGGTTGTTTCCATTCCGTTCCATTAGTTTCCATTCCATTCCATTCCTTTCGATTCCATTCCATTCCATTCCATTCCATTCCATTCCATTCCATTCCTTTCCACTCAGGGTGATTCAATTCCATTCCATTCCAATGCATTCCATTCCAGCTGATACCATTGCATTGCATTGTTTCCATTCCATTCCTTTCTATTCCATTACATTACATTCCACTCGGTTTGATTCATTTCCATTCCATTCAATTCCATTCCATTCCATTCGTCTCGGGTTGATTCCATTCCATTCCATTCCATGCCCTTTTATTCCATCCCATTCCACTCCATTCCATTCCATTCCATTCCATTCCATTCCATTCCATACCATTCCAACACAGTTGATTGCATGCTATTCCATTCCATTCTATTCCATTCCATTCCATTCCACTCCATTCCATTCCATTCCATTCCATTCCATTCCATTCCATTCCATTCCATTCCATTCCACTTGGGTTGATTCCATTCCATTCAATTCCATTCCGTTCCGTTCCGTTCCATTCCATTCCATTCTGTTCCATTCCATTTCATTCCATTGCATTCCACTCAGGTTTATTCCATTCCATTCCATTCCATTCCATTCCATTCCATTCCATTCCATACCCTTCGGGTTGATTCCTTCCCATTCCATTCCATTCCATACCATTCCACTCCATTCCGTTCCATTCCATTCGGGTTGATTCTGTTCCATTCCATGCCCTTTTGTTCCATTCCATTCCATTCCATTCCATACCATTCCACCAAAGTTGATTGTATGTTATTCCATTCCATTCCATTCCATTCCTTTCCATTCCATTCCATTCCATTCCATTCCATTCCATTCCATTCCATTCCACTCGGGTTGATTCCATTCCATTCAATTCCGTTCCGTTCCGTTCCGTTCCATTCCATTCCATTCCATTTCATTCCATTGCATTCCACTCGGGTTGATTCCATTCCTTTCCATTCCATTCCATTCCATTCCATTCCATTCCATTCCATTCCATTCCATTCCATACCCTTCGGGTTGATTCCTTTCCATTCCATTCCATTCCATACCATTCCACTCTATTCCGCTCCATTCCATTTGTGTTGATTCCATTCCATTCCATGCCCTTTTATTCCATTCCTTTCCACTCCATTCCATTCCATACCATTCCACCAAAATTGATTGCATGTTATTCCATTCCATTCCATTCCATTCCTTTCCACTCGGGTTGATTCCATTCCATTCAATTCCGTTCCGTTCCGTTCCATTCCATTCCATTTCATTCCATTGCATTCCACTCGGGTTGATTCCATTCCATTCCATTCCATTCCATTCCATTCCATTCCATTCCATACCCTTCAGGTTGATTCCTTTCCATTCCATTCCATTCCATGCCATTCCACTCCATTCCGCTCCATTCCATTCGGGTTGATTCCGTTCCATTCCATGCCCTTTTATTCCATTCCATTCCATTCCATTCCATTCCATTCCATTCCATTCCATTCCACTCGGGTTGTTTCCATTCCATTCCTTTCCATTTCATTCTATTCCATTCCATTCCATTCCATTCCATTCCATTCCATTCCATTCCATTCTATTTCATTCCATTCCACTCCATTCCATTCCATTCCTCTCTGGTTATTCCATTCCATTCCATTCCATTCCACTCGAGTTGTTTCCATTCCATTCCATTCCATTTTATTCCATTCCATTCCATTCCACTCAGGTAGATTCCATTCCATTGCATTCCATTCCATTCCGTTCCGTTCCATTCCATTCCATTCCATTCCATTGCATTCCACTGGGGTTGATTCCATTCCGTTCCATTCCATTCCATTCCATTCCATTCCATTCCATTCCATTCCATACCCTTCGGGTTGATTCCTTTCCATTCCATTCCATTCTATACCATTCCACTTCATTCCGTTCCATTCCATTCGGGTTGATTCTGTTCCATTCCATGCCCTTTTATTCCATTCCATTCCATTCCATACCATTCCAAAAAGTTGATTGCATGTTATTCCATTCCATTCCATTCCATTCCTTTCCACTCGGGTTGATTCCACTCCATTCAATTCCGTTCCATTCCGTTCCGTTTCTTTCCGTTCCATTCCATTGCGTTTCATTCCATTGCATTCCACTAGGGTTGATTCCATTCCTTTGCATTCCATTCAATTCCATTCCATACCCTTCGGTTTGATTCCTTTCCATTCCATTCCATTCCATACCATTCCACTCCATTCCGCTCCATTCCATTCTGTTTGATTCCGTTCCATTCCATGCCCTTTTATTCCATTCCAATCCATTCCATTCCATACCATTCCACCAAAGTTGATTGCATGTTCCATTCCATTCCATTCCATTCCACTCGGGTAGATTCCATTCCATTCCATTTCGTTAGTTTCTAATCGGGTTGATTCCAATCCATTCCATTCTATTCAAGTCCTTTCCATTCCATGCCATTCCACTCGGGTTGTTTCCCTTTTGTTGTATTCCATTCCATTCCATTCCATTCCATTCCATTCCATTCCATTCCATTCCATTCCTTTCCATTCCATTCCATTGCATTCCATTCCACTCGGGTTGTTTCCATTCCGTTCCATTAGTTTCCATTCCATTCCATTCGTTTCCATTCCATTCCATTCCATTCCTTTCCACTCAGGGTGATTCCATTCCATTCCATTCCAATGCATTCCATTCCAGTTGATACCATTGCATTGCATTGTTTCCGTGCCATTCCATTCCATTCCATTCCATTCCATTCCATTCCATTCCACTCGGGTTGTTTCCATTGCATTCCTTTCCATTTCATTCCATTCCATTCCATTCCATTCCATTCTATTCCATTCGATTCCACTCCATTCCATTCCATTCCTCTCCGGTTATTCCATTCCATTGCATTCCATTCCACTCGGGTTGTTTCCATTCCATTCGATTCCATTTTATTCCATTCCATTCCGTTCCATTACATTCCGTTCTATACCATTCCACTCAGGTTGATTCCATACCAATCTATTCCATTCCACTCCAATAAATTCCATTCCATTCCATTCCACTCGGGTAGATTCCATTATATTCCATTCCATTCCGTTCCACTGCATTCCATTCCATTCCATTCCATTCCATTCCATTCCATTCCATTCCATTCCATTAAATTCCATTCCATTCCATTCCACTCGGGTAGATTCCATTCCATTCCATTCCATTCCATTAGTTTCTAATCGGGTTGATTCCAATCCATTCCATTATATTCAAGTCCTTTCCATTCCATGCCATTCCACTCGGGTTGTTTCCATTTTGTTGTATTCCATTCCATTCCATTCCATTCCATTCCATTCCATTCCATTGCATTCCATTCCATTGCATTCCATTCCATTCCATTGCATTCCATTCCATTGTATTCCATTCCACTCGGGTTGTTTCCATTCCTTTCCATTAGTTTCCATTCCATTCCATTCCTTTCCATTCCATTCCATTCTATTCCTTTCCACTCAGGGTGATTCCATTCCATTCCATTCCAATGCATTCCATTCCAGTTGATACCATTGCATTGCGTTGTTTCCATTCCATTCCAATCCATTCCATTCCATTCCATTCCATTCCATTCCACTCCGTTTTATTCATTGCCATTCCATTCCATTCCATTTCATTCCTCTCGGGTTGATTCCATTCCATTCCACGCCCCTTTATTCCATTCCATTCCATTCCATTCCATTCCATTCCATTCCATTCCATTCCACACCATTCCACCAAAGTTGATTGCATGCTATTCCATTCCATAGCATTCCATTCTATTCCATTCCATTCCATTCCATTCCATTCCATTCCATTCCATTCCATTCCATTCCTTTCCACTTGGGTTGATTCCATTCCATTCAATTCCGTTCCGTTCCGTTCCATTCCATTCCATTCCATTCCATTTCATTCCATTGTTTTCCACTCGGGTTGATTCCATTCCATTCCATTCCATTCCATTCCATACACTTCGGGTTGATTCGTTTCCATTCCATTCCATTCCATACAATTCCACTCCATTCCGTTCCATTCCATTCGGGTTGATTCTGTTCCATTCCATGCCCTTTTATTCCATTCCATTCCATTCCATTCCATTCCATACCATTCCACCAAAGTTGATTGCATGTTATTCCATTCCATTCCATTCCATTCCATTCCATTCCATTCCATTCCATACCATTCCACCGAAGTTGATTGCATGTTATTCCATTCCATTCCATTCCATTCCATTCCATTCCATTCCATTCCATTCCACTCGAGTTGATTCCATTCTATTCAATTCCGTTCTGTTCCGTTCCATTCCATTCCATTCCATTCCATTTCATTCCATTGCATTCCACTCGAGTTCATTCCATTCCTTTCCATTCCATTCCATTCCATTCAATTCCATACCGTTCGGGTTGATTCCTTTCCATTCCATTAAATATCATTCCACTCCATTCCGCTCCATTCCATTCGGGTTGATTCCGTTCCATTCCATGCCCTTTTATTCCATTCCATTCCATTCCATTCCATTCCATTCCATTCCATTCCATTCCATTCCATACCATTCCACCAAAGTTGATTGCATGTTATTCCATTCCATTCCATTTCATTCCATTCAATTCCATTCCATTCCATTCCTTTCCACTCGGGTTGATTCCATTACATTCAATTCCGTTCCATTCCATTCCGTTCCATTCCGTTCCATTGCATTGCATTTCATTCCATTGCATTCCACTCGGGTTGATTCCATACCATTCCATTCCATTCCATTCCATTCCATTCCATTCCATACCCTTCGGGTTGATTCCTTTCCATTCCATTCTATTCCATACCATTCCACTCCATTCCATTCCATTCGGGTTGATTACATTCCATTCCGTTCCGTTCCATTCCATTCCATACCATTCCACTAGGGTTGATTCCATACCATTCCATTTCATTGCATTCCATTCCATTCCATTCGACTCGGGTTGATTCCATTCCATTCCATTCCAATGCATTCCATTCCAGTTGATACCATTGAATTGCATTGTTTCCATTCCATTCCATTAAATTCCATTCCATTCCATTCCACTTGATTTGATTCATTTCCATTCCATTCCATTCCATTCCATTCCATTCCATTCCATTCCATTCCATACCATTCCACCAAATTTGATTGCATGCTATTCCATTCCATTCCGTTCCATTCCTTTCCACTTGGGTTGATTCCATTCCATTCAATTCCGTTCCGTTCTGTCCCGTTCCGTGCCATTCCATTTCATTACATTTCATTCCATTGCATTCCACTCGGGTTGATTCCATTCCATTCCATTCCATTCCATTCCATTCCATTCCATTCCATTCCATTCCATTTCATTCCCTTCGGATTGATTCCTTTCCATTCCATTCCATTCCATACCAATCCACTCCATTCCGTTCCATTCCATTCGGGTTGATTTGGTTCCATTCCATGCCCTTTTATTCCATTCTATTCAATTCCATTCCATTCCATTCCATTCCATTCCATTCCATTCCATACCATTCTACCAAAGTTGATTGCATGTTATTCCATTCCATTCCATTCCATTCCATTCCATTCCATTCCATTCCATTCCATTCCATTCCACTCGGGTTGATTCCATTCCTTTCAATTCCGTTCCATTCCTTTCCATTCCATTCCATTTCATTCCATTGTATTCCACTCGGGTTGATTCCATTCCTTTCCATTCCATTCCATTCCATTCCATTCCATTCCATTCCATTCCATTCCATTCCATTGCATTCCATTCCATTCCATACCCTTCGGGTTGATTCCTTTCCATTTCATTACATTCCATACCATTCCACTCCATTCTGTTCCATTCCATTCGGGTTGACTCTGTTCCATTCCATGCCCTTTTATTCCATTCCATTCCATTCCATTCCATACCATTCCACCAAAGTTGACTGCATGTTATTCCATTCCACTGCATTCCATTCCATTCCATTCCATTCCATTCCATTCCATTCCTTTCCACTCGGGTTCATTCCATTCAATTCAATTCCGTTCCGTTCCTCTCTGTTCCGTTCCATTCCATTCCATTTCATTCCATTGCATTCCACTCGGGATGATTCCATTCCATTCCATTCCATTCCATTCCATTCCATTCCATTCCATTCCATTCCCTTCGAGTTGATTCCTTTCCATTCCATTCCATTCCATACCATACCACTCCATTCCCTTCTATTCTATTCGGGTTGATTCCGTTCCATTCCTTGCACTTTTATTCCATTCCATTCCATTCCATTCCGTTCCATTCCATTCCATACCATTCCACCAAAGTTGATTGCATGTTATTCCATTCCATTCTATTCCATTCCATTCCATTCCCTTCCATTCCTTTTCCACTCGGGTTGATTCCATTCCATTCAATTCCGTTCCGTTCCGTTCCATTCCATTCCATTCCATTCCATACCCTTCGGGTTGATTCCCTTCCATTCCATGTCATTCCATATCATTCCACTCCATTCCGCTCCATTCCATTCTGGTTGATTCCATTCCATTCCATGCCCTTTCATTCCATTCCATTCCATTCCATTCCATTCCATTCCATTCCATTCCATACCATTCCACCAAAGTTGATTGCATATTATTCCATTCCATTCCATACCATTCCATTCCACTCGGTTTGTTTCCATTCCATTCCTTTCCATTTCATTCTAATCCATTCCATTCCATTCCATTCTATTCCATTCCATTCCACTCCATTCCATTCCATTCCTCTCCGGTTATTCCATTCCATTCCATTCCATTCCACTCGGGTTGTTTCCATTCCATTCCATTCCATTTTATTCCGTTCCATTCCATTACATTACATTCTATACCATTCCACTCGGGTTGATTCCATACCATTCTGTTCCATTCCATTCCATTCCATTCCATTCCATTCCATTCCATTCCGTTCCATTCCATTCCATTAAATTCCATTCCATTCCATTCCACTTGGGTAGATTCCATTCCATTCCATTCCATTCCATTCCATTCCATTCCATTCCATTCCATTCCATTAGTTTCTAATCGGGTGATTCCAATCCATTCCATTATATTCAAGTCCTTTCCATTCCATGCCATTCCACTCGGGTTGTTTCCATTTTATTGTATTCCATTCCATTCCATTCCATTCCATTCCTTTCCACTCAGGGTGATTCAATTCCTTTCCATTCCAATGCATTCCATTCCAGCTGATACCATTGCATTGCATTGTTTCCATTCCATTCCTTTCTATTCCATTCCATTACATTCCACTCGGTTTGATTCATTTCCATTCCATTCAATTCCATTCCATTCCATTCCATTCCATTCCATTCCATTCGTCTCGGGTTGATTCCATTCCATTCCATGCCCTTTTATTCCATTCCATTCCATTCCATTCCATTCCATTCCATTCCATTCCATTCCATTCCATACCATTCCTACAAAGTTGATTGCATGCTATTCCATTCCATTCTATTCCATTCCATTCCATTCCACTCCATTCCATTCCATTCCATTCCATTCCACTTGGGTTGATTCCATTCCATTCAATTCCATTCCGTTCCGTTCCGTTCCATTCCATTCCATTCCATTCTGTTCCATTCCATTTCTTTCCATTGCATTCCACTCAGGTTTATTCCATTCCATTCCATTCCATTCCATTCCATTCCATTCCATTCCATTCCATTCCATTCCATTCCATACCCTTCGGGTTGATTCCTTCCCATTCCATTCCATTCCATACCATTCCACTCCATTCCGTTCCATTCCATTCGGGTTGATTCTGTTCCATTCCATGCCCTTTTGTTCCATTCCATTCCATTCCATTCCATACCATTCCACCAAAGTTGATTGTATGTTATTCCATTCCATTCCATTCCATTCCTTTCCATTCCATTCCATTCCATTCCATTCCATTCCATTCCATTCCATTCCATTCCATTCCACTCGGGTTGATTCCATTCCATTCAATTCCGTTCCGTTCCGTTCCGTTCCATTCCATTCCATTCCATTTCATTCCATTGCATTCCACTCGGGTTGATTCCATTCCTTTCCATTCCATTCCATTCCATTCCATTCCATTCCATTCCACTCGGGTTGATTCCATTCCATTCCATTCCATTCCATTCCATTCCATTCCATTCCATTCCACTCCATTCCATTCCACTCCTCTCCGGTTATTCCATTCCATTCCACTCGGGTTGTTTCCATTCCATTCCATTCCATTTTATTCCATTCCATTCCGTTTCATTACATTCCATTCTATACCATTCCACTTGGGTTGATTCCATACCATTCTATTCCATTCCATTCCAGTAAATTCCATTCCATTCCATTCCACTCGGGTAGATTCCATTCCATTCCATTCCATTCCATTCCATTCCATTCCATTCCATTAGTTTCTAATCGGGTTGATTCCAATCCATTCCATTATATTCAAATCCTTTCCATTCCATGCCATTCCACTCGGTTTGTTTCCATTTTGTTGTATTCCATTCCATTCCATCCCATTCCATTCCATTCCATTTCATTCCATTCCACTCGGGTTGTTTCCATTCCGTTCCATTAGTTTCCATTCCATTCCTTTCCATTCCATTCCACTCATGGTGATTCCTTTCCTTTCCATTCTAATTCATTCCATTCCAGTTGATACCATTGCATTGCATTGTTTCCATTCCATTCCATTCCATTCCATTCCATTCCATTCCATTCCATTCCACTCGGTTTGATTCATTTCCATTCCATTCCTTTCCATTCCTCTCGTGTTGATTCCATTCCATTCCATGCCCTTTTATTCCATTCCATTCCATTCCATTCCATTCCATTCCATTCCATTCCATTCCATTCCATACCTTTACACCAAAGTTGATTGCATGCTATTCCATTCCATTCCATTCCATTCCATTCCATTCCGTTCTGTTCCGTTCCGTTCCGTTCCATTCCATTCCATTCCATTCCATTGCATTCCACTGGGGTTGATTCCATTCCATTCCATTCCATTCCATTCCATTCCATTCCATTCCATTGCATTCCACTGGGGTTGATTCCATTCCATTCCATTCCATTCCATTCCATTCCATTCCATTCCATTCCATATCTTTCCACCAAAGTTGATTGCATGCTATTCCATTCCATTCCATTCCATTCCATTCCATTCCATTCCATTCCGTTCCTTTCCTCTTGGGTTGATTCCATTCCATTCAATTCCGTTCCATTCCGTTCCGTTCCGTTCCATTCCATTCCATTCCATTGCATTCCACTGGGGTTGATTCCATTCCGTTCCATTCCATTCCATTCCATTCCATTCCATTCCATTCCATTCCATACCCTTCGGGTTGATTCCTTTCCATTCCATTCCATTCTATACCATTCCACTTCATTCCGTTCCATTCCATTCGGGTTGATTCTGTTCCATTCCATGCCCTTTTATTCCATTCCATTCCATTCCATACCATTCCAAAAAGTTGATTGCATGTTATTCCATTCCATTCCATTCCATTCCTTTCCACTCGGGTTGATTCCACTCCATTCAATTCCGTTCCATTCCGTTCCGTTTCTTTCCGTTCCATTCCATTGCGTTTCATTCCATTGCATTCCACTAGGGTTGATTCCATTCCTTTGCATTCCATTCAATTCCATTCCATACCCTTCGGTTTGATTCCTTTCCATTCCATTCCATTCCATACCATTCCACTCCATTCCGCTCCATTCCATTCTGTTTGATTCCGTTCCATTCCATGCCCTTTTATTCCATTCCAATCCATTCCATTCCATACCATTCCACCAAAGTTGATTGCATGTTCCATTCCATTCCATTCCATTCCTTTCCATTCCATTCCATTCCATTCCATTCCATTCCATTCCATTCCATTCCATTCCATTCCATTCCATTCCTTTCCACTCGGGTTGTTTCCATTCCATTCAATTCCATTCCGTTCCGTTCCGTTCCATTCCCTTCCATTTCATTCCATTGCATTCCACTCGGGTTGATTCCATTCCTTTCCATTCCATTCCATTCCATATCATTCCACTCCATTCCGCTCCATTCTATTCGGGTTGATTCCGTTCTATTCCATCCCCCTTTATTCCATTCCATTCCATTCTATTCCATTCCATTCCATACCATTCCACCAAAGTTGATTGCATGTTATTCCATTCCATTCCATTCCATTTCATTCAATTCTATTCCATTCCATTCCTTTCCACTCGGGTTGATTCCATTCCATTCCATTCTGTTCCGTTCCATTCCATTCCATTCCATTCCATTTCATTCCATTGCATTCCACTCGGGTTGATTTCATTCCATTCCATTCCATTCCATTCCATTCCATTCCATTCCATTCCATTCCCTTCACGTTGATTCCTTTCCATTCCATTCCATTCCATACCATTCCACTCCATTCCATTCCATTCCATTCGGGTTGATTCCATTCCATTCCGGTCCGTTCCATTCCATTCCATACCATTCCACTAGGGTTGATTCCATGCCATTCCATTCCATTGCATTCCATTCCATTCCATTCCACTCGGGTTGATTCCATTCCATTCCATTCCATTCCATTCCATTCTATTCCATTCCATTCCATTCCACTCGGGTTGATTCCATTCCATTCCATTCCATTCCATTCCATTCCATTCCATTCCACTCCATTCCATTCCATTCCTCTCCGGTTATTCCATTCCATTCCACTCGGGTTGTTTCCATTCCATTCCATTCCATTTTATTCCATTCCATTCCGTTTCATTACATTCCATTCTATACCATTCCACTCGGGTTGATTCCATACCATTCTATTCCATTCCATTCCAGTAAATTCCATTCCATTCCATTCCACTCGGGTAGATTCCATTCCATTCCATTCCATTCCATTCCATTCCATTCCATTCCATTCCATTAGTTTCTAATCGGGTTGATTCCAATCCATTCCATTATATTCAAATCCTTTCCATTCCATGCCATTCCACTCGGTTTGTTTCCATTTTGTTGTATTCCATTCCATTCCATCCCATTCCATTCCATTCCATTTCATTCCATTCCACTCGGGTTGTTTCCATTCCGTTCCATTAGTTTCCATTCCATTCCTTTCCATTCCATTCCACTCATGGTGATTCCTTTCCTTTCCATTCTAATTCATTCCATTCCAGTTGATACCATTGCATTGCATTGTTTCCATTCCATTCCATTCCATTCCATTCCATTCCATTCCACTCGGTTTGATTCATTTCCATTCCATTCCTTTCCATTCCTCTCGTGTTGATTCCATTCCATTCCATGCCCTTTTATTCCATTCCATTCCATTCCATTCCATTCCATTCCATTCCATTCCATTCCATTCCATACCTTTCCACCAAAGTTGATTGCATGCTATTCCATTCCATTCCATTCCATTCCGTTCCGTTCCGTTCCGTTCCGTTCCGTTCCATTCCATTCCATTCCATTCCATTGCATTCCACTGGGGTTGATTCCATTCCATTCCATTCCATTCCATTCCATTCCATTCCATTCCATTCCATTCCATTCCATACCTTTCCACCAAAGTTGATTGCATGCTATTCCATTCCATTCCATTCCATTCCATTCCATTCCATTCCATTCCATTCCATTCCGTTCCTTTCCTCTTGGGTTGATTCCATTCCATTCAATTCCGTTCCATTCCGTTCCGTTCCGTTCCATTCCATTCCATTCCATTGCATTCCACTGGGGTTGATTCCATTCCATTCCATTCCATTCCATTCCATTCCATTCCATTCCATTCCATTCCATTCCCTTCGGGTTGATTCCTTTCCATTCCATTCCATTCTATACCATTCCACTTCATTCCGTTCCATTCCATTCGGGTTGATTCTGTTCCATTCCATGCCCTTTTATTCCATTCCATTCCATTCCATACCATTCCAAAAAGTTGATTGCATGTTATTCCATTCCATTCCATTCCATTCCTTTCCGCTCGGGTTGATTCCACTCCATTCAATTCCGTTCCATTCCGTTCCGTTCCTTTCCGTTCCATTCCATTGCGTTTCATTCCATTGCATTCCACTAGGGTTGATTCCATTCCTTTGCATTCCATTCAATTCCATTCCATACCCTTCGGTTTGATTCGTTTGCATTCCATTCCATTCCATACCATTCCACTCCATTCCGCTCCATTCCATTCTGTTTGATTCCGTTCCATTCCATGCCCTTTTATTCCATTCCAATCCATTCCATTCCATACCATTCCACCAAAGTTGATTGCATGTTCCATTCCATTCCATTCCATTCCTTTCCATTCCATTCCATTCCATTCCATTCCATTCCATTCCATTCCATTCCATTCCATTCCATTCCTTTCCACTCGGGTTGTTTCCATTCCATTCAATTCCATTCCGTTCCGTTCCGTTCCGTTCCATTCCCTTCCATTTCATTCCATTGCATTCCACTCGGGTTGATTCCATTCCTTTCCATTCCATTCCATTCCATATCATTCCACTCCATTCCGCTCCATTCTATTCGGGTTGATTCCGTTCTATTCCATCCCCCTTTATTCCATTCCATTCCATTCTATTCCATTCCATTCCATACCATTCCACCAAAGTTGATTGCATGTTATTCCATTCCATTCCATTCCATTTCATTCAATTCCATTCCATTCCATTCCTTTCCACTCGGGTTGATTCCATTCCATTCCATTCTGTTCCGTTCCATTCCATTCCATTCCATTCCATTTCATTCCATTGCATTCCACTCGGGTTGATTTCATTCCATTCCATTCCATTCCATTCCATTCCATTCCATTCCATTCCATTCCCTTCGCGTTGATTCCTTTCCATTCCATTCCATTCCATACCATTCCACTCCATTCCATTCCATTCCATTCGGGTTGATTCCATTCCATTCCGGTCCGTTCAATTCCATTCCATACCATTCCACTAGGGTTGATTCCATGCCATTCCATTCCATTGCATTCCATTCCATTCCATTCCACTCGGGTTGATTCCATTCCATTCCATTCTATTCCATTCCATTCTATTCCATTCCATTCCATTCCACTCGGGTTGATTCCATTCCATTCCATTCCATTCCATTCCATTCCATTCCACTCCATTCCATTCCATTCCTCTCCGGTTATTCCATTCCATTCCACTCGGGTTGTTTCCATTCCATTCCATTCCATTTTATTCCATTCCATTCCGTTTCATTACATTCCATTCTATACCATTCCACTCGGGTTGATTCCATACCATTCTATTCCATTCCATTCCAGTAAATTCCATTCCATTCCATTCCACTCGGGTAGATTCCATTCCATTCCATTCCATTCCATTCCATTCCATTCCATTCCATTCCATTCCATTAGTTTCTAATCGGGTTGATTCCAATCCATTCCATTATATTCAAATCCTTTCCATTCCATGCCATTCCACTCGGTTTGTTTCCATTTTGTTGTATTCCATTCCATTCCATCCCATTCCATTCCATTCCATTTCATTCCATTCCACTCGGGTTGTTTCCATTCCGTTCCATTAGTTTCCATTCCATTCCTTTCCATTCCATTCCACTCATGGTGATTCCTTTCCTTTCCATTCTAATTCATTCCATTCCAGTTGATACCATTGCATTGCATTGTTTCCATTCCATTCCATTCCATTCCATTCCATTCCATTCCATTCCACTCGGTTTGATTCATTTCCATTCCATTCCTTTCCATTCCTCTCGTGTTGATTCCATTCCATTCCATGCCCTTTTATTCCATTCCATTCCATTCCATTCCATTCCATTCCATTCCATTCCATTCCATACCTTTCCACCAAAGTTGATTGCATGCTATTCCATTTCATTCCATTCCATACCATTCCATTCCATTCCGTTCCTTTTATCTTGGGTTGATTCCATTCCATTCAATTCCTTTCCGTTCCGTTCCGTTCCATTCCATTCCATTCCATTCCATTCCATTGCATTCCACTGGGGTTGATTCCATTCCATTCCATTCCATTCCATTCCATTCCATTCCATACCCTTCGGGTTGATTCCTTTCCAATCCATTCCATTCTATACCATTCCACTTCATTCCGTTCCATTCCTTTCGGGTTGATTCTGTTCCATTCCATGCCCTTTTATTCCATTCCATTCCATTCCATACCATTCCACCAAAGTTGATTGCATGTTATTCCATTCCATTCCATTCCATTCCATTCCTTTCCACTCGGGTTGATTCCACTCCATTCAATTCCGTTCCGTTCCGTTCCTTTCCGTTCCATTCCATTGCGTTTCATTCCATTGCATTCCACTAGGGTTGATTCCATTCCTTTCCATTCCATTCCATTCCATTCCATACCCTTCGGTTTGATTCCTTTCCATTCCATTCCATTCCATACCATTCCACTCCATTCCGCTCCATTCCATTCGGTTTAATTCCGTTCCATTCCATGCCCTTTTATTCCATTCCATTCCATTCCATTCCATACCATTCCACCAAAGTTGATTGCATGTTCCATTCCATTCCATTCCATTCCATTCCATTCCATTCCATTCCATTCCATTCCATTCCATTCAATTCCATTCCATTCCATTCCATTCCTTTCCACTCGGGTTGTTTCCATTCCATTCAATTCCATTCCGTTCCGTTCCGTTCCGTTCCAGTCCATTCCATTTCATTCCATTGCATTCCACTCGGGTTGATTCCATTCCTTTCCATTCCATTCCATTCCATATCATTCCACTCCATTCCGCTCCATTCTATTCGGGTTGATTCCGTTCTATTCCATCCCCCTTTATTCCATTCCATTCCATTCTATTCCATTCCATTCCATACCATTCCACCAAAGTTGATTGCATGTTATTCCATTCCATTCCATTCCATTCCATTCCATTCCATTCCATTCCATTCCATTCAATTCCATTCCATTCCATTCCTTTCCACTCGGGTTGATTCCATTCCATTCCATTCTGTTCCGTTCCGTTCCGTTACATTCCATTCCATTTCATTCCATTGCATTCCACTCGGGTTGATTTCATTCCATTCCATTCCATTCCATTCCATTCCATTCCATTCCATTCCATACCCTTCGCGTTGATTCCTTTCCATTCCATTCCATTCCATACCATTCCACTCCATTCCATTCCATTCCATTCGGGTTGATTCCATTCCATTCCGGTCCGTTCCGTTCCATTCCATACCATTCCACTAGGGTTGTTTCCATGCCATTCCATTCCATTGCATTCCATTCCATTCCATTCCACTCGTGTTGATTCCATTCCATTCCATTCCATTCCATTCCATTCCACTCCATTCCATTACATTCCATTCTACTCTGGTTAATTCCGTTCCATTCCCTTCCAATCCATTCCATTCCATTCCATTCCATTCCATTCCATTCCATTCCATTCCATTCCATTCCATTGGGGTCCATTCCATTTCATTCCATTCTGTTCCGTTCCGTTCCATTCCATTCCATTCCATTCCATTCCATTCCATTCCATTGCATTCCATACCATTCCATTCCATTCTATTCCATTCCATTCCATTCCATTCCACTCGAGTTGATTCCATTCCATTCCATTCCATTCCGTTCTGTTGCATTCCATTCCGTTCCATTCCATTCCATTCCATTCCACTCGAGTTGATTCCATTCCATTCCATTCCATTCCGTTCCGTTGCATTCCATTCCGTTCCATTGCTTTACATTCCATTCCATTCCATTCCATTCCATTCCATTCCATTCCATTCCATTCCAACCTTCTAATCGGGTTGATTCTAATCCATTCCATTTCCATTCCATTCGAGGTTGATTCCATTCCATTCCGGTCCGTTCCGTTCCATTCCATACCATTCCACTAGGGTTGTTTCCATGCCATTCCATTCCATTGCATTCCATTCCATTCCATTCCACTCGTGTTGATTCCATTCCATTCCATTCCATTCCATTCCATTCCACTCCATTCCATTACATTCCATTCTACTCTGGTTAATTCCGTTCCATTCCCTTCCAATCCATTCCATTCCATTCCATTCCATTCCATTCCATTCCATTCCATTCCATTCCATTCCATTCCAACCTTCTAATCGGGTTGATTCTAATCCATTCCATTACATTCAAGTCTTTCCATTCCATGCCATTCCTCTTGTGTTGTTTCCATTCCATTGAATTCCATTCCATTCCATTCCATTCCATTCCATTCCATTCCATTCCATTCCATTCCATTCCACTCGGGTTGTTTCCATTCCATTTCATTAGTTTCCATTCCATTCCATTCCATTCCATTTTATTCCATTCCATTTCATTCCATTACATTCCATTCTATACCATTCCACTCGGGTTGATTCTATACCATTCTATTCCATTCCATTCTATACCATTCCACTCGGGTTGATTCCATACCATTCTATTCCATTCCATTCCATTAAATTCCATTCCATTCCATTCCACTCGTGTAGATTCCATTCCATTCCATTCCATTACGTTCCGTTCCGTTCCATTCCATTCCATTCCATTCCATTCCATTCCATTCCATTCCATTCCATTAAATTCCATTCCATTCCATTCCATTCCTCTCGGGTCGATTCCATTCCATTCCATTCCATTCCATTCCATTAGTTTCTAATCGGGTTGATTCCAATCCATTCCATTATATTCAAATCCTTTCCATTCCATGCCATTCCACTCGGGTTGTTTCCATTTTGTTGTATTCCATTCCATTCCATTCCATTCCATTCCATTCCATTCCATTGTATTCCATTCCACTCGGGTTGTTTCCATTCCGTTTCATTAGTTTCCATTCCATTCCATTCCTTTCCATTCCATTCCACTCATGGTGATTCCATTCCTTTCCATTCCAATTCATTCCATTCCAGTTGATACCATTGCATTGCATTGTTTTCATTCCATTCCATTCCATTCCATTCCTCTTGGTTTGATTCATTTCCATTCCATTCCATTCCATTCCTCTCGGGTTGATTCCATTCCATTCCATGCCCTTTTATTCCATTCCATTCCATTCCATTCCATTCCATTCCATTCCATTCCATACCATTCCATTCCATTCCATTCCATTCCATACCATTCCACCAAGTTGATTGCATGCTATCCCATTCCATTCCATTCCATTCCATTCCATTTCATTCCATTCCATTCCGTTCCTTTCCACTTGGGTTGATTACATTCCATTCCATTCAATTCCGTTCCGTTCTGTTCCATTTTGTTCCATTCCATTCCATTCCATTTCCTTCCATTGCATTCCACTGGGGTTGATTCCATTCCATTCCATTCCATTCCATTCCATTCCATTCCATTCCATTCCATACCCTTCGGGTTGATTCCTTTCCATTCCATTCCATTGCATACCATTCCACTCCATTCCGTTCCATTCCATTCGGGTTGATTCTGTTCCATTCCATGCTTTTATTCCATTCCAATCCATTCCATACCATTCCACCAAAGTTGATTGCATGTTATTCCATTCTATTCCATTCCATTCCATTCCATTCCATTCCATTCCATTCCATTCCATTCCATTCCATTCTATTCCATTCCATTCCTTTCCTTTCCAGTCGGTTTGATTCCATTCCATTCAATTCCATTCCGTTCCGTTCCATTCCTTTCCGTTCCATTCCATTGCGTTTCATTCCATTGCATTCCACTCGGGTTGATTCCATTTCTTTCCATTCCATTCCATTCCATTCAATTCCATAGCCTTCAGGTTGATTCCTTTCCATTCCATTCCATTCCATACCATTCCACTCCATTCCGCTCCAATCCATTCGGGTTGATTCCGTTCTGTTCCATGTCCTTTTATTCCATTCCCTTCCATTCCATTCCATTCCATTCCATACCATTCCACCAAAGTTGATTGCATGTTATTCCATTCTATTCCATTCCATTCGATTCAATTCCATTCCATTCCATTCCATTCCATCCCTTTCCGCTCGGGTTGTTTCCATGCCATTCAATTCCATTCCGTTCCGTTCCGTTCCATTCCATTCCATTCCATTCCATTCCATACCCTTCGGGTTGATTCCTTTCCATTCCATTCCATTCCATCCCATTCCACTCCATTCCGTTCTATTCCATTTAGGTTGATTCCATTTCTTTCCATTCCGTTCCATTGCATTCCATACCTTTCCACTAGGGTTGATCCCATACCATTCCATTCCATTGCATTCCATTCCATTCCATTCCATTCCACTCGGGTTGATTCCATTCCATTCCATTCCAATCCATTCCATTCCATTCCATTCGGGTTGATTCCATTCCATTCCTTTCCATTCCATTCCATTCCATTCCATTCCATTCCATTCCATTCCATTCCATTCGAGTTGATTCCATTCTATTCCATTCCATTCCATTCCATTGGGGTTGATTCCATTCCATTCCATTCCATTCCATTCCATTCCATTCCATTCCATTCGACTCGGGTTGATTCCAATCCATTCCATTCCAATCCATTCCATTCCATTCCATTCCATTCCATTCCATTCCATTCCATTCCATTCTGGTTGATTCCATTCCGTTGAATTTCTTTCCATTCCAATCCATTCCATACCATTCGATTCCATTCCATTCCATTCCATTCCATTCTATTCCACTCGAGTTAATTCCATTCCTTTGAATTCCATTGCTTTCCATTCCATTCCATTCCTTTCCACTCAGGTTGATTCCATTCCATTCCATTCCAATGCATTCCATTCCAGTTGATACCATTGCATTGCATTGTTTCCATTCCGTTCCATTCCATTCCATTACATTACATTACATTCCACTCGGTTTTATTCATTTCCGTTCCATTCAATTCCATTCCATTCCATTCCATTCCATTCCATTCCTCTTGGGTTGATTCCATTCCAATCCATGCCCCTTTATTCCATTCCATTCCATTCCATTCCATTCCATTCCATTCCATACCATTCCACCAAAGTTGACTGCATGCTATTCCATTCCATTCCATTCTATTCCATTCCATTCCATTCCATTCCATTCCATTCCATTCCATTCCTTTCCACTCGGGTTGATTACATTCCATTCAATTCCGTTCCATTCCGTTCCGTTCCGTTCCATTCCATTCCATTCCATTTTATTCCATTGCATTCCACTCAGGTTGATTCCATTCCATTCCATTCCATTCCATTCCATTCCATTCCATAACCTTCGGATTGATTCCTTTCCATTCCGTTCCATTCCATAGATTCCACTCCATTCCGTTCCATTTCATTCGAGTTGATTCTGTTCCATTCCATGCCCTTTTATTCCATTCCATTCCATTCCATTCCATTGCGTTCCATTCCATTCCTTACCATTCCACCAAAGTTGATTGCATGTTATTCCATTCCATTCCATTCCATTCCATTCCTTTCCACTCGTTTTGATTCCATTCCATTCAATTCCGTTCCGTTCCGTTCCGTTCGTTTCCATTCCATTCCATTTCATTCCATTGCATTCCACTCGGGTTGATTCCATTCCTTTCAATTCCATTCCATTCCATTCCATTCAATTCCATACCCTTTGGTTTGATTCCTTTCCATTCCATTACATTCCATATCATTCCACTCCATTCCGCTCCATTCCATTCGGGTTGATTCCGTTCCATTCCATGCCCTTTTATTCCATTCCATTCCATTCTATTCCATTCCATTCCATACCATTCCACCAAAGTTGATTGTATGTTATTCCATTCCATTCCATTCCATTCCATTCCATTCCATTCAATTCCATTCCATTCCATTCAATTCCATTCCATTCCATTCCTTTCCACTCGGGTTGTTTCCATTCCATTCAATTCCGTTCCATTCCATTCCGTTCCATTCCATTCCATTCCGTTTCATTCCATTGCATTCCACTCGGGTTGATTTCATTCCATTCCATTCCATTCCATTCCATTCCATTCCATTCCCTTCGGTTTGATTCCTTTCCATTCCATTCCATTCCATACCATTCCACTCCATTCCTTTCCATTCCATTCGGGTTGATTCCCTTCCATTCCGTTCCGTTCCATTCCATTCCACACCATTCCACTAGGGTTGATTCCATGCCATTCCATTCCATTGCATTCCATTCCATTCCATTCCACTCGCGTTGATTCCATTCCATTCCATTCCAATCCATTCCATTCCACTCCTTTCCATTCCTTTCCATTCGGGTTGATTCCATTCCATTCCGTTCCATTCCATTCCATTCCATACCATTCCACTAGGGTTGATACCATGCCATTCCATTCCATTCCATTCCATTCCATTCCACTCGGGTTGATTACATTCCATTCCATTCCAATCCATTCCATTCCATTCCATTCCATTCCATTCCATTCCATTCCATTCCATTCCATTCCATTCCATTCCACTCGGGTTGATTCCATTCCATTCCATTCCATTCCATTCCATTCCATTCCATTCCATTCCATTCCATTCCACTCCATTCCGTTACATTCCATTCTACTCTGTTTAATTCCGTTCCATTCCATTCCAATCCATTCCATTCCATTCCATTCCATTCCATTCCATTCCATTGGGGTCCATTCCATTCCATTCCATTCCATTCCATTCCATTCCGTTCCGTTCCGTTCCATTCCATTCAAATCCATTCCATTGCATTCCATACCATTCCATTCCATTCTATTCCATTCCATTCCATTCCATTGCACTCGAGTTGATTCCATTCCATTCCATTCCATTCCGTTCCGTTCCATTCCATTCCGTTCCATTCTATTCCATTCCATTCCATTCCATTCCATTAAATTCCATTCCATTCCATTGCATTCCATTACTTTCTAATCGGGTTGATTCTAATCCATTCCATTACATTCAAGTCTTTCCATTCCATGCCATTCCTCTTTGGTTGTTTCCATTACGTTGAATTCCATTCCATTCCATTCCATTCCATTCCATTCCATTCCATTCCATTCCATTCCATTGCATTCCATTCCACTCGGGTCGTTTCCATTCCATTTCATTAGTTTCCATTCCATTCCATTCCATTCCATTTCACTCAAGTTGATTCCGTTCCATTCCATTGTATTCCATTCCAGTTGATTCCATTGCATTCCATTCCTTTCCATTCCTATCTATTCCATTACATTCCCTTACACTTGGGTTGATTCCATTCCATTTCAATCCATTCCATTCCATTCCCTTCCGTTCCATTCCATAGCATTCCACTAAATTTGATTCCATACCATTCCATTGCATTTCATTCCTTTCCTTTCCATTCCAATCCATTCCATTCCATTCCATTTAAATCCTTTCCATTCCTTTCCATTTCATTCCATTCCATTCCTTTCCTCTCGGGTTGATTCCATTCCATTCCTTTCCATTCTGTTCCATTCCATTCCGTTCCATTCCATTCCATTCCATTCCATTCCATTCCATTCCATTCCATTGCATTCCACTCGGGGTGATTCCATTCCATTCCATTCCATTCCATTCCATTCCATTCCATTCCATTCCATTCCATTCCATTTCATTCCATTCCATTGCATTCCATTTGGGTTCATACCTTTCCATTCCATTCCATTGCATTCCATTTGGGTTCATACCTTTCCATTCCATTCCATTCCATACCATTCCATTCCATTCCATTCCATTCCATTCAGGTTGACTCCATTCCATTCCGTTCCATTCCATTACATTCCATTCCATTCCGTTGCATTCCACTCCATTCCTATTCATTACATTCCACTCGGGTTGAATCCATTCCATTCCATTCCAATGCATTCCATTTTTTTCAGTTCCACTCGGATTCAATCAATTCCATTCCATTCCATTCCGTTCTGTTCCATTCCATTCCATTCCATTCCATTCCATTCCATTCCATTCTATTGCATTTCATTCCATTCCATTCTACTCAGGTTGATTCCATTCCATTCCATTCCATTCCATTCCATTCCATTCCATTCCATTCCACTCGGGTTGATTCAATTCCGTTCCTTTCCATTCCATTCCATTCTATTCCTTTCCACTCAGGGTGATTCCATTCCATTCCATTCCAATGCATTCCATTCCAGTTGATACCATTGCATTGCATTGTTTCCATTCCATTCCATTCCATTCCATTCAATTCCATTCTACTCGGTTTGATTCATTTCCATTCCATTCCATTCCATTCCTCTCGGGTTGATTCCATTCCATTCCATGCCCTTTTATTCCATTCCATTCCATTCCATTCCATTCCATTCCATTCCATTCCATTCCATTCCATACTATTCCACCAAAGTTGACTGCATGCTATTCCATTCCATTCCATTCCGTTCCATTCCATTTCATTCCGTTCCTTTCCACTTGGGTTGATTCAATTCCATTCAATTCCGTTCCGTTCCGTTCCGTTCCATTCCATTCCATTCCATTCCATTTCCTTCCATTGCATTCCACTGGGGTTGATTCCATTCCTTTCCATTCCTTTCCATTCCATTCCATTCCATTCCATTCCATACCCTTCGGGTTGATTCCTTTCCATTCCATTCCATTCCATACCATTCCCGTCCATTCTGTTCCATTCCATTCGGGTTGATTCTGTTCCATTCCATGCCTTTTTATTCCATTCCATTCCATTCCATATCATTCCACCAAAGTTGATTGAATGTTATTCCATTCCATTCCATACCATTCCACCAAAGTTGATTGCATGTTATTCCATTCCATTCCATTCCATTCCACCCATTCCATTCCTTTCCACTCGGGTTGATTCCATTCCATTCAATTCCGTTCCGTTCTGTTCCATTCCTTTCCGTTCCATTCCATTCCGTTTCATTCCATTGCATTCCACTCGGGTTGATTCCATTACTTTCCATTCCATTCCACTACATTCAATTCCATACCCTTCGGGTTGATTCCTTTCCATTCCATTCCATTCCATTCCATTCCATACCATTCCACTCCATTCCGCTCCATTCCATTCGGGTTGATTCCGTTCCATTCCATGCCCTTTTATTCCATTCCATTCCATTCCGTTCCATTCCACTCCATTCCATTCCATACCATTCCACCAAATTTGATTGCATGTTATTCCATTCCATTCCATTCCATTCCATTCCATTCCATTCCATTCCATTCCACTCGGTTTGATTCTTTTCCATTCCATTCCATTCCATTCCTCTCGGGTTGATTCCATTCCATTCCATGCCCTTTTATTCCATTCCATTCCATTTCATTCCATTCCATTCCATTCCATACCATTCCACCAAAGTTGACTGCATGCTATTCCATTCCATTCCATTCCATTCCATTCCATTCCATTCCATTCCATTCCATTCCATTCCGTTCCTTTCCACTTGGGTTGATTCCATTCTATTCAATTCCGTTCCGTTCCGTTCCATTCCATTCCATTCCATTCCATTCCATTTCCTTCCATTGCATTCCACTGGGGTTGATTCCATTCCCTTCCATTCCATTCCATTCCATTCCATTCCATTCCATTCCATACCCTTCGGGTTGATTCCTTTCCATTCCATTCCATTCCATACCATTCCACTCCATTCTGTTCCATTCCATTCAGGTTGATTCTGTTCCATTCCATACCCTTTTATTCCATTCCATTCCATTCCATACCATTCCACCAAGTTGATTGCATGTTATTCCATTCCATTCCATCCATTCCATTCCTTTCCACTCGGGTTGATTCCATTCCATTCAATTATGTTCCGTTCCGTTCCTTTCCGTTCCATTCCATTCCGTTTCATTCCGTTGCATTCCACTCGGGTTGATTCCATTACTTTCCATTCCATTCCATTCCATTCAATTCCATACCCTTCGGGTTGATTCCTTTCCATTCCATTCCATTCCATACGATTCCACTCCATTCCACTCCATTCCATTCGGGTTGATTCCGTTCCATTCCATGCCATTTTATTCCATTCCATTCCATTCCGTTCCATTCCACTCCATTCCATTCCATTCCATACCATTCCACCAAAGTTGATTGCATGTTATTCCATTCCATTCCATTCCATTCCATTCCATTCCATTCCATTCCATTCAATTCAATTCCATTCCTTTCCATTCCATTCCTTTCCACTCGGGTTGTTTCCATTCCATTCAATTCCGTTCCGTTCCATTCCGTTCCGTTCCATTCCATTCCATTCATTCCATTGCATTCCACTCGGGTTGATTCCATTCCATTGCATTCCATTCCATTCCATTGCATTCCATTCCATTCCATTCCATTCCATTCCATACCCTTCGGGTTGATTCCTTTCTATTCCATTCCATTCCATACCATTCCACTCCATTCCGTTCTATTCCATTCGGGTTGATTCCATTCCATTCCGTTCCGTTCCATTTCATTCCATACCATTCCACTATGGTTGATCCCATACCATTCCATTCCATTGCATTCCATTCCATTCCATTCCACTCGGGTTGATTCCATTCCATTCCATTCCAATCCGTTCCATTCCATTCCATTCCATTCCTTTCCATTTGATTCCATTCCATTCAATTCCATTCCATTCCATTCGGGTTGATTCCATTCCATTCCTTTCCATTCCATTCCATTCCATTCCATTCCATTCCATTCCATTCCACTCCAATTGATTCCATTCCATTCCATTCCATTCCATTCCATTCCATTCCATTCATTCCATTCCAGTTGATTCCATTCGATTCCATTCCATTCCATTCCATTCCATTCCATTCCATTCCATTCCATTCCATTCCATTCCATTCGACTCGGGTTGATTCCAATCCATTCCATTCCAATCCATTCCATGCCATTCCATTCCATTCCATTCCATTCTGGTTGATTCCATTCCGTAGAATTTCTTTCCATTCCAATCCATTCCATTCCGTTCCATTCCATTCCATTCCATTCTATTCCACTCGAGTTAATTCCATTCCTTTGAATTCCATTGCTTTCCATTCCATTCCATTCCATTCCTTTTCATTCTATTACACTCGGTTGTTTCCATTCCATTCATTTCTTTTCCATTCCATTCCATTCCTTTCCATTCCAGTCATGTTGATTCCATTCATTCCATTCCCTTACATTACGTTCCATTCCATTCCAGTTGATTCCATTGCATTCCATTCCATTCCATTCCATTCTACTCCTTTCCATTCCACTCTGGTTGATTCCATTCCATTCCATTCCATTCCATTCCACTCCATTCCGTTCCACTCGGGTTGATTCCATTCCATTCCATTCCATTCCATTCCATTGCATTCCATTCCATTTCACTCGGGTTGATGCCATTCTATTCCAATCTATTTTATTCCTTTCCATTCCATTCCATTCCATTCCATACCATTCCACTCGGGTGGATTCCATAACATTCCATTCTATTCCATTGCATTCCTTTCCATTCCATTCCACTTGTGTTGATTCCATTCCATTCCATTCCATTCCATTCCATTCCATTCCATTCCATTCCATTCCATTCCATTCCATTCGGGTTGATTCCATTCCATTCCATTCCATTTCATTCCATTCCATTCCATTCCATTACACTCCATTCCATTCCATTCCACTCCATTCCATTCCATTCCATTCCATTCCACTCCATTCCATTCCATTCCATTCCACCCAGATTGATTCCATTCTATTCCATTCCATTCCGTTCCATTCCATTCCAGTTGATTCCAATGCCTTCCATTCCATTCCATTCCACTGCATTCCATTCCACTCCATTCCACTCGGGTTGATTCCATTCCATTCCATTCCATTCCGTTCCACTCGGGTTGATTCCATTCCATTCCTTTCCATTGCATTTCACTCGGGTTGATTCCATTCCATTCCGTTCCATTTTATTCCATTCCATTCCATTCCATACCTTTCCATTCCACACGGGTTAATTCCATTCCATTCCATTCCATTGCATTCCATTCCATTCCATTCCATTCCATTCAATTGCATTCCATTCCATTCCATTCCATTCCATTCGGGTTGATCCCTTTCCATTCCATTCCATCCCATTCCATTCCACTCCATTCCATTCCTTTCAATTCATTTACATTCCATTCCACTCCATTCCATTCCATTGAATTCCTTTCCGTACCACTCCATTCTATTCCATTCTATTCCACTCGGGTTTATTCCATTCCATTCCAATCCATTCCATTCCATTGCATTCCACTCGTGTTCATTCCATTCCATTCCATTCTATCCCGTTCCTTTCCATTCTATTCCATTCCATTCCATTCCCTTACACTGGTGTTCATTCCATTCCGTTCCGTTCCATTCCATTCTATTCATTTCCATTCCTTTCCATTGCACTCCACTCGGGTTGATTCCATTCCTTTCCATTCTATTCCATTCCATTCATTTAAATTCCATTCCATTCCATTCCATTCCAGTTCATTCCATTCCTTTCCATTCCATTCCATTCCCTTCCATTCCATTCCATTCCCTTCCATTCCATTCCATTCAATTCCATTCCGTTGCATTGGAATCGGGTTGATTCCAATCCATTCCATTACATTCCAGTCTTTTCCATTCCATTCCATTCCACTCTGTTTGTTTCCATTACGTTGAATTGCATTCCGTTCCATTCCATTCCATTCCATTGAAATTCATTGCATTCCATTCCACTTGGTTTGTTTCCTTTCCATTCCATTAGTTTCCAATAAATTCCCTTGTATTCATTCCATTCCATTCCATTCCATTCCACTCATGTTGATTCTGTTCCATTCCATTCCATTCCATTCCATTCCATTCCATTCCATTCCATTCCATTCCATTCTAGTTGATTCCATTGCATTCCGTGCTGTTCCATTCCATTCCACTCCATTCGAATCCATTCCACTTGGGTTGATTCCATTCCATTACATTACATTCAATTCAATTCCATTCAATTCCATTCCATTGCATTCCACTCGGGTTGATTCCATTCCATTCCATTGCATTCCATTCCATTCCATTTCCTTTCATTCCAGTTGATTCCATTCCATTCCATTCCATTCCATTCCATTCCATTCCATTCCATTCCATTCCATTCTGTTCCACTAGGGTTGATTTCATTCGATTCCGTTCCATTCCTGTTTTCCCTTCCATTCCATTCCATTGCATTCCACTCGGGTTGACTCCATTCCATGACATTGCATTCCATTCCTTTCTATTAAATTCCATTCTTTTCCATTCCATTCCTTTCCACTCGAGTTGATTCCATTCCATTCTATTCCATTCCGTACAATTCCATTCCATTCCATTTCAATCGGGTTGATTCCATTCCATTCAATTCTATTCCATTCCTTTCCATTCCATGCCTCTCAGGTTAATTCTATTCCATTCCATTCCATTGCTTTCCCTTCCATTCCATTCCACTCGGGTGATTCCATTCCATTCCATTCCACTCGGGATAACTCCATTCCATTCCAATCCATTCCTCTCGGGTTGATTCCATTCCATTCCATTCCATTCCATTCCAATCCATTCCATTCCATTCCATTCCATTCCATTCCATTCCATTCCATTCCGTTCCATTCCATTTCTTTCCATTTGATTCCATTCCATTGAATTCCATTCCATTCCTTTCCATTCCAATCCTTTCCACTCGGGTTGATTCCATTCCGTTGCATTCCATTCTTATGGTTTTATATAAATTTTAGGATTTTTTTTCTATTTCTGTGAAGTGTGTTATTAGTATTTCAATAAGGATTGCATTGAATCTGTAGATTGCTTTGTGAAGTATGGGTATTTTAATAATATTTACTCTTCCAATAAATGAACATGGGCAATCTTTCCATTTTTTTTGTGTCCTCTTTAATTTTTTTGCATCAATATTTTATACTTTTCATTGTAGAGATCTTTCACTTCTTCTGTTATGTTTATTCCCAGTTATTTTATTTTATTTGTAGCTATTGTAAATGGGTTTACATTCTTGATTTTCTTCTTTAGATTGTTCATTTTTGTCATTTAGAAATGCTACTCACTTTTGTAGCTTGATTTTGTATGTTGTGACTCTGAATTTGTTGATCAGTTCTAATAGTTTTTTGGTGGAGTCCTTAGGTTTTTCCAAATATAAGATCAAGTCATCTGCAAACAATAAAACATTAATAATTTTACTTCTTTCCAATGTGCATCCCTTTTATTGTTTTTCTCTTGTCTGAATTGCTCTAGCTAGGACTTCCAGTACTGTGTTGAGTAACAGTGTTGGAAGTGGACATTCTTGTCTTGTTCCAGATCTTAGAAGAAAGGCTTTCAGCTTTTCCCTGTTCAGGATGATACTGGCTGTGGGTCTGCTGCATTTGGTTTTTATTGTGTTGTGGTATGTTCCTTCTATATCTAGTTTTTTTTGAGGGTTTCTTTTTATCACAGGGATGTTGAATTTTATTAAATGCTTTTCATTATCAATTGAAATTATCATATGGTTTTTGTCCTTCATTCTGTTGATATGATGTGTCACATTGAGTGATTTGCATATGTTGAACCATGTTGGCATCATCGGGATAAATCCCACTTAGACGTGATGAATGGTCTTTTTCATAGGATGAGTTTGGAATACTACAGCCTTCTCTGTTTTTTGGAATAGTTTGGGTAGGATTGATAGTAATTCTGCCTTCAATGTTTGGTAAAATTAATCCATGAAGCCAGTGAAGCCATTGAATCCAGGCTTTTCTTTGCTAGGAGATGTTTTATTATGGCTTCAATTTCATTTATCCATTTCTTCTAGGTTTTTTTTTTTGAGATGGAATCTTGCTCTGTCACCCAGGCTGCTTCGTGGTACAATCTCAGCTCACTGCAGCCTCTGCCTCCCAGGTTCAAGTGATTTTCCTGCCTCAGCCTCTGGAGTAGCTGGAAGTACAGGTGCATGCCACCATACCTGGCTAATTTTTGTATTTGTAGTAGAGATGGGGTTTCACCATGTTGGCCAGGCTGGTCTTGAACTCCTGACCTCAGGTGATCACCTGCCTTGGCTTCCCAAAGTGTTGGGATTACAGGCATGAGCCACGGTGCCCAGCCATTTCTTCCAGGTTTTTCAATTTATTGGAATATAGTCGGTCATAATAGTTTCTAACGATTCTTTGAATTTCCACAGTATCAGTTATAGTGTCTCCTTTTCAATCTCTGGTTTTATGTATTGGAATCTTCTCTCTTTTTTCTTAGTCTGGTTAAATGTTTGTTGATTTTGTTGGTCTTTTAAAAATATTAACTTTTCATTTCATTGATATTTTATATTGCTAAATTTCAATTTCATTTATTTCTGCTCCGACCTTTGCTATGCTTCCTTCTACTAATTTTGGTTTTGGTTTGTTCTTGCTTTTCTAATTATTTAAGATGCATTATTAGGTTGTTTATTTGAAGCTTTTCTACTTTTTTTGATGTAGGTGCTTTTTTCTATAAACTTACCTCTTAGTACTGTAGTACTGTTTTTACTGTATCCCATAGGTTTTTTTTTTTTTTGAAATGGAGTCTCGCTCTGTTTCCCAGGCTGGAGTGCAGTGACGCGATCTTGGCTCACTGCAAGCTCCGCCTCCTGGGTTCACGCCATTCTCGTGCCTCAGCCTCCCAAGTAGCTGGGACTACAGGCGCCCGCCTTCACGCCCGGCTAATTTTTTTTTTTTGCATTTTTAGTAGAGATGGGGTTTCACCGTGTTAGCCAGGATGGACTCAATCTCCTGACCCTATCATCCGCCCGCCTTGGCCTCCCAAAGTGCTGGGATTACAGGCATGAGCCACTGCGCCCGGCCTCTACCCTAGGTTTTGGTTTGACTTTAAACTTTTTCTTTTCTTGAAAACTCAGTGTCATGGTACCGGCTTCTTGTGCTTTGGGCAGTGAGACCCTTTTACTTGATAACAATGGTAGCTGGGACAATTTGGCAATGTAAATAAATAAACAGCATCTAGATTGGAAAAGAAGAAGTACAGTTATCTTTATGTACAGATGACATGATCTTGCATTTAGAAAATCGTAAGAAATTTACTAAAAAGTATTAGGACTCATGAACAAATTTAAGAATGTAACACTGTATAAGATTGGTATACAAAAATAACTGTATTTCTTTACCAAGAAATCAAGAATCCAAAAATGGAATTACAAAAATAAATCTTGTTACAATAGAATTAAAGCTGGGGAAGCTTAAACTTGAACACTAAAAACTACAATACATGGTTAGCGTTGGAAACACCCAGATACCATCCCTGAGCCTTCTCTCCTTGGCTCTGAGGGCTTTACCTTCACGGGGTGAGGAAAGGGGTTGCATTCTTGGCTTTTACATTATATTAGGTGGGTTCGGGTTGAGGTATCTGCAATTCAAATGAGTATTACAATCTCTACTTTTATGGATAAGAGACTGAGGCCCACCAAGAGAGGGAATGACAGTCCATATCCTGGAAGGTGAATTGTCAGGCACTGATTTCCGCTATTTAACCCCTGCCAATCATCAAGTATTTAAAGGATCCCCGGATACCATACCAATAGGTGTTCAAGAGAGAGGCCTGTAATCTAGGCGTCTGAGAAAACAAGGCTATAGATTCCAATATTAGAGACAACAGGGCTCTGGGAAGATTAAGGTTGAGTTTTCTGGATCTGCAGAATAGAGTCACTGAGGACCAATTGCAAGATCAGAGGAGATGAAAGAACAAGTCAGGGCATGCTTAGGAAAAGAGAATACCAGGGATAGGTTTTAGGCAAGAGTCACACTGAGGAAGGGCAGGTTCTTGGCGTCGCTCAGGAAGAAATCCAAAAGCAAGCCTCTGGTGGAAGAAAGCAGCTCTACGGAGGCATTGGCGGTGTTACAACCCTGCATCCACTCCGGCAGGGCAGGGAGCCCTCCGTGGGTTGTGCTCCCAGAGCAGCAGCCTAGGGGTGGCTTGTAGTCACTTTTATAATTCACTTTTAATGGCATGCTAATTAAGGGGCGGGTTATTCAGAGATAGCTAGAAATGGGCAGTAACTTCCATCTGTTTCCATGGCAAGGGGTGGGGACTTCTCGTGATGACATGGCATTGGCAAACTGTCATGGCACTGGAGGGAGCGTCTTCTGGTGATCTGAGGTGTGAGGTGCTTTCGCTGCCTCTCCCAGTTTCCTGCGTGCCTCTTACCTGAAAGCCTATCAACACCCCCATCTGCCCACCTACAAACGTCACTGCCCTTTCACCCCACCCCCGTTTCACACGCACTCCCACATCAACCCTGAGCATTCAAGCCTGCGTTTCCCTGTTAGGAACATCGGTGGTAGCCAGAGCTCTGAGAAACCCCTATGCAGAACTCCTTGCCTAGTTTGTGGCAGAAATCAGGGAAGGAAAGGCAAATTTCAGGTCTTTCTCACAATAAATAAATAAAGATAGGTAGATTTGATTGATGGATGGATGGATGAAACGTGGGAGTCTACGGGCAAATATTTATCAGACACTGGAAGTGAAAGTTGTCACAAAGATTATGGAGTGCACCTGTCTTATGACCCTGTTATTTTATCCTAGTATATGCACTAGAGCATATTTTCTAACTGTGTAAATTGAAGGCTCACAAATTAGTTTAGTGAGAGAAAAGATAACAGATTGGAAGAGAATTACCATATTCATTAGTTGTGTTTTTAAAATTTTAAAGTAAAATAGAGACATGATTTTTTTCATGCTTTCGAATGCATCTATAAAAAATAGACTTGAGGGCTGGGCGCAGTGGCTCACACTTGTAATCGCAGCACCTTGGGAGGCCGAGGAGGGCGGATCACGAGGTCAGGAGTTGGAGACCAGCCTGACCAACATGGTGAAAACCCGTCTCTACTAAAAATACAAAAATTAGGCGAGTGTGGTGGCGCGCGCCTGTAATCCCAGGTACTTAGGAGGCTGAGGCAGGAGAATCACTTGAACCCGGGAAGCGGAGGTTGCAGTGAGCCAAGATCGCACCATTGCATTCCAGCCTGGGCGACAGAGTGAGACTCTGTCTCAAAAAAAAAAAAAAAGTTACTGATTAATAGCATAGACCAATTGGCCTCTATTGAAATTTCTTCATTATTTTCACAATGTCCCAGGCTGTGAAACCAGTATTTAATAAAGAACCAGAATGCCACATCTGTGTCAACTGGGTAGGGACCAGTCCTGATACATTAAGTCCGGGTCTCTGGGTAACTGGACTCAACTGCTGGGCAAAACAGAATGTCCGGTGTGGGTTCCTAAAGGAGGACCGCAAAGCCTCATGGGAATTGTAGTGTCACCTTCCAATGACGTTACCATCAAGGACCTTGGGAACCAGCTTTTCTCTCTGCGGATGCGCCGCCCGGCCCACTCCGCCATTTTCCTCCGGAAGTGTGGCACCCAGAGGCGGTCCTGTAGCTGGGCCGGCTTGGGGCTTGGTTCTATGTCCCTGTGGGTTGGTGCAAGGGCCAGGAGGAACCCGTGAGCCTCAGGGGATCCCAGGGGGCCGGACCAGTGTTCCCTAGTTGTGGGAACAGACGCGTGGGCGCATCGCGGGAGGGCAGGGCCTGAAGAGCAGGTGCGGGCTGCGGACCCTGGCGGGGGCTGGGAGGACAGGCGTGGGGTCCCAGCAGTGACGCGGGTTCTAGAGGCACAGGAGCGGGTAGGAGAGGCCGGTGGCCCTGGGCCCGGAGTCTGCAGGCTGCGCTCCTGTCCTGCCGCTGAGGGACCCGGTTACCAACCCGCATGACGCTCAGTTTGCCCATCTGTCCCAGTGCTAACACACAGTTCTCGGGAGACGTTCCCCATTCCCAGAGGAGTAGTGTGAAACGCGTGCGCCTCTAGTCTTAAACTTGACGTTTGTATTAGTTGGGTTTCCTGGTGTCTCTTTAGCAAGTGAAGTTTCTGGTTCCCTCCTTCACTGTGTGACCTGCCTAGTCCTCCTGGGTCGCATTTACAGAAGTTTATACGAGACCTAGTTTCCAGGGAAGAACTCACTGATTCCGCGAGGGAGATGGCGTAATAGATGATGGTCGTCAGCCTTAAGGGTACTTCAGTCTTAACTGTGTGTTAGAAAGTTTGAAAGGGAGGGTTCCCTATGAATAAGAAGCACACTTGAAAGAACAGCCGTCTGGTCTAACCTCTCACTGGTGCTTCAGAGGAGGAAAAAAGGTCACAGGTGAAGATCCCAGTTTTCCTTGCTCAGGAAATATTAATTCTACTCCCTAGAATGCACAAGATTTGCAAAGACTAGGTGATAGTAGAAGGTTTGGACGAACTTTCAGAAGGTTGAGGTGAATTCAGCTGAGAAAAACAGGCAAGGACTTAGGAAATATTCCTTATTTGAAGGGGTCTGAAAGTGTGGTCTGTGGTACAGGAGTGACCTGTCATACTTGAGAGGATTAAAATACTCTCCACAGTCCCATTCCTTCAATCTTAGCTCGTTTTTTCGCGTCTGAGATATATTAAACCTAGTCCATCACCAAATTTAGCATTAGATTGAGAAGTTCTATTGATTGTATTTGATTTGTAATTTAAGATTTTCTCCCCCTACATAATTTTGTTAAAAACACAGAAGTGAATTCTGTTCACTTAGGTGTAACAGTTAATACTTGCTGTTTAAGGAACTAATTAAACCTTACTGGCTTATAAAAAACAACCACCATTTTATTTGTTTGAAGTTCTGTGGATCTGCATTTTGGTGTGGTGGATTCACCTGGGTAGTTGATATATTTGTGTTGCCTGGATCACAAAAAGGCCTTAGTCACCTGGTGCCTTGACTGAGCCTGGTTGGTTTAAGATAGTTTCCTTCACAATCTGGTGGTTTGTGGTGACTCTTGGCTAGGCCCTGTGTCTCCAACAGGGTAGCTCCAGACCTCTTCACAATTTCTCCCAAAAAGGGAAGAACCAATGGATATTTGCATCACATTTTCCATTGTCCATTCACTGGACAAGTCAGATGGAAAAGCCCAATTTATTGTCAGAGCATAATATGAGGGCTTGGATAGAAGGAAAAGTGTTATTGGGAAACATGAGTGGAATGGTGTACTGTAGGAAATACGCATTATGTACATTTTAAAAAACGTAATTGTAGGCCAAAATTGCTGGTTTGCAAGATGCACTTTCCATGATGTTCAGGTATAGAAAAGCAAGAGGTACTGTCACGGGAACACTCATATGAAGTTATTTGTGGAATCTACATATTAATAGGAAAATAGTTAATACAGCCCAGTATATTTCTATAACATTTATTTTAGTGAACTTATGTTTCTTTGTATTAAATTATTAGATTATATCTTTAGATAATATTGTTACTAAATTAGTAGGTAATACATATATTTATTCAAAAATAAATTGTGCATCTAATGTCTACCAATTAATGTACTTGTCTATGTATCTTATCTTAACTTGAGCCTCTGCTGCCCCTAATGAGGCGTGAAGAACTCTTCTCCCCTGGAGAAGTTTTTCTTTTTCAGGAGGGAGGAGGGCTTTCCCAGGTAATGTCTCTAGAGCGTTGGGCAGAAGAATCTGGGACCACACCACACCAGTTCTCTCCTTAATCCACGTCATTTGCCTTCTATCCCAGCTATGTTTCCAGTGTCCTCTGGGTGTTTCCAAGAGCAACAAGAAACGAATAAATCTCTGGTGAGTTGCTTACTTGTTCTTCACTTTGTTTTACACTGTATTTTCTGAGTTTATGGGTGTCTGTGAATTAAAAAGGAAAAGTAGAAATAAGTAAAACTCAGGTTGAAGGAAATATACATAAATAAGATAAAGCTGACCTGTAGATATAGGCAGGTTATAAGAGCTTAGAGTAGTCTCAGTTGGGTGCAAATTTTCCTCTGATCTTTCTGATGCCGAGACAAAAAAGGCAGTCATATTTGTTACGTAATTGGAATGGAACCCGAGAAGAGAGCATGCTGTGTTCTTGTGGGACAGGAAAGATTGTGTGCACCAAGTCCGAACCACCACCTTCATTGGTGACATAGATTATGTGCTGGAACATATTTCACACCGGCCTGGCAGTAACCACTTGTAGTGTTGTGCAGTGGAAACGGTCATCTTCCGCTAAAGCACAGCGTGTTGTGCAGTGGAAATGGTCATCTGCCGCTAAAGCACAGCTTCCATCGTAAGGTGTGCTCATTGCTCAAAGAGTGTGGTCCCAAACAGCTTTTGGGAGGTCCTCCTTGATTCATGGATGAAACCCAGAACATCTTGAGGACTGAGTTAACCATAGGCCCTTAAATAACTCTCCAGACATTTTTCTTAGTTTATCTCTACATGCAGGGTGTGCAGCAGCCTGTTCAAAGTCATATTTTCTGGGAAATATTTCCAGTGTTTATTTGCACTTTAGCCCACTCTGTGTAGTCTTAACTTATTTCTTCTAAACTCACCATTAACCTAAATAATAGTCAAATTTAGGGGGACTGTATTTGACTTACTCAAGTCTTCTACCATAGTTGAAACTGTAGTACCCGAGTAAGTTAGAGATAAACGCCACACTTTGAGACGAATTCAGGGGTCCTTTATTAGCTGGTGACTGAGAGACGGCTAATGCACGAAATTCTCTCGGCCCCGAGGAAGGGACTAGATTTTCTTTTATAATTTGGTTTAGAGAGGGGAGGGGGGATTCTAGCTGCAGCAACTTTACAGAAGAAAAAAACAGACAAAAAAGTTAAAAAGACAGATGGTTACAGGAAAACAAACTGTTCCAGGTGCAGGGGCTTTAAATTCACCACAAAGTGATAGGTGAGGGGGCTCTGGGCATTATCTGCCAGACAAATGTGGGGCTTTATGATACTATCTCTGAATAAATTGCTGGGAACTGCAGACATCGCTTGTCTAAGCACTTTATCAGTTAATTGCACTCTTTGATATGTTGAAAGTCAACTTGCACAAGTTAAAGTCCTTGAGGAAAGGGGGTGGGTAGGGAGCCCTTGATGTCTTGTAAATGAAGGAGCCAAATGGAGTTTGTCTGGTTTTCTCAGCTAAGGGAGAGTCTATTCATATTAAAAACAAGGTTATCTATCTAAGGAAGAGTCTATTCATGTTACAACGTTGGGTATTACAAAACATCTGTTCATGATCTGGAAATTCATCTGTGTTAGTTCTGTTAAAAGAAAAACTTTAAAGGAGTTTAATAGAGCAATAAACGATTCACGAATCAGACAGTCCCCAGAATCACAGCAGATTCACAGAGACTCCAGCGCATTCGTGTGGTGGAAGAAGATTTATAGACAAAAGGGAAATGGCATACTGAAATCGGAAGTGAGGTACAGAAACAACTCAGTGTTTGCCTTGTTTGAACACAGTTTGAACATTTGGCAGTGCCTGAGTGGTTGAAGTTTGGCCATTGGGATTGGCCAAGATGTAGCTGTTGTTCAAGATGCATACTCTTAAGTTAGTTTTTCATTCTTCTATACCTATTAAGGTAGGTTACAGTTCATCCACAATGACTCATATATAGAATTATGGAGTCCTTCTCAGGCCATACTTAGTTCACTTTAACAATGCCTTCCCTTTGGTTATTTTCTCAATTTTGAGAGATTGGCCAAAACTTCAGTCACTGGTGTCACTATTACCATTGCAAATGTACTTACTTGGTTTAGAAACCCACTGGGAAATAGACCAGTGAGATTTGAAAAGGTGGAACAAGGACTTGAGTAGAAGGTGTCTTCTTATGCTGGAACATCCTGTTTACAGGAGAAAAACAAAACCTGGTTTGTTCTAGGATTTATGTGTTTCCTTAAAGTCTTAGTTTGATTATGTTACATTTAGCATGAGTGACTCCATTTTGGTTTGGTTTGGTCTGTTGGGACCTATTGCATGAGTTTAGTTCAAAACAATGACCTCCCATAATTTTGCTTAAAAAATTCCTCCTTTTGGCTGGGCGCGGTGGCTCACACATGTAATCCCAGCACTTTGGGAGGCTGAGGTGGGCAGATCACGAGGTCAGGAGATTGAGACCATCCTTGCTAATAAGGTGAAACCCCATCTCTACTAAAAATACAAAAAATTAGCCAAGCGTAGTGGTGGGTGCCTGTAGTCCCAGCTACTCAGGAGGCTGAGGTAGGAGAATGGCCTGAACCTGGGAGGTGGAGCTTGCAGTGAGCCAAGATTTTGCCACTGCACTCCACTCTGGGGGACAGGCCAAGACTCTGTCTTAGAAAAAAAAGTCCTCCTTTTCAGTCAAGTTCTCACTTAGTTGCGAGTGTGACTAAAATATAGGGCCTTAGCATCACTCTTAGTTACCATTGTTTTGGGTTCCGGGTTTAGCACGTCATTCCCATTGTTTTGGGTTTCTGGTTTAGCACATCACTCCCATTGTTTTGGGTTCCAGTTTTAGCACGTCACTCCCATTGTTTTGGGTTCTGGTTTAGCACGTCACTCCCATTGTTTTGGGTTCTGGTTTTAGCACGTCACTCCCATTGTTTTGGGTTTCTGGTTTAGCAGGATGCTCCCATTGTTTTCAGTTTCTGATTTAGCAGGATGCTCCCATTGTTTTGGGTTTCTGGTTTAGCAGGTCACTCCCATTGTTTTGGGTTCCAGTTTTAGCACGTCACTCCCGTTGTTTTGGGTTCCAGTTTTAGCACGTCACTCCCATTGTTTTGGGTTTCTGGTTTAGCAGGTCACTCCCATTGTTTTCGGTTTCTGGGTTAGCAGGATGCTCCCATTGTTTTGGGTTTCTGGTTTAGCAGGTCACTCCCATTGTTTTGGGTTCCGGTTTTAGCACATCACTCCCATTGTTTTCATTTCCGGTTTTAGCACATCACTCCCATTGTTTTGGGTTCCAGTTTTAGCAAGTCACTCCCATTGTTTTGGGTTCTGATTTTAGTGCACGTCACCCCCATTGTTTTGGGTTCCAGTTTTAGTATATCACTCTCATTGTTTTGGGTTTCTGGTTTAGCACGTCACTCCCATTGTTTTGGGTTTCTGGTTTCGCAGGTCACTCCCATTGTTTTGGGTTCTGGTTTAAGCACATCACTCCCATTGTTTTCATTTCCGCTTTTGGCACGTCACTCCCATTGTTTTGGGTTCCAGTTTTAGCAAGTCACTCCCATTGTTTTGGGTTTCTTGTTTAGCACGTCACTCCCATTGTTTTGGGTTCTGGTTTTAGTGCACGTCACTCCCATTGTTTTGGGTTCCCGTTTTAGTACATCACTCCCATTGTTTTGGGTTTCTGGTTTAGCATGTCACCCCCATTGTTTTGGGTTTCCGGTTTAGCATGTCACTCATAGGTTATGGTGTCCTTACGGTTGCCCTTTTTTTTTAATCTCTTGTCATTCCAGTTGAAGAGATACCATTTGATATTTTAGAGATGCCTGCATGCAAACTCTTAAAACATTTGAGTAAGTACAGTGCAACAGGGAGACTCTTATGACTGTTGGGATAACACCAAGAATTTGGTATATGCTCCTAACTCAGGGTCCCCATAAATCAAACCACCTAAAATCAAATAGATTAAAGAATGAATTAGATAAAGAGTTTACTTGCTTAACTAAGTGGGTTTTTTTGTTAATTCCCTACAACCAAATTTTTATAATACCCCATGTTTTCTCCACATGCTGTAAGTGTTAGCAGCTGCACAGATACTTAAGATAAGTGTCTCATGATAGTAGAGAAGTCTTGATCTGTGATCGTGGGAAAAGCTGTTCACATTAAGGATGCCATCTTCTTCTGGGGGGAACTGTCCTTGTTAGCTTTACCTTAAGGGTTCCAATGGGTATATGGTTCCAAGTGTGGAAGGACCTTTCTGAGTTGTGAGACTATGAACCCAAAGTTTAAGGTTTTAAAGTTTTGCTGTCATGTGGATGGCAAGGGCAGTCCTTCTCTGATGTTCTCAGAAGATCCAGTCATCAGATTCCAGATTTTGAAGGAGTTGACTGTCCTCAGCGAACCATAAAAGGCTTTCTTTACCTGGTGAAAATACACTTCAGGGTAATAATGTACTGTTTTAACATCAACTCTCTCGCATGGAAGAGCTTTTATACAATCAGAAAACATGCACTGAAAATGACAACTGAATCAAATCCCTTTATAAAATGTTTAAATGGCCCATCAGGTAACCAAATGTACCTGAAGTTTTGATTGTTTTCCTAGAAATATAGGTTTGACAAACTAAACATTGGTTATAAACTATTTTAGCAGTTTAGAAATCACCACACCAATATATTTAATTTGGATCATTTTCTCTTTCCATGATGAGTTATGGAATGCAGAACTTTTAATAACAAAAGTTTTAAGGACTTAAGAAGGATAAGGTGGCCATCCTGGTTCTTCATAAGTCTGTGCTTAATTAACATTAGACTTACATCCTCTTGAATACCAGCTGTTTCTCCAAATTACGTGCATGGCACTGGTAACTGATGAGTAGTTATAGGTGATTTGACTTAGACCATGGAGTTTATTTAAATTATATACCTAAACAATTTCAATATTGGTGATTTAGCATGCAAATGTGGCAAAATATTTCCTTGGTATACAATTTTTGTTTTACTTAGGTTAGCAGTTTTATAAACCAGTTGGTCTATTTATTAAACTTTTGGGCTTTTTTTTGAGACAGAGTCTCACTCTGTTACCTAGGTTGGAGTGCAGTGGCAAAATCTTGGCTCACTGCAACCTCCACCTCCTGGGTTCAAACAATTCTCTTGCCTCAGCCTCCAGAGTAGCTGGGATTACAGGCACAAACCACCACACCCGGCTAATTTTTACTAATTTTTACATTTTTAGTAGAGGTGGGGTTTCACCGTTAGCCAGGCTGGTCTCAAACTCCTGACCTCAAGTGATCCACTGGCCTTGGCCTCCCAAAGTGCTGGGATTGCTGACGTGAGCCGCTGCACCCAGCCTAACTTTTGAGAATTCTTAACCTGTCCAATTCTTGGGGTATCAGGGAACTTATGGGGAATTTTTACCCATTATATTAAAGTTATTAAAAATCTGTGTTCACGAGTGTTTTTCAGGATCCTTTTCATTCTTTCATGAATCTTCTAAGAGACACCATATTCTAGAATTTTGCATGCTTGTGAAGTTTTTAGAAACTGCATCACCATTAAGCAATTAACTGTGGAAATGACTTTAAATAGTTATAGATAAAGACAATTGACAAGGAAATTTGGTTATTTCTGTGGTCTACAATAACTTAATAACCATAATTAGGGTGGATGTGGTGGCTCATGCCTGTAATCCCGCACTTTGGGAGGCCGAGGTGGAAGGATCACGAGGTCAGGAGATCGAGACCATCCTGGCTAACACAGTGAAATCTGTCTTTGCTAAAAATACAAAAATTAGCCTGGCATGGTGGTGGGTGCCTGTAGTCCCAGCTACTCAGGAGGCTGAGGCAGGAGAATGGCATGAACTCGGGAGGTGGAGGTTGCAGTGAGCCAAGATTGCACCACTGTACTCCAGCCTGGGTGACAGAGCAAGACTCCTTCTCAGAAAAAAAAAATACAAGAATTTTAGAAATCCTACACAAATTTAGAATGGATTGATGACATACACTGAATATAACCTAAAGAAGGTTCAACATTATTTTTTATTTTGACAGTGCTAGCCATGTGACTTAACATGTTAAATAGTCCTGTTTACCTCTCTTTTGGGTGCTTCAGGGGCCTCTGTAGTATCCCAAAGTTAGAGGTCAGAACATAAAATTTTGAAGTTGTAATTTGATTTTGGGAAGCCTATTAAATATATTAAAGGTTTAAACACTTGATGTTATGAAATAGAATTCCACGTCAACGTAAGTCATTCATTTACCTAAAATCATGACTTAAAAAATTTTTAAAGGGCAAAAATCTTTACTCATTGATAGGGGGAAGACTTATCTCCACAAATAATCTGCCTCTTGTTTTTCCTTTTTTTTGGTAGTTTATTTACAAGGCAAACAAATTTTTCATTTTTTAATTTTATTTTATTATTATTATTATTATTATTATACTTTAAGTTTTAGGGTTTATGTGCATAATGTGCCAGTTAGTTACATATGTATACATGTGCCAGTCTGGTGTGCTGCACCCCTTAACTCGTCATTTAGCATTAGGTATATCTCCTAATGCTATCCCTCCCCCTCCCCCCACCCCACAACAGTCCCCAGAGTGTGATGTTCCCCTTCCTTTGTCCATGTGTTCTCATTGTTCAATTCCCATCTATGAATGAGAACATTCAGTGATTGGTTTTTTGTCCTTGTGATAGTTTACTGAGAATGATGATTTCCAATTTCATCCATATCCCTACAAAGGACATGAACTCATCATTTTTTATGGCTGCATAGTATTCCATGGTGTATATGTGCCACAATTTCTCAATCCAGTCTATTGTTGTTGGACATTTGGGTTGGTTCCAAGTCTTTGCTATTGTGAATAGTGCAGCAATAAACATACGTGTGTATGTGTGTTTATAGCAGCATGATTTATAGTCCTTTGGTTATATACCCACTAATGGGATGGCTGGATCAAATGGTATTTCTAGTTCCAGATACTTGAGGAATCACCACACTGACTTCCACAATCGTTGAACTAGTTTACAGTCCCACCAACAGTTTAAAAGTGTTTCTATTTCTCCACATCCTCTCCAGCACCTGTTGTTTCCTGACTTTTTAATGATTGTGATTCTAACTGGTGTGAGATGGTATCTCATTGTGGTTTTGATTTGCATTTCTCTGATGGCCAGTGATGATGAGCATTTTTTCATGTGTCTTTTGGCTGCATAAAGGTCTTCTTTTGAGAAGTGTCTATTCATATCCTTCACCCACTTTTTGATGGGGTTGTATTTCTTTTCTTGTAAATTTGTTTAAGTTCGTTGTAGATTCTGGATATTAGCCCTTTGTCAGATGAGTAGGTTGCAAAAATTTTCTCCCATTTTGTAGGTTGCCTGTTCACTCTGATGGCAGTTTCTTTTGCTGTGCAGAAGTTCTTTAGTTTGATTAGATCCCATTTGTCAATTTTGGCTTTTGTTGCCATTGCTTCTGGTGTTTTAGACATGAAGTCCTTGCCCATGCCTATGTCCTGAATGGTAATGCCTAGTTTTACTTCCAGGGTTTTTATGGTTTCAGGTCTAACATTTAAGTCTTTAATCCATCTTGAATTAATTTTTGTATAAGGTGTAAGGAAGGGATCCAGTTTCAGCTTTCTACATATGGCTAGCCAGTTTTCCCAGCACCATTTATTAAATAGGGGATCCACTCCTTGTTTTTGTCAGGTTTGTCAAAGATCAGATAGTTGTAGATATGCAGCATTATTTCTGATGGCTCTGTTCTGTTCCATTGGTCTATATCTCTGTTTTGGTACCCGTACCATGCTGTTTTGGTTACTGTAGCCTTGTAGTATAGTTTGAAGTCAGGTAGGGTGATGTCTCCAGCTTTGTTCTTCTGGCTTAGGATTGACTTGGTGATGCAGGCTCTTTTTTGGTTCCATATGAGCTTTAAAGTAGTTTTTTCCAATTCTGTGAAGAAAGTCATTGGTAGCTTGATGGGGATGGCATTGAATCTATACATTACCTTGGGCAGTATGGCCATTTTCATGATATTGATTCTTCCTATCCATGAGTATGGAATGTTCTTCCATTTGTTTTTATCCTCTTTTATTTCATTGAGCAGTGGTTTGTAGTTCTCCTTGAAGAGGTCCTTCACGTCCCTTGTAAATTGGATTCCTAAGTATTTTATTCTCTTTGAAGCAATTGCATATGGGAGTTCACTCATGATTTGGCTCTCTGTTTGTCTGTTATTGGTGTATAAGAATGCTTGTGATTTTTGTACACTGATTTTGTATCCTGAGACTTTGCTGAGGTTACTTATCAGCTTAAGGAGATTTTGGGCTGAGACAATGGGGTTTTCTAGATATACAATCATGTCATCTGCAAAGAGGGACAATTTGACTTCTTCTTTTCCTAATTGAATACCCTTTATTTCCTTCTCCTGCTTGATTGCCCTGGCCAGAACTCCCAACACTATATTGAATAGGAGTGATGAGAGAGGGCATCCCTGTCTTGTGCCCGTTTTCAAAGGGAATGCTTCTAGTTTTTGCCCATTCAGTATGATATTGACTGTGGGTTTGTCATAGATAGCTCTTATTATTTTGAGATAAGTCCCATCAATACCTAATTTTTGAGAGTTTTTAGCATGAAGCATTGTTGAATTTTGTCAAAGGACTTTTCTGCATCTATTGAGATAATCATGTGGTTTTTGTCTTTGGTTCTGTTTATATGCTGGATTACGTTTATTGATTTGCATATATTGAACCAGCCTTGCATCCCAGGGATGAAACCCACTTGATCATGGTGGATAAGCTTTTTGATGTGCTGCTGGATTCGGTTTGCCAGTATTTTATTGAGGATTTTTGCATCAATGTTCGTCAAGGATATTGGTCTAAAATTCTATTTTTTGGTTGTGTCTCTTCCCGGCTTTGGTATCAGGATGATGCTGGCCTCATAAATTGAGTTAGGGAGGACTCCTTCTTTTTTTATTGATTGGAATAGTTTCAGAAGGAATGGTAACAGTTCCTCCTTGTACCTCTGGTAGAATTTGGCTGTGAATCCATCTGGTCCTGGACTCTTTTTGGTTGGTAAGCTATTGATTATTGCCACAATTTCAGATCCTATTATTGGTCTATTCAGAGATTCAACTTCTTCCTGGTTTAGTCTTGGGAGAGTGTATGTGTGGAGGAATTTATCCATTTCTTCTAGATTTTCTAGTTTATTTGTGTACAGGTGCTTGTAGTATTCTCTGATGGTAGTTTGTATTTCTGAGGGATCAGTGGTGATATCCCCTTTATTATTTTTATTGTGTCTATTTGATTCTTCTCTCTTTTTTTCTTTATTAGTCCTGCTAGCAGTGTATCAATTTTGTTGATCCTTTCATAAAACCAGCTCCTGGATTCATTAATTTTTTGAAGCGTTTTTTTGTTGCTATTTCCTTCAGTTCTGCTCTGATTTTAGTTATTTCTTGCCTTCTGCTAGCTTTTGAATGTGTTTGCTCTTGCTTTTCTAGTTCTTTTAATTGTGATGTTAGGGTGTCAATTTTGGATCTTTCCTGCTTTCCCTTGTGGGCATTTAATGCTATAAATTTCCCTGTACACACTGCTTTGAATGTGTCCCAGAGATTCCGGTATGTTGTGTCTTTGTTCTCGTTGGTTTCAAAGAACATCTTTATTTCTGCCTTCATTTTATTATGTACCCAGTAGTCATTCAGGAGCAGGTTGTTCAGTTTCCATGTAGTTGAGCAGTTTTGAGTGAGTTTCTTAATGCCGAGTTCTAGTTTGATTGCACTGTGGTCTGAGAGACAGTTTAATTTCTGTTCTTTTACATTTGCTGAAGAGGGCTTTACTTCCAAGTATGTGGTCAATTTTGGAATAGGTGTGGTGTGGTGCTGAAAAAAATGTATATTCTGTTGATTTGGTGTGGAGAGTTCTGTAGATGTCTATTAGGTCCACTTGGTGCAGGGCTGAGTTCAATTCCTTGGTATCCTTGTGAACTTTCTGTCTTATTGATCTGTCTAATGTTGACAGTGGGGTGTTAAAGTCTCCCATTATTATTGTGTGGGAGTCTAAGTCTCTTTGTAGGTCACTCAGGACTTGCTTTATGAATCTTGGTGCTCCTGTATTGGGTGCATATATATTTAGGATAGTTAGCTCTTCTTGTTGAATTGATCCCTTTACCATTATGTAATGGTCTTCTTTGTCTCTTTTGATCTTTGTTGGTTTACAGTCTGTTCCATCAGAGTCTAGGATTGCAACCCCTGCCTTTTTTTGTTTTCCATTTGCTTGGTAGATCTTCCTCCATCCTTTTATTTTGAGCCTATGTGTGTCTCTGCACGTGACGTGGGTTTCCTGAATACAGCACACTGTTGGGTCTTGACTCTTTATCCAATTAGCCAGTCTGTGTCTTTTAATTGGAGCATTTAGTCCATTTACATTTAAAGTTAATATTGTTATGTGTGAATTTGATCCTGTCATTATGATGTTAGCTGGTTATTTTGCTCGTTAATTGACGCAGTTTCTTCCTAGTCTTGATGTTCTTTACAATTTGGCATGTTTTTTCAGTGGCTGGTACCGATTGTGCCTTTCCATGTTTAGTGCTTCCTTCAGGAGCTCTTTTAGGACAGGCCTGGTGGTGACAAAATCGCTCAGCATTTGCTTGTCTGTAAAGTATTTTATTTCTCCTTCACTTATGAAGCTTAGTTTGGCTGGATATGAAATTCTGGGTTGAAAATTCTTTTCTGTAAGAATGTTGAATATTGGCCCCCACTCTCTTCTTGCTTGTAGAGTTTCTGCCAAGAGATCAGCAGTTATTCTGATGGGCTTCCCTTTATGGGTAACCTGACCTTTCTCTCTGGTTGCCCTTAACATTTTTTCCTTCATTTCAACTTTGGTGAATCTCACAATTATGTGTCTTGGAGTTGCTGTTCTCGAGGAGTATCTTTGTGGCATTCTCTGTATTTCCTGAATCTGAATGTTGGCTGGCTTTGCTGGATTGGGGAAGTTCTCCAGGATAATATCCTGCAGAGTGATTTCCAACTTGGTTCCATTCTCCCCGTCACTTTCAGGTACACCAATCAGATGCAGATTTGGTCTTTTCACATAGTCCCATATTTCTTGGAGGCTTTGTTCATTTCTTCTTATTCTTTTTTTTCTAAACTTCCCTTCTTGTTTCATTTCATTCATTTCATCTTTCATCACTGATACACTTTCTTCCAGTTGATCTCATCATCTCCTGAGGCTTCTGCATTCTTCACATAGTTCTCGAGCCTTGGCTTTCAGCTCCATTAGCTCCTTTAAGCACTTCTCTATATTGGTTATTCTAGTTATACATTCGTCTAAAGTTTTTTCAAAGTTTTCAACTTCTTTGCCTTTGGTTTGAATTTCCTCCTGTAGCTCGGAGTAGTTTGATGGTCCGAAGCCCTCTTCTCTCAACTCGTCAAAGTCATTCTCTGTCCAGCTTTGTTCCATTGCTGGTGAGGAACAGCGTTCCTTTGGCGGAGGAGAGGTGCTCTGCTTTTTAGAGTTTCCAGTTTTTCTGCTCTGTTTTTTCCCCATCTTTGTGGTTTTATCTACTTTTGGTCTTGGATGATGGTGATGTACAGATGGGTTTTTGGTGTGGATGTCCTTTCTGTTTGTTAGTTTTCCTTCTAACAGACATGACCCTCAGCTTCAGGTCTGTTGGAGTTTGCTAGAGGCCCATTCCAGACCCTGTTTGCCTGGCTATCAGCAGTGGTGTCTGCAAAATCGTGGATTTTCGTGATCCGCGAATGCTGCTGTCTGATCGTTCCTCTGGAAGTTTTGTCTCAGAGGAGTACCTGGTCGTGTGAGGTGTCAGTCTGCCCCTACTGGGGGGTGCCTCCCAGGTAGGCTGCTTGGGGGTCAGGGGTCAGGGACCCACTTGAGGAGGCAGTCTGCCCATTCTCAGATCTCCAGCTGCATGCTGGGAGAACCACTGCTCTCCTCAAAGCTGTCAGACAGGGACATTTAAGTCTGCAGAGGTTACTGCTGTCTTTTTGTTTGTCTGTGCCCTGCCCCCAGAGGTGGAGCCTGCAGAGGCAGGACGGCCTCCTTGAGCTGTGGTGGGCTCCACCCAGTTCGAGCTTCCTGGCTGCTTTGTTTACCTAAGAGAGCCTGGGCAATAGCCGGTGCCCCTCCCCCAGCCTTGCTGCTGCCTTGCAGTTTGATCTCATACTGCTGTGTTAGCCATCAGCGAGACTCCGTGTGCGTAGGACCTCCGAGCCAGGTGCCAGATATAATCTCCTGGTGTGCCGTTTCCTAAGCCCGTCAGAAAAGCACAGTGTTAGGGTGGGAGTGACCCGATTTTCCAGGTGCTGTCTGTCACCCCTTTCCTTGACCAGGAAAGGGAGCTAACTCCCTGACCCCTTGCACTTTCCTGAGTGAGGCAATGACTCACCCTGCTTCAGCTAGTGCACAGTGCACTTCACCCACTGTCCTGCGCCCACTGTCTGGCACTCCCTAGTGAGATGAACCCAGTACCTCAAATGGAAATGCAGAAATCACCGGTCTTCTGCGTCATTCATGCTGGGAGCTGTAGACTTGAGCTGTTCCTATTCGGCCATCTTGGCTCCTCCTCCCATTATTTTTTAATATTTTCTGAAAATCTTCTTTAAAGAGAGAAAGCCAAATGTCACCCACTTTTTCATAAAACCTTATAGGCCAATCTAGTATTCTTTTCTTTTTTGGAGGTGGATTTTCCCTCTTGTTGCCCAGGCTGGAGTGCAATGATGTGATCTCGGTTTACTGCAACCCCCTGCCTCCCAGGTTCAAGCAATTCTCCCGCCCTAGCCTCCTGAGTAGCTGGGATTAGAGGCATGCCACACCATGCCCAGCTAATTTTGTGTTTTTAGTAGAGACGGGGTTTTTCCTTGTTGGTCAGGCTGGCCCTGAACTCCTGACCTCAGGTGATCCACCTGCCTCGGCCTCCCCAAGTGTTGGGATTACAGGCGTGAGCCACTGCCCCTGGCCATTTTTTTTTAAAGATAATCTCTTGCTCTGTCACCCTCCTCTCCATATTATAGCTCTGGGGCCAAGCTGCATCACAATGGAAATCATGGAGCCACAGGAAGAATCCACTCAGCTTTGCCACATGCTGCCCAAGAGGTTGCTTGGAGTAACCAAATTAACATTTTTCATTCTGCTCAGAGCAAAATACATGTGACAAAACATAGACACGAGCCACTTTGCTTAGCACCCAGTGTCAAACTGGTAAGACCCAAACTTGCTCCCAGATAGGCCGTGCCACCTCTAAATCTTTTTAGAAGCTTCTGCATATTAATAGGCATCCCTAGATGAGACTAATTTGGGAGCCCTCATTTTTAAATGCACTTCAGGGCATTATTCATTTGGAATGTTCCACTGTAAGTTATCTTTAGTAAGATTTTGCCATTTCTGTAAGACTTTGCTGCTTCCCAGGCCTAATGAATTAGCCAGAAGGAACTAAGTTTTCCAGAAATTAAGGATCCTATTTTTACCTAATATATTGGCTTTACTCCCAGGTTCCCTTGATTGACTTAGCCAATGATTTTTTTTTCCTACCTAAGCATGCGAGGAAAATGAAACAAAGGGGTAGAACACAAAAATCCCTGTGAATTTTGAAAAGCCAAATTTTACAATCCTCCAATATTATCATTTGCTACCACTTTCCTTCTGACCCATTCAGATGTAGGGGGCCTCTAACTGGAACTGGATTCAAGCCAGTTAACTACTGGATCAAATCTGATCCTGGACCCGGTCCCGTTTCTGTCATAACTTCTAAAACATCCAGCCAGTCATGGCTGGATAGCAGTTTGGAACAGAAATTTGCTCAAAGAAACTCAGAGCTCAAAACACAAATCCATGGAGCTCTGAAATCCGAGAGAGAATTTACCATGATCCCCAGCTGCTCTGAGAGGTCAAAGGGCACAAGTGTTACAGAATCCTGTGACGTCACTTTTCTGCCTGAAACCTCTGGCTGGTGGCACCTTTACCTGTGTTTTGCTCGGGCCCACTGGGTTCGTTCCGTCCACTCGGCTCATGCTAGTGGTGTGGATCCCACACCTGCCAAGGGTGAGCTGGGTACAGAGCAGTGAAGGGTGTGTGAGCAAGCAAGCATGGGATCTGGCCACTGCACACAGCCAAGCATGCCAGCTGCAGTGAGGTGGGCAGCTCCAGGTACAGGCACAGGTGCCAGCTCCCTGTGAGGCTGCAGCTGGACCAGACCGACTGCAAACAGCTTCCACTGTGTGTATCAGGGAATGCAGTGGCGCCCAGAAACTTGGAGATGCAGGAACTGCAGAGCCCCAAAGAAGGCATCACAGCCCTGGCTTGGGGAGCTCCTAGGTCTGGGCTCCCTGAAGGGCCACAGCTCTTGTCTCCTTCTCTCTTCTCTTCTTCTTGCCTGCAATTTGGCAAGCAAGGGGGGCGTTTCAGCCCTGTTTATGTTACACCTCTTTCAGCCCTGCTAGTTTGCAGGTCCCGAGTTCTTGTCCTGAGTCCAGGAAGAATGAGGTATGTGGGCAAGTAGAAGGTGAGCAAGGTGAAGAGGTGCTTTATTGAGCAACAGTACAGCTCAGAGGAGAACTGCAGTGGGTAACTCCTTTCTGCAGGCAGGTCATCCCAACGTCTGTTCAGCTCTCAGCAGCTGAGAGAGACGCACTGTGGTTAGCTGTGCCCACATTGCCGAGGCTGTTCGAGCTGAGGAGTGCCTTCAGGCCAGTGCTGAGCCACTCTTAGCCCCACCTCAACCTCCCTCTTGTGCTCGTCACTGCCCAAATTCTGGAGGGGGCCGAGGTGGCAGGGGGCTGGCATGTCAGCACTGCCCTGAGCTTGCACAAACCGGGCCAGGTTGCGACTGTGCCTGGGTTCAGCCTCAACTTGTATCCGAAGTTGGAGTGGGCTCTGGGAGTGGAGAGATGCCAGGTGGTGGGACCAGGTACGACTGAGCCTGTGGGGGCAGGGGGGCTTGCTGGGCCTCTGAGAGTGCAAAGATGCCCGGGTTTGCAGTCATGGCTGGATGGCTGCAGCTGTGCCTGGGAGGGCAGGGCTCCTGCCTGCCAATTTAGAAGGGGTGGGGCTCCCACCCCTTCCTGGCTCCCACCAGCTTCGAGGAGCGCACAGCCCCAGCCACTCCTCCCCACTGCAGCCAGTGTCTCCGTAGCAACTGCTCCATGTGGACCACTGCTGCCATCACAGAGCAGTCCTTGCAGGTGCCTTTCTTGTACCTCAGCACTCCTGGGGGTCATTAGAAGCCCTAGCAACGCTGCTCACCACACTATAGCTCCGGAGGCCCTAGCAGTCCTGCTCCCACAGATCCCACTTCTGACACCATCTATTAAAAGAAAATCTTCAGCTGAATTAAATTTAAAGGAACTTAATTGAGCAATGAATGATTCACGAATCAGGCAGCCCCCAGAATCACAGCAGATTTGGTGAGACTCCAGCACAGCTACATGGTGGAAGATTTATAGACAATAAAGGCAACGTGATGTACAGAAATCTGAAGTGAGGAGTGAGGTCCAGAAGCAACTGGGTCCCTTACCATTCTCAGCAGTGAGGTCCAGAAGCAACTGGACTGGTTCCAGTGCTCAGCATTTGCCTTATCTGAACACAGCTGAACACTCAGCAGTGTGTGAGTGGCAGAAGTTTGGCTGTTGGGATTGGCCAGGACTCAGCTATAGTTACAGGCGCATACTCCTAAGTTAGGTTTTCAGTCTTCCTACCTATTAAGTTAGGTTGCAGTTTGTCCACAGGGACTCAAATCTAGAAGTACAGAGTCCTTCCCAGGCCATATTTAGTTCACTGTAACAGTTCCTATTATGACCTCACTGACAGTTCTTTTTCTCTGAATTCTCCTTTCTTCTCAACAGCTTATCCAAATGTTCCATTAGTCCCTGTTCATCCCGCCCTGCAGTTCTCCTTGACTGATTCAGCCCTTTGTGGTTTGCAGTCCTGTTTCTCTACAGCTTGGACCCCTTCAGTCTTTCCATCATAGGTTTAACTCTCTGTTGAATGCTTCTTTGTAGCTACGCAAAAGTTACCTTAAGCTCAAAAAATTCAAAGTGAAAGCCACATCCTCCTCTCTTCCCTTATGTGTATGGTATTACTACCATGCAACCAGTGACCCAAAATGGGATTTCTTCTGGGCTTTTCTTGCTTAGATTCAGGCTCATCTGGTGTCAAGCCTTGTTACTTTTGTTTCCTTGTTCTTTTATTTTTAATTTTTTTTCTTTTGAGACAGAGTTTCACTCTTGTTGTCCAGGCTAGAGCACAGTGGTGTGATCTCGGCTCACTGCAGCCTCCACCTCCCGGGTTCAAGCAATTCTCCTGCCTCAGCTCCTGAGTAGCTGGTATTACAGGCATTTGCCACCATGCCCAGCTAATTTTGTATGTTTAGTAGAGATGGGGTTTCTCTGTTTTGATCAGGGTGGTCTCGAACTCCCGACCTCAGGTGATCCACATGTTTCGTCCTCCCAAAGTGCTGGGATTACAGGCGTGAGCCACCGTGCCTGGCCTGCTTGTTGTTTTCATCTCATGCTGATTTCTGAATACAGGAGAGGAGCTGAGTTGGTGTTCACTAACAAGCACGGAAGCTTCGTTACATTTACAGTGTCATTCTTGGCAAAACCTGAATAGTATGTTTGTGGGGTGATGAGATTCAGTCCCCTGTGACCTGTGCATCTGGCCAACACTGTGGTGACATCCTTAGGAATCAATGGGGAGAGAGAAAGCATTCAGGAGTTAGTGGGTCACATTTGACAAAGGCCAATAAAGAAATATGCAAAGACAAAAATCAAGAAGAACACTGTCATATTTTACACCTTTTGTTTATATAAATTTATGTCAATGATTCTAGCTTATGTTAATATGCAATGTATACAATATGCTAACATATACAATATATGTTTATAGTTTAAACATTTCTGTCATGTTTTCAGATTCTTTAAAGATTATATTACACTTCCTATTTCAGATAGTTGTTTAAAATGAGTAAGGAGAAACGGATGTGTGCATCAGTTCTAACTGTTTATGGACTAAAACTAGTTGATTTCTTGGTTAAGAACAAAAAGTGACAAACTAATTAACTGAAAATTTGAAGTAGGCAATTATAGTTTTAGCTTTAACGTAAAATATTAACTATGCTCCATTCTTGCATTTTTAACCTAATACTCAATATAAATCGCTACATGCCGTTTCAGATCAAGGTTCTACTTGTGATCTCTCATGAGTTTTTCAAGGTTTTAATTATCTGAGATGTAACAATGTACCAGTAACCTTACTGGCTTAAACCAGGAATTTATTCTTTTTACATGTCACAATTTTCTGGGTCAAGACACTGGACAGGGCGGTGTTGGTTGGTTGCTTCATGATGTCCTTGGTCTCATCTGGAAGGACTCTAGTGGCTGGGGACATGGAGCAGGCACCCAGCCCTCTCTTCGTGGCCAGCACGGACTTCCTCCCAGTCTGGCAGCGTCAGGTAGTCAGGTTTGTCTGGCTTCTCCCAGGGTGTGTGTCCAAGAGGCCCAGGCAGAAGCTGTAAGGACTCTCATGATCGCCCCTCAGAAGTCCCAGAGCATCTCTCCTGCCACACTGCCCAGTCGCACTCATCACTGAGACCAGCCATGATTCAAGGGGGGAAGGTGATTAGATTCCACCTCTTGATGAGAAGCATAGTAGGAACCTGCAGCAGTCTTTAATAAACCACAGCTTGTCCTCTGGCCACAAACTATTAACATTTCTCCTACATGCAAATTATGCTTTGCCCCTCTCAAGAGCCCCAGAAAGGTTTTCCTTATGGCACTGGCTGGTAGCCCAACTGAATCCTGAATCAGGTTGTGGTGACCTGTCATCTGCACCCACACACACTCAGCCGCAGTGAGGACTGAATCAGGTTGTGGTGACCTGTCATCTGACCCCCCCACACACAGCCACAGTGAGGACTGAATCAGGTTGTGGTGGCCTGTCGTCTGCCCCTGACACACTCAGCCACAGTGAGGACTGAATCAGGTTGTTATGACCTATCATCTGAGCCCACAAACTCAGCCGCAGTGAGGGGACTGGTGTGAAAACAGTCGGCATTTCCCTTTAGAAGCTGTTGGTGGGAGGCAAGAGGGAAGTGCTGCCCTGCAGGCCCCGTCTAACAGTTGGTCATTCCCATGGGGTGCCTGTTACAGTTCTGTGATTAGTGCCCAGTCCTGGTCCCTGAGAACGGCGCCCAGTCCTGGTCCCTGAGAATGGTGTTTGTGTCCTTTTACTCTTCCCTCTGGGCTTTTGTCATTCTCCATGTTCTTTTTCCTTCAGTGCCTGGGTTGCCGTTGACCAACTTTCCCTGCCTTTTTCTTATGGTCAATAGGGTATTCAATGGCTTCTTTTTCATTTTTTTTCCTTTTCTTTTCTTTTTTTTTTTTTTTTTACTTTGGCCTTTTGAGACAAGAAATTATTTCTTTATATTTTCTCTAAATTCTGTTTGAAAACTGAACCTTCTTCTTTAGATCATGTCCCTCTCCTGTCATATTTATTCAGTGACAGTTAGGGGAGGCTGGTAGCACTTTCCATGTTCTTCCCAGATGTCTCCTTAGGCAGATCCCTGAGATGGTGCAGTGCCCTTTCAGTTTCCATGTTGTGGCCATAGTTTTCCCACAGTCCCTCAGCATGTAACTCTCAGGCCTTTTCTCCAGTTTCCAATGACATTTTCTCACCGTCCTTCAGGCCCTGACCAAGTGTCTTGATGCTCTTCCAGGTTGCATGAATGGTCTCCTTGAGGCCCAGTTACAGATCAGCCTCACAGTCGTGTCACATATTGTAGCTTCTGATTACCACAGCAGCTCATTTCCAGCTGTCATATTCTGTTCCAGTTATCTATTCTGAAGAAACCATCCCCAAAACTTGGCAGCTTAAAACAACTCATTATTACTTGTTTTTTGGCTTAGAGAGTCTTGGTGGTCAGCTCATCTCACACACAGTTGCAGCCAAGCTGGATTGTGTGAAAGCACAGTGAGGTGGTGTGCAGGGTGGCTCACTAGCGGTTGGGAGTGGATGTTGCTGGAGGCTCACTAGTTGTTGGGAGTCGGTGTTGCTGGAGGCTCAGTGGGGGATGTCAATGCATGTAGCTAGTCATGGACTGGCCGTGTGGTTTCCATCATGAGGTCTCAGGGGAGTGGGATTTCCTGCCTGGTGACTGGCTTTCTCCTGGATAAGTGTTCTGTTTTCTCAGCCTGGCTTCTGAAGTCCCCAAATACCACCTTTGTCACCTTCTGTTGGCCAAATAAGTCAGTAGTTTGGTCAAGGTTTAAGGGGAATTGGTCCTCACAGAGAGAGGAGCAGGAAAGAAGTTGTCACCTTTAGTCTACCAGAAATGAGATTTTTATAACAAGTTTGTTCCAAATACATTCCAGTTCCCCTTGTGAATACTTTTTTGACTCACAGGGTATTTCAAAGTTTATTACTTGGTTTTCAGACATTTGAGGCTTTTCTGGTTATCAATTTGTTGTTGGTTTCTAATTTAATTTCAAGTGTTCAGACAACATCCTTTGTATAGTATTTCAGGCTTGAACCTTTTCTCAATCGATCGACATACAGTCTATCTTGGTACTGCCAAGTACCATTTGGGTCAGGATTTTGTCATTTAGATCCATATTTTTCCAATATTTTTATCTGGTTGTCCCATCAGTTACTGAGAGAGCAGTATTAATTCACCAGCTATAATTTTGCATTGTCAATTTCCTGCTTTTGTTCTGTTGTTTTTGATTCACATACTTTGAGGTTGTGTGTGTGTGTGTACTTTGTGTGCATTTTGAGGCACAATTTTTAATTGTAACATCATCGTCTCTGATTCTTTTATTTTTATTAAATTACCCTGTTTATTTCTGGTGATATATTTTGCTCTGAAGCCTCTTTCATCTAGTGTTAACATCTCTGTTGAAGCTTTTTATGATTAGTGTCTGGATAGCATATTTTTATGATTAGTGTCTGCATAGCATATTTTTTCTCATACTTTGTTTGTGTCTTTGTGTTTAAATTGTGTCTCTGTGGATGCCATATTGTTGGGTCTTGCCTTCCTCTCAGGTCTGGCAGTCTCTGTCTTAAGTAGAGTATTTGTCCAGTTACATTGTAACTAATCATTGCTAAGGTTGGATTTAGGTCTGCCATTTTTCTAGTTATTTTCTATTTGTTTGTTTATTATTTTTAAGACAGGGTCTTGCTCTGTCACCCAGACTGTAGTGCAATGGTGCAATCTTGGCTCGCTGCAACCTCTGCCTCCCAGGCCCAACCAATCCTCACTTGATCCCCCTGAGTAGCTGGGACTACAGGTGCATGGCACCACACCTGGCTAATTTTTATATTTTTTGTAGAGATAGAGTTTTGCCATGTTGCACAGGCTGGTCTTGAACTCCTTAGCTCAAGCAACCTACCCACCTTGGCCTCCCAAATTGTTCAGATTACAAGCATGAGCCACCATGCCTGGTCTTCGTCTGTCTTTTGATCTTCTATATATTCTTTCCTAACTTCTTTTGGGTTAAATATTTCTAAATATTCCAGTTTGATTAATCTTTTGGCTTTTTGAAATAATTTTTTATAGGCTGGGCATGTTGGCTTATGCTCGTAATCTCAGCTCTGTGGGAGTCCAAGGGAGGTGGATTGCTTGAGCCCAGGAGGTTGAGACCAGCCTGGGCAACATGGGAAAACCCTCTCTACAAAAAACCAAACCAAACTTTAGCCTGACATCTTGGTGTGCACCTGTAGTCCCAACTATTCGGGAGGCTCAGGTGGGAGGGTTGCTTGAGCCTGGGAGGCTGAGGCTGCAATGAGCTGTGATCATGCCATTGCACTCCTGCCAGGGCAACAGAGTAAGATCCTGTGTCAAAAAATATCATTTTTTATAAATAATTTATTATTTCTAATTTTGGTAACAAACACATACCTTAAAATTTACCATCATAACCAGTTGTAAGTGTACAGTTTTGTAGAGTTAAGAATATTTACAGTGTTGTGTAGCAGATTTCTAGATTTTTTTTTTTATCTTGGAAAACTCTATACCCATTCAACAACTATTAATTCCCCCTTCCTTCCACCTCCTGGCAAGTACTATTCTACTTTGTGTTTCTAAAACTTTGGCTTATATACCTAGGGTTATATAATATTTGTTGTTTTGTAAGTAGGTTCCATGTTATATGTCAGATGTGTCAGGATTTTCTTCCTTTCTATGGCTGAATAATATTTCTTCATATATATATATATATTTTCTCTCTCTCTCTCTCTCTATATATATATCCTTTTGTTTATCCATCTATTCCTGGATGGACGTTTTGGTTTCTTCCACTTGTGGCTGTGTAATGCTCCTGTGAACACAGGTGTGCACATATCTGTTGGAGTTCCTGCTACTAGTTATTCTGTCTCTGTAGAAGTTGGATGCCTGGATCATATGGTCATTTTATTTTATTTTTTGTGAGGAGCCAGTTCATATTTCCACCAACAGTGTTCAAGGGTTTCAGTTTCACCTGCACTTGTTACTTTCTGTTGGGTTAGAAGTGATGTCCCATTGTGGTTTCTATTTGCATTTCTTTAATGACTAGTGATGTTACACATCTTCTCATATATCTCATGTATCTGTTGGCTATTTTTATATCATCTTTGCATCTTTGGATAAATGTTCTTTGTCCATTTTTTAATCACTTTATTTTGTTGTTGTGTTGTAGTGGGGTTTTTTGGTCATGATCATTCATTTATCTCACAGTTCATTCTTGTTACTTGGGCCAGGGTCATGGTCATTCATTATCTCTCAGTTCATCCTCATTACGTTGGGCAAACAGTCATGCTGCAGGGTATAGATTATGTTATTCTGTTACTTTCAGATAGAATTGGGGTCTAGGTTCTAATTGTTTCTAAGTTTAGATTCTGAATGAGAATCAGCAGAGGTAGACCACTGCTGCTGAGGCCTGGGGATTGCTGGGGAAAAGGCAGGAAACAGATACGGACCTGACCATGGAAGGTTTGCGTTTCACGGCTCCCATCTGGGTACCCAAGGAACCTACATGTAGCTCATGTGTGGAGAGCCTACTTTGCCCACTCAAAGCAATTGAGGATGGAACAGTCTTGGGGCTGGAGCTCATTATTTGGAATGATAACCACATCTGCACAGAGAGGACCTGACAAGATGTTGTCCTTCCATGTATATCTGGGAATCCTCTGTAGGGTCTCTCTGTAAGGACAGGGGCAGTGTTGGCTCCTTGGCCTCTAGTTAGCCTCACAAGTAGTCTAGTAAAGGCTTTGCAAACTTGTCACCATCTGTGGACATTCTGGCCAGCTCTTGTTTTCACCCTACTGACTTCTTCAGACACTAGGCTTTTGCTTTAGACCATTCATGGTTTTTCTTCCTCTTCAAATCAGTAATCAATAAATACTCTTCAAGTCAATAAATTTCCACTCCTTTAGGAAACCCTGATCTTCTGGTCACACCAAGGTTTAATTAACTGGTTTGATTGTTTTTCTGTTTTGTTTTTTTTTTCCTTCTTCCTAGGGGTTTCTAGTAATTCTAGTTTGATGTCTCACTTTCTCCATTTTTTATTTCTTAGTTTTCTTCTGTGATTATTTTCACTGCAGCTGCAGGGCCTAATCCTAGGTTGGCAGAGAACTAGCACTTACTCTGCCCTAATTGGAATCCAGGAGAGATAGGAGGTGCCCTAGTGTGAAAATGTGTTTGCTCCTCTCTGCTTCTGGTAGTCTCTCTGTAGGAGTTCTTTACGTATTCTGTATGTTCACTTCTTATGAGATACATGATGAGCAACTATAGGTTGAATGTCTCTGATCCAAAAATCTGAAATCCCAAATGCTCCAAAGTCTGAAACTTTTAGAGTGCCAACATGACACTCAAAGGAAATGCTTATTGGAGCATCTCAGACTCAGGTGTTTGAATTCGAAATGCTCAACCAGTAAGAATAGTGCAAATATTACAAAATCTGAAACACATCCCAAGCATTTCAAATAAGGAACTCTCAACTGGCATTTTATTTATTCTACAGTTTGCCTTTTACCCTGTTGGTTGTGACCTTTGAGGTACAGAAGTTTTTAGGTTTGATATATTTTTGCTTTTACTGCCTGAGCTTTTAATGTCATATCCTAAAAATTATTGACAAATTCATCGTCATAAAGCATTTTCCAAATTTGTTTTCCCTAGGAGTTTGATAGTTCTAGTTTTACATTTAGGTTTATAATTCACTTTGAATTAATTTTAACGTGTTATAAGGTAAGAGTCCAACTTCACTGTTTTGCATGTAGATATAAAATTTTCCCAACACAATTTGTTGCAGAAACTGTCCTTCACCATTGAGTGGTCTTGGCATCCTTGTGGAAGATCATCGGACCATATATGCCAGGGTTGGTTTCTGAGGTCTCTGTTGTGTTGGTCCATAAGTGTGTCAAGAGTGTATTTATGCCATGACCACATTTTTTTTTGGCTTATTGCAGTTTTGTAATTGTTTTGAGACCTTTAATTTTGTTCTGTTTCAAGATCGATTTGCCTATTCATGGGCCCTGGAGATTCCATATGAATTTTAGGATAGGTTTTTCTGTTTATCAAAAATGTCATTGGAATCTTTATAAGGATTGTATTGAATCTAGGTCACTTCGAGTAGTGTTGACATCATTCCAAGATGAAATCATCTAATCTGCAAACCCAGCTTTTCTTTTCATTTATTTGTGTTTAATTTCTTTCAACAGTGTTTTGTAGTTTTCTGTGTTCAAATCTTTTGCCCTCTTGGTTAAGCTTATTTCTAATTTTTTTTTTTTTTTTTTTTTTTTTTTAAGACAGAGTCTCACTCTTTCGCCCAGGCCGGACTGCAGTGGCGTGGCGCGATCTCAGCTCACTGCAAGCTCCGACTCCCGGGTTCACGCCATTCTCCTGCCTCAGCCTCCCGAGTAGCTGGGACTACAGGCGCCCGCCAAGGCACCCGGCTAATTTTTTGTATTTTTAGTAGAGACGGGGTTTCACCGTGTTAGCCAACATGGTCTTGATCTCCTGACCTCGTGATCCGCCCGCCTCAGCCTCCCAAAGTGCTGAGATTACAGGCGTGAGCCACCGCGCCCAGCCTCTAATTTTTTTAATGCTTTTGTAAATGTAATTCTTTTTTTTTTTTTTTTTTTGAGATGGAGTCTTGCTCTGTCTCCCAGGCTGGAGTGCAGTGGCACTATCTCAGGTCACTGCAACCTGCACCTTCCTTATTCAAGCAATTCTCCAACGTCAGCCTCTCAAGTACCTGGGATCACAGGTGCACGCCACCACGCCCAGCTAACTTTTTGGTATTTTTAGTAGAGACAGGGTTTCTCCATGTTGACCAGGTTAGTCTTGAACTTGTGACCTCAGGTGATCTGCCCGCCTCGGCCTCCCAAACTGCTGGGATTGCTGGCATGAACCACCGCACCTGGCCAAATGTCATTCTTTTTAAAAATTTCTTTTGTTTTCTCTTTCTTTTCTATTCTTTTCTTTTCTTTTCTTTCTCTCTCTTTCTTTCCTTTCTTTCTTTTTTTGAGACCGCGTCTCACTCTGTTTCCTAAGTTGGAGCACAGTGGCACAATCTCAGCTGACTGCAACCTCCAACTTCCAAGTTCAAGCAATTCTCCTGCCTCAGCATCCCAAGTAGCTGGGACTACAGGTGTCTGCCACTATGCCCAGCTAATTTTTGTATTTTTAATAGAGATAGAGTTTTACTATTTATATTAGAGATGGGGTTGGCCCAGCTGGTCACGAACTCCTGACCTCAGGTGGTCCACCCGCCTTGGCCTCCCAAAGTGCTGGGATTACAAGTGTGAGCCACTGCACCTGGCCTCTTTTTAAAATTTTATTTGCAGATTGTTCATTGTTAGTTTATAGAAATGCAACTGACTTGAGAGTGTTACCATATCCTGAAACTTTGTTGAATTTCATTATTCTACCAGTATTTTGTGGAATTTCAGAATTTTTACACATTACATCTTGTTGTCTGTGAACAAAATTTTGTACTTTTTCCTTTCCGATCGGCATGTTTTTATTACTTTCTCTTGCCTAATTATTCTAAGTAGAAATTCCAGTGCTGTGGTGAATAGAAGTGGCAGGAAGAGAAGTTGCTATCTTATTCCTGATCCTAGAGGAAAAGATTTTAGTTTTTCACGATTGAGTATGATGTTAGCTGTGAGCTTTTCATGTATAATCTTTATTTACTGAGGAGTTTCCATATATTACTAATTCTTTGAGTGTTTTTATTACAAAAGGTGTTCATCTGGCTCTGGAACCAGATAAATGTTGACCTGATAGAATGGATTGGAATGTCCCCTTCTGGTTTTTTGAACATTTTTGGAAGATTTTGCAGAGGATTGGAATTAATTCTTCTTGAAATGTTTGGTAAAATTTTCCAGTGAAGTTATCTGGACCTGGAATTTTCTTTTTGGTGGGGTTTTTGATTACTGGTTGAATCTTCTTACTAGTTACAGGTCTCTTTGGATTTTTTATTTCTCCGTGATGCAGTATGGTGGTTTGTGTTTCTAGGAATTTATAAATTTATTCTAGGTTGCCCAGTTTGGTGGCATATGGTTGCTCACATTAGTGTCTTGTAATCTTTTTCATTTCTGTGGCATGTGTTGTACTGTCAACTCTTTTATTTATGATTGTAGTATTTGAGATTTCTCTTTTTTTCTTAATATAGCTGTGAGTTTTAAAATTTTTATTGATCTTTAAAAAAACAAACTCAGTGTTTTTTTTCCTTTTTTTCTGGTCTTATTCTGCTTATCTCTGCTGTAATCTGTTATTTTCTTCCTTTTGCTTGGATTGTCATTAGTTTTTTTTTTCCTTCTTCAGGTGTAATGTTAGGTTATTGATTTGAGATCTTTCTTCTTTTTAATTTAAGCACCGGCAGCTATAAGCTTCCCTTTAGCAAGGGTTTGAGATCTTTCTTCTTTTTAATTTAAGCATCTGCAGCTGTAAACTTCCCTTTAGCACGGGTTTGAGATCTTTCTTCTTTTTAATTTAAGGATCTGCAGCTGTAAGCTTCCCTTTAGCATGGGTTTGAGATCTTTCTTCTTTTTAATTTAAGCATCTGCAGCTGTAAGCTTCCCTTTAGCACTGCCTTTGTTGCCTCCTCCTGAGTTTGGGTATGTCATGGTTTCGTTTTCATTTGCTTAAACATTTTTTGTCCTATTGTAATATAATTGTGTTGTTTTTAATAAAGGTAATTAATGAAACACATAATGAATTGTGCTTCTGTTTTTATAATATTTTAAGCATTCTTAACTCAGAAATGTAAATTTTAGAAAAAAATTCCAGGCCAGGCACAGTGGCTCACACCTGTAATCCCAGCACTTGAGGAGGCCGAGGCGGGAGGATCATCTGAGGTCAGGAGTTGGAGACCACCCTGGCCAACATAGTGAAACCTGTCTTTACTAAAAATAGAAAAAAAATATATAAAAGTTAGCTGCGTGTCATGGCGGTTGCCTGTAATCCCAGCTACTCTGGAGGCTGAGGCAGGAGAATCACTTGAATCTGGGAGGCGGAGGTTGCAGTGAGCTGAGATTGCACCACTGCACTCCAGCCTGGGTGACAGAATGAGAGTCCGTCTCAAAAAAAAAGAAAAAAAAATTTCAGACATATTTATTTGTATTTCAATTTAGAAACTATGATCTCCTAAGTGTATTGACACAGCAACCTGACATAAAGATAAAGAATAATAAGCATATAACTAAACAGAACCTTGCAAATACCTGTTTTTTATTAATTTTTAATTATATATATTTAAAAATTGCTGGGTGCAGTGGCTTACACCTGTAATCCCAGCACTTTGGGAGGCTGAGGTGGGCAGATCACATGAGGTCAGGAGTTTGAGGCCAGCCTGGCCAACATGGTGAAACCTCATCTCTATTAAAAATCAAAAAATTAGCCAGGCGTGATAGCATGCATCTGTATTCCCAGCTACTCGGGAGACTGAGGCAGGAGAATTGCTTGAACATGGGAGGCAGAGGTTGCAGTGAGCCAAGATACTGCCACTGCACTCCAGCCTGGGTGACAGAGTGAGGCTCTGTCTCAAAAAAATAAAAATTGTCTGGGCGTGGTGGCTCACACCTGTAATCGCAGCACTTTGGGAAGCTGAGGCAGGCAGATCACGTCAGGAGATCGAGACCATACGGGCTAACACGGTGAAACGCCATCTCTACTAAAAATACAAAAAATTAGCCGGGCGTGGTGGCGGGTGCCTGTAGTTCCAGCTACTCCGGAGGTTGAGGCAGGAGAATGGTGTGAACCTGGTAGGTGGAGCTTGCAGTGAGCCGAGATTGCACCACTGGACTCCAGCCTGGGTGACAGAGAGAGACTCTGTCTCAAAAAAATAAAATAAAATAAAGCTAAGGTGTGGTTGACACACAAAAATTACACATATTTAATATATACCTTGTGTGTGTGTGTGTGTGTGTGTGTGTGTGTGTGTTACGGAGGTTTTACTCTTGTTGCCCAGGCTGGAGTGCAGTGACACGATCTCAGCTAACTGCAGCCTCCGCCTCCCGGGTTCAAGCAATTCTCCTGCCTCAGCCTCCTGAGTAGCTGGGATCACAGGCTTGCGCCCCCACGCCTGGCTAATTTTTGTATTTTTTTAGTAGAGACAGGGTTTCACCATGTTGGCCAGGCTGGTCTCGAACCCCTGACCTCAGATGATCCACCTGCCTCGGCCTCCCAAAGTGCTGGGATTACAGGCGTGTGACACCGAATATATACATCTTAATGAGTATAGGGATAAGTATTCGCCCCAGGTCTCATCACAACAAATAATGCCGTAAACTTGACAATCACTCCCCATATATTTCTCATTCTCACCCTTTTTAAAAAATGAGACCGGGAGTGGCGGCTCACGCCTGTAATCCCAGCACTTTGGGAGGCCAAGGCAGGTGGATCACGAGGTCAGGAGATCAAGACCATCCTGGCTAACACAGTGAAACCCCGTTTCTACTAAAAATACAGAAATTTAGCCAGGCGTGATGGCGGGCACCTGTAGTCCCAGCTACTTGGGAGACTGAGGCAGGATAATGGTGTGAACTCGGGAGGCAGAGCTTGCAGAGAGCCGAGATCGTGCCACTGCACTCCAGCCTGGGCAACAGAGTGTGACTCCGTCTCAAAAAAAAAAAATGAGATGACCATTTCACATAAAATATACCCTCTTAAGTATTTTTTTAAGTGTACAATACAGGACGTCCATGCATCAGAGATATATGTGGGTTTGGTTCCAGACCACTGCAATAAAGTTTTATACAATTTCTTTTGGTTTCCCAGTGCATGTAAAAGTATGTTTATACTGTGCTGTATAAAGTGTGCAATAGCATATGTCTACAAAGTATGCACACTTTAATTTACAAATACTTTATTGTTAACAAGTGCTAACAGTCATCTGAGCCTTCAGAAAGCTGCAATCTTTTTTTGTGTTCGTGACAGGGTTTTACTCTGTGGCTCAGGCTGGAGTAATTGCAGCCTCAACCTCATGCTCAATCAAACCCCCACCTCAGACTCCTGACTAGCTGGGACTACAGGTGCATGCCACCGTGTCCAGCTAATTTTTGTATTTTCTTTTTTTGTAGAGATGGGGTTTTGCCATGTTGCCTTGATGTCCTGGGCTCAAGCAATCCACCCACCTTGGCCTCCCAAGGTGTTGGGATGACAGGTGTGAGCCACTGCACCTGGCCAAGTTTCAGTCTTCTTGCTGATGGAGGGTCTTACCTTAATGTAAGGTGGTGGTTGCTGAGCGTTGGGGTGGCTGTGGCAATTTCTTAAAATAAGACAACATTGAAGTTTGCTGTGTCAATTGACTCTCCCTTTCACAAAAGAATTATCTGTAGCATAAGATGATAGCTTTTTACCCACAGTAGAACTTTCAAAATTGGATTCAATGCTGTCAAAACTTCGTACTGCTGTACCAACTAAGTTTATGTATTATTGTAAATCATTGGGTTCAATCCTGTCAAGCCTTCCTTCTGCTGTACCAAGTTTATTCTAAATCTGTTGTCATCTCAACATTGTTTACACTGTCTTCACCACGAGTAGATTTCATCTCAAGAAACCACTTTCTTTGCTCATCCGTGGAAGCAACTCACCCACTCACGTTTTCTCCAGAGGCTGCTGCAGTCTCGCCAGATCTTCAGGCTCTGTCTCTGATTCTAGTGCTCTTGTTATTTCCACCATATCTGCAGTTACTTCCTCCACAGAAGTCGTGAACCCCTGTGTCATCAGTGAGGGTTGGAATAATCTTCCCAACTTCTCTCTCTTTCTTTTATTTTTTTGAGATGAAGTCTTGCCTGGGCTGGAGTGCAGTGATGCGATCTCAGCTCACTGCAACCTCCACCTCCCGTATTCAAGCAATTCTCCTGCCTCAGCCTCCCAAGTGTTTGGGATTACAGTCACCCCCGACCAGGCCCAGCTAATTTTTTTTCTGTTTATAGTATAGACAGGATTTCACTATGTTGGCCAGGCTGGTCTCAAATTCCTGACCTCATGATCCACGTGCCTTGGCCTCCCAAAGTGCTGGGATTATAGGCGTGAACCACCAAGCCCAGCCCCAACTTCTCCTAATGTTGCTATTTTGATCTTCTTTTTTAAATCATGAATGTTCTCAATGGCATCTAGAATGGTGAATCCTTTCCAGTAGGTTTTCAATTATTTTGCCCAGATCCATCAAAGGAACCACTTTCTAGAGAAGCTATAGCTTTATGAAATATATTTTTTAAGTGATAAGACTTGAAAGTTGAAATTATTCTTTGATCCAAGGGCACCAGAATGAATGTTGGGTTAGTAGGCATGAAAACAATATTCAGCTCTTTATACATCTCTGTAAAAGCCCTTGAGTACCAGGGGCATTGTCAGTGAGCGGTAATACTTTGAAAGGAATCTTATTTCTTGAGCAGTAGTTGTCGACAGTGGGCTTAAGATATTCAATAAACCATATTTGTAAACCGATAGTCTGTCATCCAGGCTTTGTTCCCATTTGTAGAGTACAAGCAGAGCTGCGTTTTATCATAATTCTTCAGGGCCCTTGGATTTTCAGAATAGTAAATCATCATTGGTTTCAAGTTAACATCACCAACTGCATTAGGCCTTAATAAAAGAGTCAGCATGTCCTTTGAAGCCTTAAATCCAGGCATCAACTTCTCTCTAGCTGGGAACATCCTGGATGGCATCTCCTTCTAGTAGAAGGCTGTTTTGTCTCCATTGCAAATCTGTTTAGTGTAGCCATCTTAATCAATTATCTTCTAGATAGCTTTCTGCAGCTTTTCCATCAGTACTTGCTGCTTTATCTTGCACTTTTATGTTATGGAGATGACTTTTTTCCTTAAACCTCAAGAAACAAGCTCTTCTAGCTTCAGACTTTTCTTCTGCAGCTACCTCACCTCTCTAAGTCTTCATAGAATTGAAGAGAGGCCAGGTGTGGTGGCTGTCACACCTGTAATCCTAGCACTTTGGGAGGCCGAGGCGGGCAGATCACCTGAGGTCGGGAGTTCGACACCAGTCTGACCAACGTGGAGAAACCCCGTCTCTACTAAAAATACAAAAAATTAGCCAGGCGTGGTGGTGCATGCCTGTAATCCCAGCTACTCGGGATGCTGAGGCAGGAGAGCTTGAACTTGGGAGGCAGAGGTTGCGATAAGCCAAGATCACGCCATTGTACTCCAGCTTGGGCAAGAAAAATGAAACTCTGTCTCAAAAACAAAGAAAAAAGTAAAAAGTTAGTTAGGCTTAGGCTTAATGGAATTTTTTTTATCTTCTATGTAGATCAATTAAACTTTCTTCATAACAGCAGCAAGATTGTTTAGCTTTTTATCATTCATGTATTCACTGGAGTAGTACTTTAAATTTCTTTCCAGAACACTTCCTTTGCATTCACAACTTGGCTAAGTGTTTGTTGCATGAGGTCTAGCTACTGGCCTGTCTTGCTTACAGCATGCCTTCCTCACTAAGCTTAATTATTTCTTCCTTTTGGTTTAAAGTGACAGACATACAACTCTTCTTTCACTTGAACATATAGAGGCTATTGTAGGGTTATTAATTGGCCACATTTTAATATTAATAAAAAGAAGCCTGAGAAAAAGAGAGAGAAAGAGAAATGGCCCGTTGATGGGGCAGTCAGAACAAACGCATTTGTCAATTGTTTGCTGTCTTATCCTGGTGTGATTTGTGGTTCCCAAAATGACAACAGTAACATTAAAGATCACTGATTACAGATCACCACAACAGATTCAATAATAAAAAGCTTAAAATACTGTGAGAATGACCGAAATGTGACACAGAGACGTGAAGTGAGCACGTGCTGTAGGAACAATGGTGCCAGTCAGACCTGCTTATTGCAGGGTGGTCACAAACCTTCAATATGTAAAACACATGGTCACAAAACACAATAAAGCAAAGTGCAGTGAAACAAGATGTGTCTGTCTTTTGATAGACTCTGACAATCTCTATCTTTGAATTGGTACATTCATACCATTAGCATTCAAAGTGATTATTGATATCATTGGATTAATATCTACTATATTTGTTACTGTTTTCTATTTATTCTCCTCAGTCTCCATTCTTTTGTCTACCACTCTTTTTCTGCCTTTTGCAGTTTTCATTGATGATTTTAGATGACTACATTTTCCCTGTCTTTCTTAGCATGTACTTCTCTTTTTAAAACTTTTTTAACTAGTTGCCACAGAATTTGCAATATACATTTACAACCAATTCAAGTCCACTTTCAAATAACACTATCCAACTATCCCACAAATAAGACTACCTGCTTAACAAACAAAACACCTAATTCCTCAGTAACATTTACAACCAATGCAAGTCCACTTTCAAATAACACTATCCCACTATCCCACAAATAAGACTACCTGCTTAACAAAGAACACACCTAATTCCTCAATATACATTTACAACCAATTCAAGTCCACTTTCAGATAACACTATCCCACTTCACGGGTGACTACCTGCTTAACAAAGAAAACACCTGATTCCTCCCTCCCATCCTTCCATTCCATTCCTTGTATTGTTCCTTATTTCACTTGTGTATAAGCATACATAATCTATCTGTGTGTATTTATTATTATCTACAAACTTATTGGTCAGATCAATTATGAATAAATACATGTTTTTATTGTACCACAATTCCTCCCTCCCATCCTTCCATTCCATTCCTTGTATTAGTGTTACTCATTTAACTTGTGTATAAGCATACATAATCTATATGTGTGTATTTGTTATTGTCTATGAACTTCTTGGTCAGATCAATTAAGAATAAATACATAGGTTTTTATTGTACCACAATTCTTTAATGCTCTTTTTTAAAAATGTTGATCAAAGTTTCAGTTATATATCTTTTGTTTCCCTCTAAAGAATTTCATTTAACATTTCTTGCAAGACAGGTCTCCTGGCAACAAGTTTCTTGAATTTTTATTTTTCTGAGGAAGGCCTTAATTCTCCTTCACTTTTGAAGGGAGTTTTCAGTGGGTACAGAAACTTAGGTTGGTGGGTTTTTTTCTGTCAACATTTTGAATTTTTCATTTCACTGTCTTCTTGCTTTCACAGTTTCTGCAATGTTGAATGCAGTTCTTATCTTTGTGTCTCTGTAGGTAAGGTGTTTTCTGCCCCACCTCTGGTTTCTTTCAGAGTTTCCCTTTATCTTTTATTTCATATAGTTTGAAAATTATATGTCCAAGTGTAGGTTGTTGGCATTTATTCTGCCTGGTGTTCTCGGAGCTTCCTGGATCTTTGGTTTGGTGTCTGACATTAATACTGGAAGTTCTCAGACATGGTTGTTGCAGAACTTTCTTCTATTTCTTCTCCTCCTGGTATTCTCATTACTCTGTTTCACCTCTTGTAGTTGTCCCACAGTCTTGGATATCATCTTCTGTTCTTTTCAGTGTTTCTTTTCTTTAGTTTTCGAAGTTTCTGATGATAAATCCTCAAGCTCAGAGATTATTTACTCAGCTGAGTCCAGTCTACTAATAAGCCATCAGAGGTATTCTTCAGTTATTTACCACATTTTTTACCACTACATTATGTTGAAGGTCCTTACGATGTCTGTCTTTCTGATTACATTACCCGTCTATACTTGAATGCTGTCTACTTCATTCATTAGGCCCTTAGCATATTCTCCAGAGGTTTACAAAAATTCCAAAATCATATCTTTGTCTGCTTCTGAAGCTTGCTCTGTTGATACAAATTGTATTTTTTTTCTTTTTTTGGATTTTAGTATGCCTTTCAATTTTTTCCCTTTATTCTCATGCATGAAGCACCCACTAAAAGTGACTGCTGTTAGTATAGCTTTAGTAATGCGGTGATGAGGTGACAGGGCAGGTGATGCTCTCTTAGTCTTTTTAGGCTACTATAACAAAATACTTTAGACTGAGTAATTCATAAACAACAGAGATTATTGCTCACAGATCTGGAGGCTGGGAAGTCCAAGACTAAAGGGGCAGGATATTTAGTGTTTGGTGAAGGACAAACATTCAGACACTCGCAACGACTATAGTGACAGCAGCAGTCTTCAGGAATCCTATGTGAGGGACAAACACTCAGAAGCCAGCTGGAGTGTTCCAGAATCCTATGTGAGGGACAAACATTCAGACCCCAGCAGTAGTGTTGTGGAATCCTATGTGAGGGAAAAACTTTCAAACCCTTGTAGCAGTGTTCTGCAATCCTATGTGAGGGACAAAAATTCAGAACCTCGTAGCAGTGTTCTGGAATCCTATGTGAGGAACAATCAGACCACAGCAGGAATGTTCTGGAATCCTATGTGAGGGACAAACATTTCAAAACCTCGTAGCAGTGTGCTGGAATGTTATGTCAGGGACAGACATTTAGACCCTCGCAGCAGTGTTCTAGAATCCCATCTGCAGGACAAACATTCAGACACTCGCAGCAGTGTTCTGGAATTCTATGTGAGGGACATTCAAACCCCAACAGCAGTGTTCTAGAATCCTATGTGAGGGACAGACGTTCAGACCCCAGCAGCAGTGTTCTGGAATCCTATGTGAGGTACAAACATTCAGATACCAGCAGAAGTTTTCTGGAATCCTATGTGAGGGACAAACATTCAGACCCTCGTAGCACTGTTCTGGAATCCTATGTGAGTGGCAAAAATTCAGACCACGGCAACAATGCTCAGGAATCCTATGTGAGGGACAAACATTCAGACCCTCGTAGCAGTGTTCTGGAATCTTATGTGAGGGACAAACATTCAAACCACAGCAGCAGTGTTCTGGAATCCTATGTGAAGGACAAACTTTCAGACCACAGCAAGAGAGTTCTGGAATCCTATGTGAGGGACAAACTTTCAGACCAAAACAGGAGTGTTCTTAAATCCTATATGAAGGACAAACATTCAGACCCCAGGAGCACTGTTCTGAAATCCTATGATAAGGGCAAACATTCAGACCCCAACATGAATGTTCTGGAATCCTATGTGAGGGACAAGCATTGAGACCATAGCAGGAGTATTCTGGAATCCTATGTGAGGGACAAACATTCAGATCCTTGTAGCAGTGTTCTGGAATCCTATGTGATTAACAAACATTGAGACCACAGCAGGAGTGCTCTGGAATCCTATGTGAAGGACAAACATTCAGACCCCAGAAGGAGTGTTCTGGAATCCTATGTGAAGGACAAACATTCAGACCCTCATAGCAGTGTTCTGGAATCCTATGTGAGGGACAAACATTCAGACTCTCCCAGCAGTCTTCTGGAATTCTATGTGAGGGACATACATTCAAACCCCAGCAGCAGTGTTCTGGAATCCGATGTGAGGGACAGACATTCAGACCCCAGCAGCAGTCTTCTGGAATCCTATGTGAGGGACAAACTTTCAGACCCTCGTAGCAGTGTTCTGGAATCCTATGTGAGGTACAAACATTCAGACCCTCATAGCAGTGTTCTGGAATACTATGTGAGGGACAACCATTCAGACCATGGCAGTTCTGAAATGCTATGTGAAGGACAAACATTCAGACCCTCGTAGCAGTGTTCTGGAATCCTATGTGAAGGACAGACATTTAGACCCTCGAAGCAGTGTTCTGCAGTCTTAAGTGAGGGACAAAAATTCAGACCCTCGTAACAGTGTTCTGGAATCCTTTTTGAGGGACAGACATTGAGACCCCAACAGCAGTGGTCTGGTATCCTATGTGAGGGACAAACATTCACTCCTCACCAACAGTGTTCTGTAATCGTATGTGAGGGACAAGCATTCAGACCCCAGCAGCAGTGTTCTGGAATCCTATGTGAGGGACAAATATTCAGACCACAGCAGGAGTGCTCTGGAATCCTTTGTGAGGGACAAACATTCAGAACCTCGTAGCAGTGTCCTGAAATCTTATGTGAGGGAGAGACATTTAGACCCTCGCAGCAGTGTTCTGGTATCCCATGTGAGGGACAAACATTCAGACCCTCCCAGCCGTGTTCTGGAATTCTATGTGAGGGAAAGACATTCAAACCCCAGCAGCAGTGCTCTGGAATCTGATTTGAGGGGCAGACATTCAGACCCCAGCAGCAGTGTTCTGGAATGCTATGTGAAGGACAAACATTCAGACCACGGGAGCAGTGTTCTAGAATCCTATGTGAAGGACAAACATTAAGACTCTCATAGCCGTGTCCTGGAATCATACGTGAGGAACAACCATTCAGACACCAGCAGAAGTGTTCTGGAATCCTAGGTGTGGGAAAAACATTCAGAACCTAGTAGCAGTGTTCTGGAATCCTATGTGAGGGACATACATTCAGACCACGGCAGCAGTGTTCTGGAATGGTATGTGAAGGACAAACATTCAGACCCTTGTAGCAGTGTTCCGGAATTCTATGTGAGAGACAAACATTCAGACCACAGCATCAGTGTTCTGGAATCCTATATGACGGACCAACATTCAGACCCTTGCAACAGTGTTCTGGAATACTAGGTGAGGGAGAAATATTCACACCCTTGTAGCAGTGTTCTGGAATTCTCTGTGACTGACAAACATTCAGACTCCAGCAGCAGTGTTCTGTAATCCTATGTGAGCGACAAACATTCAGACCCCAAGAGCAGTGTTCTGAAATCCTATGTTAAGGGAAACACTGAGACCCCAGCATGAATGTTCTGGAATCCTATGTGAGGGACAAACATTCAGACCACGGCAGGAGTATTCTGGAATCCTATGTGAGGAGCAAACATTCAGACCACAGCAGAAGTGTTCTGGAATCCTATATGAGGGATAAGCATTCAGACCCTCGTAGCAGTGTTCTGGAATCCTATGTGAGGGAGAAGCATTCAGAGCACAGCAGGAGTGCTCTGGAATCCTATGTTAGGGACAAACATTCAGAACCTCGTAACATTGTTCGGGAAACCTGTGTGAGGGACAGACATTTAGACCCTCGCAACAGTGTTCTGGAATCCCATGTGAGGGTCAAGCATTCAGATCCTCACAGCAGTGTTCTGGAATTCTATGTGAGTGACAACCATTCAGACTCCAGCAGCAGTGTTCTGTATTCCTATGTGAAGGTCAAACATTCAGAATCCAGGAGCAGTGTTTTGAAATCATATGTTAAGGGCAAACATACAGACCCTAGCATCAATGTTCTAGAATCATATGTGAGGGACAGACATTCAGACCCTCGCAGCAGTGTTCTGGAATCCTAGATGGGGGACAAACATTCAGACCCCAGCAGCAGGCTTCTGGAATCCTATGTGGGGGACAAACATTCAGACAATGGCAGCAGTGTTCTGGAATCCTATGTGAGGGACAAACACTCAGAGCCTTGTAGCAGTGTTATGGAATCCTATGTGAGTGAGAGTGCCTCGAGCCTACCCAACCTGACGCCCCCGAAGCCCTCACAGGGTCTGACCTCCCAGCATGCACCTGCCTCTCCCTGAACCCCAACTGCCCACCCTGCCTGTTCCCTGGCCTCCTTCATCCTGTGCAGCCCATAGACTGTGACCATCTCTGCAGCCACTCTGGCCCTTCCTTTACCTTTGTCCTCTCAGAATCTCTGAGCAGGATCTCCCAGGTCCATCCAAACACGTGCTTTGTCCACTTTTGACTAGGCCCTTGGGCATCACTGGGCTATCCCAGCTGTCCACAGGGCCTTCAATAATGCACATTGCACCTGGCTTATCCAAGCAGTGCTCAGCAGCCCACATTGACCAGGTCCCTGCTGACCAGACCCCGCACATCAGGTCATCCCTGATGACACACTCACTGATTAGACCCTCATGACCAGGCCCCACTAACAAGGCCCCCACTGCCAGGCACACAATGACAAGGACTCCACTGACCAGGACCTTACTGACAAGGCCTCACTGACAAGGCCTCAGGGACCAAGTCCTTACTGACAAGTCCTCACTGACTAGGTCATTATTGACAAGGCCTCACTGATCAGGTTCCACTGATCATGACCTCATTCCCTGGCCCCAAAGATGAGGCCCCACTGACCAGGCCTCCAGGGAACAGGTTGCCACCGATCAGGCCCCTAATAACCAGGCCTAAGGTCACCAGATGCCCCTGACTGGGACCCTAGTGAGTAGACCCCACTGAACTGGAACCAAATGCTGAGATCCCCGCTGACCAGGTCATCCTGTAGAACAGTGCTACAAAAGTCACCACTGACCAAGTCCTCTCTGACCAGGACGCTACAGATTAGGTCCCGCTGACAAGGCTGCCCTGACCAGGGCCCCACTGAGAAGGGCCTCACTGATGAGGACACGCCCACCAGGGTCTGCTGACTAGGTCCCATGTGCCCAGTCCTCCACTGAATAGCACCCCTTGACCTTGTCACCGGTGCCCCAGCCCATGCTGACCAGGCCAGCACTAAGTCCCAGCTGACCAGGTCTCCACTGATCAAGCCCCACAGCCCAGGTTTGCACTGACCAGACACCAAACAACTGGCAGCCAATAGGTCCCCACTCACCAAAACCCCCACTACTAGACCCCACTAATGAGACCCTCTGTAAGCAGACCCCTGCTGACCACGATCCCACTAAATAGTCCTCACTGACCTAGGTCCACTGACCAGGCCCACACTGATCAGGCCCCTCCTAACCACACTGGAAATCCAAGCGGCAATGACATGTTTCATATGGCAGAAGTTGGAACAAGACAGAGAGAGGAAAGAGGTTCCACAGCCTTTTAAACTACTAGATCTCATGAGAACTCACTCACTATCAGGAGGATGGCATTAAGGGCTTGGTGCTTTGCCATTTGTGAAGGATCCACTCCCACTCCTTTATGATTAAAGCTTTTTCCACCTAGGCCCCAACTCTAACATTAGGGAGTGTACTTTCACATGAGTTTTGGAAGGGGCATAGAGAAAAACCGTATTATTCTGTCCCTGACCCCACAAATCTCATGTCCTTCTCACATTGCAAAATACAGTCATGCCTTGCCAGCAGTCTCCCAAAGTCTTAACTCATTTCAGCATTAACTCAAAGTTACAAAGTCCAAAGTCTCATCTGGGTCAAGGCTACATTCTCTTTTGCCTACGAGTCTCTGAAATAAAAAGCAAGTTCACTGCGTCTAAGGTACAATGATGGTACAGGCATTGTGTAAGCTTTCCATATCCAAAAGGGAGACATTTTCCAGAAAGCTTCTTATTTTTATCTGAGGCCCCCTCAGCCTGGCCTTCACTGTCCATGTTTTTGTCAGAATTCTTGTCACAGCCATTTAACCAGTCTCTAAGATAGTCCAAAAATGTTCTCATCTGTCTGTCTTCTTTGGAGCCCTCCAAACTCTTCCAACCTCTACCCATTACCCAGTTCCGAAGTTGCTTCCACATTTTCAGGTATCTTTATAGCAATGCTCCAGTCCTCATTTGCCATTTTTGGTAAGATTTATTTTGAAAAAGAGGTTTAATTGGCTCATGGTTCTGCAGAGTGGACAGGAAGCTTAGTGCTTCTGCTTCTGGGGGGCCTCAGAAATCTTTCAATCATTGTGCAAGGTAATGAAAGAGTGAATTGTCTCACATGGCAAGAGGAAATCACGGAGAGTAGGGAGTGATATAGAGTTTTCAGTGGCCAGATCTCACGAGAAGTCACTCATGATTGTGAGGACAGTACCAAGGGGATAGTGCTGAACCACTCATGAGAAATTTGCCTTCATGATTCAATCACCTTATACCAGGATCCACCTCCAACATTAGGAAGCATAACTCAACATGAGATTTGGTGGGGACACATATTCGAATTGCCTCATCAGTCTTTGTGTATAAAGACATCCATAGCAGGCTTTATCCAGCCAGCTTCTTTGGGATTCTTTATATGGTTTCAGGTCTATAGCATATCCACTAAAATATTCCTACTTCAAAAGGCAATAAAGTAAGCGGTATTATCATTCTTCAAAAAGTTATAATGGTAGTGTAGGCATTCATAGTATGATTTAGTTCATTTGCTACTGTTTCTGTTCTATCACCATATTAACACTTTCCTACACAATTCTATATTCAGCTGGGTTTCAGTTGAGCACAAAGTCATCCTTGTACTACCACCGATAGCTGGCACTAGCTCTTTGATATTGTTATCATTCTGCTGTAGAAAGTACCCTTGAACTGGAAAAAGACCACAATCGAATAGCTAGTCATCCAACACTATCAAATTTTAGGTGACTTTTTGAAAAAATAGTATCTCCTGTTGCAAGAAATGCTCCATCTGTGATTTCAAGTCTCTCGCTTGAGTGGATTGGATGGAAGTGGTGAATTTCAGCCAAAGTGGCCAAAGAAATCCTGTTCCTGTGATAATGATGCCATCAGCCTCTGTACCTGTGTCTTCCCTTCTGCCACATGTTGCCTGTTCTCCATGACTGTGGTAAGAGCTTCCTTGTGTATGAGGATGATGTCCAGGATGTTGGTCTGGTGTCCCTGAGACAGCACTAACAGGTCCGTGGCTGGGTCCAGGTCCTTCCTGGACGGATTGGCAAGGAGCTCACTGATGTTCTTGAAGGCATCTCTGGTGAAGTGGATGGCCTAGTCAAGTTCCAAGGCCTGGCTGAGGCTGAAGAAAAACTGGCCGCCTTCTGAAGCTCTTTCTAAAAGCCTGTCACTGTCATCTGCTTGCATGTCAACTCATTGCCTGTGAGGTTGAGCTGAGTGGCCTGTGCCCATCTTCTTGGGGAAGTATTTGAAGCCATCAGTCTTGCTCTCCCACCCCTAAAGGTTGATGGTCACCACGTGGGGGTGTGCTGAGGGTCAGAAAGAAGCCAGCACTCACCATCTCATCCTTCTCAGCCTTCCTCTTGCACTCTCTCCAGGCTGTCTCTTCAGTGGTGTTGGGATATATCAGAAAGTGATGGAAGATGTGGCACTGTGCCCACACCCAGAAGCTGGCCATGTGGTTGGCTCATCCACCAGAATGGATGCTCTGGTTGTTCTTTGAGCCAGCTTGGCCTTGCCTGGCATGCACAGGCCCCAGGTACAGACACGTTGCTCCGAGTGAACTTGTCCTGCCTTGGGCCAAATTCTGTCAGGCCAGGGCCACAAAAGGCCGAGTCCCACGGGTGGTAATCCTGGCTGCTTTCTGCACTTCAACATAAAAGCTTCCTGAAGATGGTCTGTGGTCTGCCTCTTTGCAACCAAGAAGCCCGCAGTGCCATATGAGCCTTGAGGCATGGACTGGAGCCCCCAAGGCAGCGCACACCCTGCTCCTGAGCGTGCTGCTCATTTTCTCTGTGTGGCTCCATTTGTGTCACAGTTGTTGCACTGACTAGTGCATGCTGAGGAAGGCCAAGCTGGCTCAAAAAGCAACCGGCCACCTCTGCAAGGGTGTGCCTGGAGCTGGTGGACCAGCCACCAACCTGACTTGCTGCCGGTCGGGGTACATCAGTTCTTCTACCCTACAGGTAGGGCCACAGTGCTATCTGCTTTTCCTCAGGCCTCTGCTCCATCAGCCATCAGGAGGCAGCCCCTCAGGCTGTAGGAATCTGGCCATCCCTGCTTCCTTGAGTGGGTGAGGTTGGTGGTTGCTCCACCTGCTCCAGGCACACCCTTGCAGAGGTGGCTGCTTGCTCTTTGATCCAGCTTGGCCTTGCCTGGCATGCACAGGCCCCAGCTACCTATATGCTGTTCCAGGTCAGCTTGTAGTGTGTTGGGCCAAATTCTACCTCTGGCCAGGGCCACAGAAGGCCGAGTTCCCTGGGTGCTAATCCTGGCTGCTTTCAGCACTTGAACATAAAGTCCTCCTCAACACCGTCTGTGGTCTGCCTCTTGGCGACTAAGAAGCCTACAGTGCCATACGAGCCCTGAGACATGGACTGGAGCCACAAAGGCAGTGCACACCCCATTCCTGAGCCTGCTGATCATTTCCTCTTTATGGCTCCATTTGTTATACACTTGTTGCAGTGAGGCTTGTGCATGCCAGGCAAGGCCAAGCTGGCTCAAAGAGCAAGCAGCCACCTCTGCAAGGTGTGCCAGGAGCAGGTGGACCAGCCGCCAACCTCACTCACTGTCAGACATGGTACATCAGTTCTTCTACCCTAAAGGTGGGGCCGAGAAGTAGACCACAGGCCGTCTTGAGGAGGACTTTATGTTCAAGTGCAGAAAGCAGGCAGGATTACCACCCAGGGGACTCAGCCTTCTGTGGCCCACAGTGCCATATGAACCCCGAGGCATGGACCGGTACCTTCTGCTTTATACAAAAATTAACTTAAGATAGATTAAAGAGTTAAACATGCCACCTGCTTTTCCTCAGGCCTCTGCTCCATCAGCCATCAGGAGGCAGCCACTCAGGCTGTGGAAACCTGGCCATCCTGGCTTCCTTCAGTGGGTGAGGTTGGTGGCTGGTCCACCTGCTCCAGGCACACCCTTGCAGAGGTGGTTGGTTGCTCTTTGAGCCAGCCTGGCCTTGACTGGCATGCACAGGCCCCAGGTACTGACACGTTGCTCTGAGTGAGCTTGCCCTGCCTTGGGCCAAACTCTGTCAGGCCAGGGTCACAAAAGGCCGAGTCCCACGGGTGGTAATCCTGGCTGCTTTCTGCACTTCAACATAAAGGCCTCCTGAAGATGGCCTGTGGTCTGCCTCTTTGCAACCAAGAAGCCCGCAGTGCCATATGAGCCTTGAGGCATGGACTGGAGCCCCCAAGGCAGCGCACACCCTGCTCCTGAGCCTGCTGCTCATTTTCTCTGTATGGCTCCATTTGTGTCACAGTTGTTGCACTGACTTGTGCATGCCGGGCAAAGCCAAGCTGGCTCAAAAAGGAACCAGCCACGTTTGCAAGGGTGTGCCTGGAGTGATTGGACTAGCCATCAACGTCACCCACTCAAGGAAGCAGGGAATGCGTGTTTGTACCATGCATTTCACTACAGGTACATTTTCCCTGAGGTTGGTGGCCTAGGTTTCTTCTAGATTTTTTATTGTTTTAGGTCTTGCATTTAACTCTTTCATCCATATTACTTAATTTTTGTTTAAGGTGTATGGGTGTGGCCCAGTTTCAGTTTTCTGCATAAGGCTAGCCAGTTTTCCCAAGATCACTTATTAAATAGGGTATCCTTTACCCATTGCTTGTTTTTGTCAGGTTTGTCAAAGATCAGATGGTTTTAGATGTGTGGTGTCATTTCTGAGGCCTCTGTTCTGTTCCATTGGTCTATAGATCTGATTTGGTACCAGCCCCATGCTGTTTTGGTTACTGAAGCCTTGTAGAATAATTTGAAGTCATGTACTGTGATGCCTCTAGCTTTGTTGTTTTTGCTTAGGATTGTCTTGGCTATGTGGGCTCTTTTTTGGTTCCATATGAAATTTAAAGTAGTTTTTCTAATTCTATGAAGAAAGTCAATGGTAGCTTAATTAGGATAGCAATGAATCTATAAATTACTTTGGGTGGTATAGCACTCAGGCACAGAAATGTCCTTGTGTTAGGCAATACCATTCAGGACAGAGCCATGGGCAGAGACTTCATCACCAGAACACAAAAAGCAATGGCAACAAAAGCCAAAATTGACAAATGGGATCTAACTAAACTAAACAGTATCTGCTGTGCAAAAGAAACTATTATCAGAGTGAACAGGCAACCCACAGAATGGGAGAAAATTGTTGCAATCTATCCATCTGACAAAGGGCTAATATGCAGAATCTACAAAGAACAAACTTACAAGAAAAAAAACAAACAACCCCATCAAAAAGTGGACAAAGGATATGAACAGACACTTACCAAAGAAGACATTTATACAGCCAACGAACATGTGAAGCAAAGCACATCATCACTGGTCATTAGAGAAATAGAAATCAAAACCACAATGAGATACAATCTCACAGCACTTAGAATGGCTATCGTTAAAAAATCAGGGGACAACAGATGCTGGACAGGATGTGGAGAAATAGGAACGCTTTTACACAGTTGGTGTGAATATAAATTAGTTCAACCATTGTGGAAGACAGTGTGACAATTCCTCAAGGATCTACAACCAGAAATATCATTTGACCCAGCAATCCCATTACTGGGTATATACCCCCAAAATTATAAATCATTCTAATATAAAGACACATGCACCTGTCTGTTTATGGCGGCACTTTTCACAAAACCAACGACTTGGAACCAACCCAAATGCCCACCAATGATAGACTAGATAAAGTAAATGTGGCATATATACACCATGGAATACTATGTAGCCATAAAAAAGGATGAATCCACGTCCTTTGCTGGGACATGAATGAAGCTGGAAAGCATCATTCTCAGCAAACTAACACAAGAACAGAAAACCAAACACCACATGTTCTCACTCATAACTTGGAGTTGAACAATGGGAACACATGGACACAGGAAGGGGAACATCACACACCAGGGCCTGTCAGCGTGGGGGGCTAGGAGAGGGATGGCATTAGGAGAAATAACTAATGTAGATCATGGGTTGATGGATGCAGCAAGCCACCATGGCATGTGTATACCTATGTAACAAACCTGCATGTTCTGCACATGTACCCCAGAACTTAAAGTATAATTAAAAAAAAAAGAAATTTGTTTTTAATTAAGCTTTTAATCATAGAACTTGTAAAGAAAACCCTTTTGAATCTTTTACTACCACATCATAGCTGGGACAAACTGCTGACGTTTTAAAAGTAACACAAATATCAAACAGAAAGAACTAGACTTAGGAACCAAACTCAGGTTTCTGTAGTGAACAGGGCAGAATCTTCACATTGGGTCACCACAGCTACTCCTTCAGTTTGGCCTTGGCTAGCAAAAGGGTGACCTTTTTATGTAGATGAGACCACTTACGTAAAAAAAAAGGTTTAAAAAATAATTTCTGCTAACTGGAATGCTTTTTGTTGTTGTTTATTTGTTTGTTTCTTTTTGCAGCCATAGGAGTTTTAGCCAATTCAGAGGCCTTGCTCCCTACAATTTGGAACATTCCTTTGGATTTGACCAAGTCAGGAAGAGATGGGAGAAAAGTGAAACAACAACAATAAAACCCCAAGCATAAACAAACAAAGAGTTAAGCAAAACAACAAATGCACAATTCATATGATTACTGAGTGTTCTAATGGTAAGGAGAAATTAAAAGCAGAAATTAAAAGCAGCTGGTGAGTAATCTTAAATTTTATTCATTAAGGAAAAATTTTAAGACAAAACTCTAATTCAGCTACTTACCTGGAAATAAGGCTCAGGCTGGTGGTCGTTCTCTGCCATCTTAGAAGCTGGAAAAAACTTACACTCACCTTCCCTGTCAGAAGCAAGCTGAAACTCAGGAAAGGAGGTGCCTGCTCTCCATCATCATGGAAGCAGGAAAACTTGCCTTCTTTGTTGGAAATGAGTAAAACTTCAGAAAAGGAGTTGTACAGCAAAATCAACCTTAGTTCTCAACCAGATTTTGGGAGATCAGGGAACCTCTGCAGGGGAGAAGCTCCACAACCTCAGCAAATTATCCGTTGATTTGGGCAATAAAGATAGCCCAGGTTGGTATCAAGCAATAATGAGATTTATCAAAGGTCAGGACCACCTTTTTATGTCTTTCTCTGTCTTTTTTTATCTTTATTGGTATATACGTTTTGTCAAAACTAGGAGTGCAACACCTGCTTTTTTCTGTTTTCCGTTTGCTTGAAAGATTTTTCTCCATTCCTTTATTTTGAGCCTATGTATGGCACCGCATGTGAGATGGGTTTCTTGGAGACGGCATACTCAAATGGGTCTTGGTTCTTTATCCATCTTGCCCCCCTGCGTCTTTCAATCAGAGCATTTAGCCCATTTCCATTTAAGGTTAGTAATGGTATGTGTGGATTGGATCCTGTCGTCATGCTGTCAGCTGGTTATTTTGCAGACTTGTGTATGTGGTCGGTTTTTAGCATCACTGGTCTGTGTACTTCGGTGCATTTTTGTAGTGGCTGGTGATGGTCTTTTCTTTCCATATTTAGTGCTTCATTCAGGAGCACTTGTAAGGTAGATCTGGTGATAATGAATTCTCCCAGCATTTGTTTGTCTGAAAAGGGTCTTGTTTCTCCTTCACTTATGATGCTTAATTTTGCTGGACATGAAATTCTGGGTTGAAATTTCTTTTCTTTTTTTTTAACCATTTAACTCTCTAGCTCTCATTTTAACCATTTTAACTCTCTAGCGGCCTTTAACATTGTTTCTTTCATTTTGACCTTGGAGAATCTGATGATTATATGTCTTGGGGATGATATTCTCGTGGCATATCTTACTGAAGTCCTCTGGATTTCCTGAAATTGAATGTTGGCCTGTCTGGCTAGGTTTCGGACATTCTCATGAAGGATATTCTGAAGTATGTTTTCCAAATTGGTTCCATTCTCCTCATCTCTTTCAGGTACATTAATCAGTCATAGATTTGGTCGTTTATATAATCCCATATTTCTCGGATGTTTTGTTCATTCCTTTTCCTCCATTTTTGTCTGCCTGTTTTGTTTCAGAAAGCCAGTTTTCAAGCTCTGGGATTCTTTCCTCTGTTTGGTCTATTCTGCTGGGTGGTCTTGCACATGAGATGGAGCTGTTCTGACCTCAGCCCTCCTTAGTCTGCTTGCCTCTCCCAGGACCCCAGCCTGGCCACACCTGCTTACAGGGCAATATCGGGTGCCCACACACACTACAATAATTTTCATAATGCAATCACACATAATCACCATGTGACTCCATTATGAAAATTCTTGTAGTGTGCTTTTCAGCTCTATTAGGTCGGTTATGTCTTCTTTATACTTGCTATTTTGTCTGTTAGCTCCTGCAATGTTTTACAATGATTTTTAGCTCACTTGTATTGCATGACAACATACTTCTTTCACTCAGTGAACTTTGTTCCTACGCATATCCTGAACCCTGCTTGTATCATTCCAGACATCTCAGCCTCAGCCCAGTTCTGAACACTTGCTGGAGAGTTGATGCAGTCATTTGGAGGAAAGAAGGCATGCTGACTTTTTGAGTTTTCAGTGTTCTCACACAGATTCTTTCTCATCTTTATGGGCTTATCCACCTTCCATCTTTGAGGTTGCTGACCTTCGGACAGGGTATTTTTGTTTTATTGTATTTGATGATCTTGAGGGTTTCATTGTGGTATAAGGTGGATTCAACCAACTGGCTTTGTTTTTGGAGGATTTTGGGGAGGCCAATGTGCAGCTCCCAATTCCTGGACTGTGTGCTTTAACTCTAGGGAACTTGTCTTAGGCCCCAACTTTGTTCTCTGGCTCCTCGAGGTTTGGAGTCCACTGCACTGAGGGGACCGAAGTGTGGCAACTGTGGCGGAATGCTAGTGGATGCAAAATTCCCTTCCTCCCTGCGGGCGTTCACCCAGTGGTGGAGGCAAGACAGCTGGGGTGTGGGCCAGGGCTCCCCTGCTGTGTGTGTGTTGCACTGGAGGTAGTGTTGGTTCAGGGTGAGCTGCTGGCCAGTGCAGACCATGGTGCCTTCTCTGTGCCCCTCAAAGAAACAGTGGTCGCTCAGGGTATAAGAATGTCCCTTTTTCTCTGCACAGCATTAGGTCAAGGGTGAGGTGCTGGCAGGGATGGGGTTCTTGGTTCTGTGCCCACCAAGGCTCTGTCTTCAATGGCAGTTGGTGTGGGTTGGTGTGTGTGCTGCACTCCCGTGTGCTGTCAGGGCAAGTACAGCAAAACCCACCTGTGTAAACACACACAGCAAAGTGATGTAGGAAGTTTCCATATAAAGGGCTGCAGCATGGAGAGGTAATGTGCAGACTGGTGCGTGGCTGTTGGGGCCACCTTGCTGCAGCTCTCCACTGATCAGCTACGGTCCACTAGCACGGAAGCTATGCTGTGGGCATCCGAGAGTGCCCTGTAAGCAGGTGTGGCCAGGCTGGGGTCCTGGGAGAGGCAAGCAGACTAAGGAGTGCCCCATCTCATGGGCAAGACTGCCCAGCAGAGATCAGGTCTCAGAGGAGAACTCCCTCAAAAGTGAACCCCCAGCACAGCATAGCTGCTTTACACAAACATGGCCAGTCTTCTTTTTTAAGCAAGTCCCCTTTTTTAAGAGGGGAACTCTCTGACCTGATCTCTGCTGGGCAATCTTGAACATGAGATGGGGCTGATCTGAGCTTAGCATTTCTAAAGTGCTGGGATAAAGTGTCTCACAAGGGCAAGTGGAGCCTAGAGAGATAGCTGTCCCTGCCCTCTGGGCTCCACATCACCTGACTTGCTGCTCCAGCACTCTGCTTGTCTCCTGGGTGCTCCATCCCGGAGAGATGTGAGTTAGCAATCACTTAGCGTAATCAGCCCAGGATGGAGGGTCTGTGTTGTAAGCCCAAGCCAGGGTTCCCTCTCTGGTGATGAGCAGTGTGGGGTGTGTGGTACCCGTGGGAGATGGACTGGCTTGTTCGTTGGGTCAACTGCAGCTTATTGGAGGTGTCGATATGGCACTTAGGGTCTTTGCTCCCTTGATATTCTGAGGGTAGCAAGGGCAGTTCCACTGCAGAGACAGTGGCAGAGGGAATTTCATTTGCTCCTGGAAGCTCTGTCCAGGGAATTGCTGAGTTGCTACTGGCTTGATAGCTCCAATGGTGGACTGGCTGGAGACCCAGGCCAGGAGGACTTGTCCATCAAGTAGACTGTCCGGCCACTTTCCTGTCAGGCTGCTGTGGTATGCTGGGGGTCCCTCCAGTCCCTATTTGCCTTGTATTTTCCAGGGAAGATGATAGCCTGCCCCTTCCTCTGGGAGCTCTGGGCCACTGAGGTACGAACTTGTTGCCTATATGAACACACCTATAAGATATGACTGGAGACAAGTTGAGAAGTCTTATCTAGTCAGGAGGAACAAGAACAGGGACTTGCTTAAAAAAAAGTCTGGCCACGTTTTTCTAGAGCAGCTGTGCTATGCCGGGGGTTCACTTCCACACCTTGTCGCCTCAGACACTCTGAAGCCCTAAGGCTGAAATGGCTGAGTTGCCCCAACAGCAAAGATGACAGTCTGGTCCTCCCCCTGGGAGCTCTGACTCAGGGAGGCCTGAAACCTCTGTCGGCCAGAGAACAGCAGTGAAGGTAGCTGGAGACCCTGGTTGAAAGGCTTCACCCACTGATTAGAAATGTGTTCGGGGACTGACTTAAACAAGAGTCTGGCCACGTTTTTGTAGTGTGGCTGTGCTGTGCTGAGGTTCCTCTTCCACCCCTTGTCACCTTGGGGTTTCCAAATCTCGCAGTCCAGAATGGCTAGTCACCCAAACAGCAAAGGTGGTGGCCTGCCCCTCTCTCTGGGAGCTCTGTCCCGGGAACACTTCAAATTTCCATTGGCCAAGGAATGCTGGTGGCCGTAGCTGGGACCCCAGTTGGGAGGTCCTTTCCAGTGACATGCAACAGAGTCAGGGGCCTGCTTACAGAAGCAGTCTGGCCATGATTTGGTAAAGCAGCCATGCTGTGCTGTGGGATCTCTTCTGCCCCTGGTCGGTTTGTACTCTCCAAAGCCTTCAGGCTGGAATGACCAAGTTGCCTGAACAGGAAAGATGGCGGCCTGCCCCATCTATTCTCTCAGAGTTCGTCTTGTTTGATGGAGCTTAATTTTTAGCCCGTTAATTTTACTGTCTACATTAGACTTGTTCTGAAAGAATCTGTTATCTTTTAGGTTAGATATATGAGAATTCATTGTTTTCTGTAAATAAACCTGTTCATGTCTTGTTCTCTGGAAAGAAATCTCTTGCAACTCTCTGACTTTGGTCACAATCATGTAGAGCAGTAGCCAGTCTACAGTGACATAATTGAATTTCCATTTCCAGTGTTTCGTTTTTGTGTCTTACATTGTACAGTTCAGAACTGTGCATTTTATTTCCAATTGTCAAAATGCTAAGCTGTCCACTGTATTGAAATTCTGTTTTTGTTAATTCTTCATCATTCAGTTTTTTTTAAGATGTGCACTTTTATCCAACTTTTCTCAAGGCAGAGTACAGGTAAGCCCTGGCTGCCTCCAGCCACTCTCAGGGAGACCAAAACCCTTCATACACTCCAAGTTGGGGTACAAAAAAGGGGGGCAATGAAGGCTAATCATTCAAAATAAAACAAAATTTAAAAGTATTAATGCAAAGATTTAAAAAATTTTGCATTATGTAATTTACACAAAAGCAATGCTATCACCTCCCCTGTGTGAGCTCGGGAGAGGACTGGGCCATTCTCCTTAGAGAGAAGTAGGGTGGCTTTTAGGAGGGCAAGGGGCTTCCTGAAACAATGCATCTCACAATATTTGGAATGACTATTGAAAAGAAGAATAAAGTACAGTCAAAGTCCTTGGCGACATTGTAGAACTAGCGGGTGCTGACCCCCGAGCCACAACCACAGTTCTGGGTTTGGGGTTTGGTAAAACCACCCCAGGGACAGAGTTCTGGGGCTGGGTTTGGGAGGAACCAAGGCGCCTCCCAGGGATGGTGTGTCACTCCTGCTTGCCATGAAATGTGCACACAGGCTGTCCCCCTGCCCATCCCATCCTGCTGGACAGGATGGAGGAAGTGAGGGAACAGGCAGGGTGGACAGCTGGGGTGCAGGGCGAGGCAGGTGCATGCTGGGAGGTCAGGACCTGTGAGGGCTGTGGGCTCATCAGGTGGAGTGGGCTCCAGGTTCACCCTCAGTGCACTGGGCAGGTCTCAGGCCAGGCTCCCTGGACCCCGGCTGGGTGATGTGGTCACTCCCTGGGGGACTGCTGTCAGACCCTGGCCACCCCCCCTGGGCAGCACCGTCACATCCCAGGAATGGACTTTCTGAGTCCTGAGACAGGACAGTGCTGCCCAGGCCTGACAGACTGGGAGGACCTGTTAAGTCCTCCATCCCTAGACCAGCCAATCTTAGAATGAGATCCATCTCATTCTAAGGCAACCAAGGCAGAGCTGAGGACCTGTGCCCAGCTGGGAGCCAGTCCTCTCCCTAAATGGGCCTTAGGGAAGCCTCATCCCTATCCCAGTGCACTGCAAGTTTCAGCCCAGGAGACACATAGGGAAGGGAGGATGGGGCCTCTCCACTGGCTGACCCTGGAAAAGCAGGACCTGGGAGAAGAGAGAGCACAGGGCTGGCAGGTGATGCTCCATGCCCATGGAGAGCTCAGGCTCCACCAAGGGGCTGCCTCTCCTGGGCTGGAGGCTGTGCCCTCTGCAGGATCTGAGGAAGTCCAGTCCTGAGATGGGACAGTGCTACCCAGGGTGGGCGGCCAGCGCCTGACAACAGTCCCCCAGTAAGTGACCACATCACCCGGCCGGGGTCCAGAAAGCCTGGGCCAAGACCTGCTCAGTGCACTGAGGGTGCACCTGGAGCCAACCCCACCTGATGCCCCCACAGCCCTCACAGGGTCTGACCTCCCAGCATGCACCTGCCTCTCCCTGAAACCCAGCTGCCCACCCTGCCTGTTCCTTGGCGCAAGAACTCCCAGGTCCATCCAGACACCTGCTTTGTCCACTTTTGACTGGGCCATTGAACACCACTGGGCCACGCCAACTGTCCACAGCCTCCTCGATAACATGCATTTTCCCTGACATTTCCCAGTAGTGCTCAGCAGCCCCCACTGACCAGGTCCCTGCTGAGCAGATTCAGCATATCAGATCCTCCCTGACCACACCCTCACTGATTAGACCCCCTTCACCAGACCTCACTAACTAGATTCCCACTGCCAGGCCCACAATGTCCAGGACTCCACTGACGAGGACCTTACTGACAAGGCCTCACTGGCAAGGCCTCACTGACCAGGTCCTTACTTACAAGGTCTAACTGATAAGGTTCCACCGATCATGACCCCATTACCTGGTCCCACAGATGAAGCCCTACTGACCAGGCCTGCAGGGAATATGTTGCCAGTGACCAGGCCCCTGCTAACCAGGCCTGAGGTGACCAGATGCCCCTGACCAGGACCCTAATAAGTATGCCCCACTGAACAGGCATGCACTGCTCAGATCCCCGCTGACCAGGTCACCCCGTAGACCAGTGCTACAAAAGCCACCACTGATCAAGTCCTCTCTGACCAGGCCCCCACTGATTAGGTTTCCATGGACCAGCCTGCCCTGACCAGGGCCCCACTGACAAGCGCCTCTGCTGACTAGGTCCCATGTGACCAGACCTCCACTGAATAACACCCCTTGACCTGGTCACCAGTAACCCAGCCCAATCTGACAAGGCCATCACTAAGCCCCAGCTGACAAGGTCTCCAGTGACCAAGTCCCACAGCCCAGGTAGGCATTGACCAGACACCAAATATTTGTCTGCCACTAGGAACCCACTCACCAAGACCTGCACTACTAGATCCCTCTAATGAGACCCTCTCTAAGCAGACCCCTGGTGGCCACCTCCCACTAAATAGGCCTCACTGACCAAGTCCCGACTGACTAGGTCCACTGAGCAGGCCCACACTGATCAGGCCCCTCCTAACCATATCAGAAGGCCAAGCGGCAAAGAGATGTTTCATATGGCAGGAGTAGGAGCAAGACAGAGAAAGGAAAGAGGTGTGACATCCTGTTAGGCAATCAAATCACATGAGAACTCACTATCAGGAGATCAGCATCAAGAAGACTAACCAATGGTGAAGGATTCTCCACCCATGCCACCGCCCACTGCTTCCAGGCAGAAGCCTCCTGCAGAGGCAGAACCTCTTAGGAAACTTCCATTATGGCAGTGCAGAAGGAAAATATAGGCTTTGAGCCCCCACACAGGAGGCCACCATCCTCCAGACTCCAGATTTGTAAGCCCACCAACAGCTCATACTCTCAGTATGGAAAAGCTACAGTCACTCAACACAAACCCAGCCCATGAGAGCAGCCATGGGGGCTAAACCCTGCAAAGCCACAGGTGCACTGTCCTAGTAGAGGTTTCCCATGAGCCTCTGCCTCTGCAGCAGGTTACTCCCACCCTCCCAACACCCTACTGACAACCTACTCCTCCCCACACTACCACCCCTTTTCCTTCCACCCAACCCCCTCCCATCCAAGATTAAATCACCTCCCACCTGACCCACCTCCAACATTAAGGATGACACGTGAGTTATATAGGGACACATAGCCAACCCATATTATTCTGACCCTGATACCCCAGAACCTCATGTCCTTCTCACAGAGCAAAACACAACCATGCTTTTTCAAAAGTTTCCAAAAGTCTTAACTCATTCCAAATGTAAAAATTTCCAAGTCTCATCTGAGACAAGGTTACAGTCCCTTCTGCCAATGAGTCCCTGAATTTAAAAGGGATTTCTTTTCCTTCAAGGTACAACAGGCATTGGGTAAGATTTCTCAATCCAAATGGAAGAAATTCCCCAGAAAAAATAACACAAATGCAAGTCCAAAACCCAGCAGGACAGTATTCACTCAATCTCACAGCTCCAAAGTCATCAAGAGAACTCACTGTCATGCGGACAGCATTAAGGAGATAGTGTTTACCCATTTGTGAAGAATCTGCCCCCCTACCCTCATCTTTCACTCCCACCCACAAAATAATCTCTCCCATTCTCCCCACAACCCTACCTCCAACACCCACTCTTCTCCATGATTAAATCACCTCCCACCAGGTCCCACCTTTAACATTCCCCACTACAATTCCACATGAGTATTGGTAGGGACACAGAATCAAATCATATTATTCTGGTTCTTGCTCCCCAAATCTTGTATCCTTGCCACACTGCAAAATACATTGATGACTTCTCTACTGCCCCCCAATGACTTAACTCATTCCAGCATTTACTGAAATGTACAAGGACTTACAGACCCCATGCAAGTCAAAAACCCAGCAGGCCAGTCATTGAATCCTACAGCTCCAAATCATCCTTTCTGAATCTACATCTCACATCTAGAGAACAGATGGCTGTGCAGGGTCTATCCCCCACAGCTGCCCTCATGGGCTGGGCTGATGTTGAGTGCCTGTAGCTTTTCCACATTAAGGGTGCCAGCTGTTGGTGGGTCTATGAATCTGGGGTCTGGAGAATGGTGCCTCCATATTTAGGGACTCCAGCCCTAAATTCTCCTTCTGTACTGCCCTAGTAAAGGTTTCCCATGAGGCTTTGCCTCTTGGAAAAGATCCTGCCTGAACACCCGGGTTTTTCCGTACATACTCTGGAGTCTAGACAAAGGCTCCCAAGCCTCTAGTTTTGTGCTCTGTGCAGCTGCTGGCTTAACACTATGTGGAAGTCACCAAGGCTTGAAGCTTGCACCCCTGAAGCTGTGATGCAAGCTGTACCTGTGCATCTTTAAGCCATGCCTGGAACTAGAGCTGCAGGGATGCAGGCAGCAGTGTCCTGAGGCTGCACATAGAGGGGGGTCACGGAACTGGCCCAGGAAACCATTCTTCTCTCCGAGGCCCCAGGGCCTATGATAGCAAGGGCTGCTGCAAAGGTTTCTGAAATGGCTTCAAGGCCTTTTCCCTATTGTCTTGGCTATTAGCACTGGGCTCCTTTTCATGCAAATTTCTGAAGCCTTCCTCAGTTTTCCCCTGAAAATCAGATTTTCTTTCTGACCATTTGGCCAGGCTGCAAATTTTTGAGTTCTGTTTCTCATATAATATAAGAGTTGGGACTGATTTAATGTAAGACCCATCCAGATGTCATTTCCTCAGTCACACATAAGGGCACAGGCTATTTGATACAGACAGGACATCCCTTCAGCTTTGCTGTCCAGAAGTTCATTCCATCAGATACTCAGTAAGTCATCACCCTCAAATTCAAAGTTTCAGAGATCTCCAGGGCAGGGTCACTGTGCAGCCACGTTCTTTGCTGCAGCAAAACAAAAGTAACCTTGGCTCCTGTTTGCCGTAAGTACCTCCTTTTCATCTGAGAGCTTCTCAATCTGATCCTTACTATTTTCCTATGAGCCTTCTGATCACAAGTATTTAACAATTCTTTACAAAGATCCAAACTTTCCCTCATCTCCCTGTCTTCAAAGTCCTCCAAACTCTCCCAAACTCCATCTGCTACCCCCTTCTGAACATGCTTCTACATTATCAGCTATCTTTGTCACAGGCTGGCCATGTGGTAAAGGAAGACAAGCCCATTTCCTGGGGAAGAAGTCAAGGAGGCTTCAGATACTTGAGTGAAAAGAAGCTGAGTGCTGATTGCCAAGACTTTAGGGAGAAGACCTTGAAGACATTTAATAGATCCACTTTGCAGTCATAATTTTCTCCATGATTATAAAGAAAAGAGGTTTAATTGGTTAATGATTCTGCAGGCTGTAAGGAAGCATAGTGGCTTCTGCATCTGACAGGACTCAGGAAGCCTCCCAATCCTACCAGAATGTCAAAGGGCAAGGAGATGTCTCATATGGCAAGAGTAGGAGCAAGACAGAGAAAGGAAAAATGTTGTCATGCCCTATTATACAAGCAGATCTCATGAGAACTCACTATCACAAGGTCAGCATCAAGAAGATGGTGCTTAAACATTGGTGAAGTATCTGACCCACACCCCCAACTCCCACTGTTTCCAGGCAGAAGCCTCCTTCAGATGCAGAACCTCTTGGAAAACCTCTATTATGGAAGTGCAGAAAGAAAATATGGGCTTGGAGCCCCCACACAGGTGGCCACCAACCTCCAGATCCCAGATTCATAGACCCACCAACAACTCACGCACTTGGTGTGGAAAAGCTACAGACCCTCAATACCAGCCCAGCCCACGAGAACAGCTGAGGGGCTCAAACCTGCAAAGCCACAGGTGCACTTCCCTAGTGGAGGTTTTCCATGAGGCTTTGCCTCTGCAGCAGTCTACTCCCCCTTCCTACTTCCCCCCACCCTCCCACCACCCTACTGCCAACCCGCTCCTCCCCATCCTACCGATCCCTTTTACCTTCTACCACCACCAACCTCCTGTCCATAATTAAGTCACCTGCTTCAACATTAGGGATTACAATTCCACATGAGTTTCATAGGGACACACAGGCAAACCATATAATTCTGACCCTGATATTCCAGAATCTATGTCCTTATCACAGACCAAAATACAATCATGACTTTTCAAAAGTTTGCAAAAGTCTTAACTCATTCCAAATTTTAAAAATTCAAAGTCTCATCTGAGATAAGGCCACAGTCCCTTCTGCCTATGAGTCCCTGAATTTAAAATGGAGTTCTTTTCTTTCAAGTTACAATGATGGTGGAGGCATTGGGTAAGTTTTCTCAGTCCAAAGGGAAGAAATTTCCCAGAAAAATAACACAAATGGGCCCACAGGCCCAATGCAAGTCCAAAACCCAGCAGGACAGTATTCACTCAATCTCACAGCTCCAAAATCATCAAGAGAACTCACTGTCATGTGAACAGCCTTAAGGAGAGTGTGCTTAACCATTTGTGAAGAATCTGCCCCCCCACCCTCATCTTTCACTCCCACCCACAAAATAATCTCCCCCATTCTCTCCACACCCTTACCTCCAACCCCCATGCTTCTCAATGATTAAATCACCTCCCACCAGGCCCCACCTTCAACATTCCCCATTACAATTCCACATGAGTTTGCTAGGGATGCAGAGCCAAATCATATTATTCTGACCCTGGTCCCCATATCTCATGTTGTTCTCACACTGCAAAGTACAATGATGCCTTCTCTACAGTTTCCCAATCTCTTAACTCATTCCAGCATTTACTGAAGTGTCCAAAGCCTAAAGTCTCTTCTGAGACAAGGCTGCCATATGTTCTACCCCTGAGCCTCTGAAATACCAAGCAAGTACTTCCAAAGTACAATGATTTTACATGCATTGGATAAGTATTCCCAGCCAAAAGGAATAAATTTGCCAGAAAGAAGCACAAAATACATTTGGGACTTACAGACCCCATACAAGTCAAAAACCCAACAGGCCAGTCATTGAATCCTACACCTCCAAATCATTTTTTTTGAATCCAGATCCCACATCCAGAGCACAAGGGTATGAGGCCTGGGCTCCCAAGGCCTTGGGCAGGTCTGCACCTGTGACTTTTGCGGGGTCTAACCTCCACAGTTGCCCTCATGGGCTGGGCTGGTGTTGAGTACCTATAGCTTTTCCACAATCAGGGTGCAAGCTGCTAGTGAGTCTATGAATCTGGAGTTGGCAGAATGGTGCCTCCCTGTATGGGGTTCCAACCCTATATGTTCCTTCTCTACTGACCTAGTAAAGGAGGCTCTGCCTCTTGGAAAAGTTTCGACCTGGACACCCAGGTTTTTCCATACATACTCTGGAGTCCAGACTAAGGATCCCCAGCCTCTAGTTTTGTGCTCTGTGCACCTGCTGGCTTAACACTATGTGGAAGCCACCAAGGCTTGCAGCTTGCACCCTCTGAAGCAGTGACCCAAGCTGTACCTGTGCATCTTTCAGCCATGGCTGGAGCTGGAGCTTCAGGAATGCAGTCAGCAGTGTCCTGAGGATGGACATAGCAGCGGGGCCATTGGGCTGGAGAAGGAAACCTTTCTTTTATCCCAGGCCTCAGGGCCTGTGATAGCAAGGGCTGCTGCAAAAGTCTCTGAAATGCCTTCAAGGCCTTTTTAACATTGTATTGGCTATTAGCACTGCACTCCTTTTTATGCGCATTTCTGAAGCCTTTTTGAACTTTCCCACTGATAATCAGCTTTTCTTTTTGACCACTTGGCCAGGCTGCAAATTTTCCAAACTTTTAAGCTCTCCTTCTCATTTAAATATAAGTTTCACCTTGAGGTCATTTCTTTGGTCACATATAGGACCACAGGCTGTTCGACACAGACAGGACACTTCTTAAGCTTTGCTGCCTAAAATTTCATTCCACCAAATACACTCTAAATTATCACCCTGATGTTCAAATTTTCACAGGTCTCCACATTAGGGGCATCATGCAGCAACGTTCTTTGCTAAGGAAAAAACAAAAGTGACCTTGGTTCCTGTTCCCAGCAAGCTCCTCATTTTCATGTGAGACTTTCTAAGCCTGGAGATCACTGTCCATCCTTCTGTCACCTTTTTAATTATAACTATTTAACGAGTCTCTACACTGGACCAAAGTTTTCCTCATCTTCCTGTCTTCTTCCAAGACCTCCAAACTCTCCAACCTCTGGCCATTACACACTTCTCAACCTGCTTCTACATTTTCAGCTACGTTTGTCATAGCCTGGCAATGTGGTAAAAGAAGAAAAGTCCATTTCAGGAAAAAATTAATGCAGGCTTCACATATTTGCCTGAAAAGAAGCTGAGTGCTGATTGCCAAGAGACTAGGAAAAAGGTCTTGAAGGCATTTCATAGTTCCACTTTATAGCATTATTTTTTTGTATAATCAGAAAGAAAAGAGGTTAAACTGGCTGATGGTTCTGCAAGCTTTAAATAAATCATAGAGGCTTCTGCTTCTGGGAAGATTCAGGAAGCCTCCCAATCATACCAGAAGACCAAGCAGCAATGGGATGTTTTATATGGCAGAAGTAGAAAAAAAAACACAGAGAGGAAAAAGGTGCCACACGTTGTATAACCCTGTTATACAACCAGATTTCCTGAGAACTCACTATCACAAGGTCAGTATCAAGATGTTGCTTAACCATTGGTGAAAGATCTGCCCCCTACCACCCACACCCCTCACTGTTTCCAGGCAGAAGACTGAGGCAGAGGCAGAGCCACTAGGAAAACCTCTACTAGGGCAGAGCAGAAAAAATAGATGGGCTTGGAGGCCCCACGCATGAGGTTACCATCCTCAGACCCCAGATTCATAGACCCACCAACAGCTTGCACTCTCAGTATGGAAAAGCTACAGGCACTCAACACCAGCCCAGCCTATGAGGGCAGCCACGGCGGCTACACCCTGCAAACCACAGGTGCACAGCCCTGGTAGAGGTTTTCCATGAGGATATGCCTCTGCAGCAGGCTACTCCCCCTTCCTACTGCCCACCACGCTCTCACCACCCTACTGCCAGCCTACTCCTCCCCACCCTACCCATTTATTTTCCCTTTCACCCCTACCAACCTCCTGTTTGTGATTAAATCACTTCCCACCAGGTCCCACCTACAACAGTCAGGAATGCTGTTCCCCATGAGTTTTTGTAGAGAAACACAGCCGAACCATATTATCCTGACCCTGACACCCCCACATCTCATGTCTTTCTCACACAGAAAAATACAAACATGCCTTTTCAAAAGTTTCAAAAAGTCTTAACTCATTCCAGCAGTAACTCAAATGTAGTAAGTTCAAGTCTCATCCAGAACAAGACCAATCCCTTCTGCCTATAAGTCCCTGAATGTAAAATACAATTCTTTTCTTTCAAGTTAAAACGATGGCACAGGCACTGGGTAAACTTTCTCAAACCAAAGGGAAGATTTTCCCAGAAAAATAACACAATTGGGACACAGGCCCAATCCGACTCCAAAACCCAGCAGGACAGCATTCATTTATCATGAGAACTCACTATCACACAGACTGCATTAAGGAGATAGTATTTAACCATTTGTGAAGGATCTGCCACCCGTCCCCATGTTTCACCTTCACTCACACCATGAACCTCCGTTCCCCTACATCCCCCTTCCAACCCCCATTCTCTACCATGATTAAATCATCTTCTACCAAGCCCCACGTTTAACATTCCCCATTACAATTCAACATGAGTTTTGGTAGGGACACAGAGCCAAATCATATTATTCCCCCTTTGGCTCCCCAATCTCACATCCTTCTCATACTGCAAAATACAATGATGCATCCTCTACAGTCCCCCAGTGTCTGAACTCATTCCAGCATTTACTCAAATGTCCATTTGTGAAGGATGCACCCCCCGCCCCTGCCTTTCACCCCCAACCCCACCACAATCACCCCAACCCTCCCCACCCCCTAATCACCCCCACCCTCCCCAACCCCCCAACCATCCCACCTCCACTCTCCATCATGATTAAATCACCTTCCACCAGCCCCCACCTTTAACATTTCCCATTAAAATTCCATATGAGTTTTGGTAGAGACACAGAGCCAAAACATATTATTCTGTCCCTGGTCCCCCAAAGTTCATGTCTTTCTCACATTGCAAAACGCAATGATGACTTCCCTAGAGTCCCCCAAATCTTAACTCATCCCAGCGTTTACTCAAATGTCTAAAGCCCAAAGTCTCTTCTGAGACAAGGCTGCCATACCTTCTGCCCTGAGCCTCTGAAATACAAAGCAAGTTAACCACTTCCAAGGTACAATGATTGTACAGGCATTGGGTAAGCATTCCAAGCCAAAAAGAAGAAATTTGCCAGAAAGAAGCACAAAACACAGATGAGACTTAAAAACCACCTGCAAGTCAAAAACACAGCAGGCCAGTCATTCCATCATACAGCTCCAAATCATCTTTTTGGAATCTATGTCCACATCCAGAGCACAGGGTGGTGTGATGGCTGGGATCCCAAGGCCTTGGGCAGCTCTGCACATGTGGCATTGCAGAATCTTCCCCCTACAGCTGACTTCATTGGCTAGGCTGGCGTTGAGTACCTGTAGCTTTTCAACAGTAAGGGTGCAAGCAGCTGGTGGGTCTATGAAACTGAGGTCTGGAAAATGGTGCCTCCCTCTATGGGGACTCCAACCCTATACTTTCCTTGTGTACTACCTGAGTAGAGGTTTACCATGAGGCTCTGCCTCTTGGAAAAGCTTCTGGCTAGACACTCAGGCTTTCTGATATATTCTCTGGAGTCCAGACGAAGGCTCTGAAGCTTCTAGTCCTGTGCTTTATGCACCTGCTGGCTTAACACTATGTAGAAGCCACCAAGGCTTGGAGCTTGCATCCTCTGAAGCAGTGATGCAAGCTGTACCTGTACATCTTTCATCCATGGCTGAAGCTGGAAAAGGAGCTGCAGGGATGCAGGCAGTAGTGTCCTGAGGCTGCACACAGCAGTGGAGCCATGGGGCTGAGCCAGGAAACTATTCTTTTCTCCTAAACCCCAGGGCCAGTGACAGCAAGGACTGCTACAAAGGTCTCTGAAATGCCTTCAAGGCCTTTTTCCCATTGTCTTGAATTATTAGCATTGGGCTCCTTTTTATGCAAATATCCTAAGCCTTCTTGATTTTCCCCCTGAAAATCAGCTTTTCTTTTTGACCACTTGTCCAGATTACAAATTTTCCAAATGTTGAAGCTCTGTTTCTCATTTAAATATAAGTTCCAACTTATGGTCATTTCTTTCATCACACATAGGAGCACAGGCTGTTCGATGTAGGCAGTACAACTCTTGAACTTTGCTGCTTAGAAGTTCATTCCACCAAATACACCCTAAATTATCACCCTCGAGTTCAGTTTCACAGATCTCCCGGGAAGGGTCACTGTGTAGCCAATTACTTTGCTAAGTCAAAACAAAAAAACCTTGGCTCCTTTTCCCAGTAAGTTACTCATTTTCATCTGAGACCTTACAAGGCTGGTCTTCACTGTCCATCCTTCTGTCAGCCTTTTACTCACAACTATTTAATAAGTCTCTGCAATGGTCCAAACTTTCCCTCATCTTTCTGTCTTCTTCCAAGCTCTCCAAACTCTCTAACCTCTGGCCACTACCCAATTTGGAACCTGCGTCTACACTGTCAGCTATCTTTGCTGCAGCCTGGCAATGTGGTAAAAGAAGAAAAGTCCATTATCAGGGGAAACATCAAGATGGCCTCCAATATTTGCATTGAAAGAAGCTCAGCGCTAATAGCCAAGAGAATGGGGGAAACACCTAGAAGTCATTTCATAACTTCACTTCACAGCATTAATTTTCTGTATCTACATAAAGAAAAGAGGTCTAATTGACTCACAGTTCTTCAGGCTGTAAAGAAAGCATAGTGGTTTCTGCTTGTAGGGGGACTCAGGAAGCCTCCCAATTATACCAGAAGGCCAAGCAGCAATGAAATGTTTCATATGGCAGGAGTAGAAGCAAGACAGAGAGAGGAAAGAAGTGCAATATCCAGTTATACAACTAGATCTCATGAGAGCTCACTATCAGAAGATCAGCATCAAGATGGTGCTTAACTGTTGGTGAAGGATCCGCCCACCACCCCATATCCACTACCCACTGTTTCCAAGCAAAAGCCTGAGGCAGAGACAGATCCGCCTGGAAAACCTCTACTAGGGCAGTGCAAAAGGAAAATATGGGCTTGGAGCCCCCACGCCACCATCCTCCAGCCCAAGAGTCATGGACCTACCAACAGCTCACACCCCCAGTATGGAAAAGCTTCAGGCACTCAACAGCAGCCCAGCCCATGAGAGCAGCTGCAGGTGCTAAACCCTGCAAAGCCACAGGTGCACTGCCTTAGTAGAGGTTTTCCATGAGCCTCTGCCTCTGTTGCAGGCTACTCCCCTCCTGCTACACACCACCCTACAGCCAGCCTACACCTCCCCACCTTACCCACCTGTTTTTACTTCCAACCCCACCCCTCTCCCATCCATGAATAAGTCACTTCCCACTAGGCCCCACCTGCAACATTCAGGATTACAATTACATGTGAGTTTAGGTAGGGACACGCAGCTAAATCATACTATTCTGACCCTGATCCCCCAAATATCATATCCTTCTCACAGAGTAAAATACAATCATGCCTTTTCAAAAGTTGCCAAAAGTCTTAAGTCATTTCAGCATTAACTCGAATGTAAAAAGTTCCACGTCTCACCTGAGAAAAGGCTACAGTCCCTTTTGCCTATAAGTCCCTGAATTTAAAAGTGAGTTCTTTTCTTTCAAGGTACAATGATGGTACAGGCATTGGGTAAGTTTTCTCAATCCAAAGGGTAGAAGTTTGCCAGGAAAATAACACAAATGTGATCACAGGGCCAACGCAAGTCCAAAACCCAGGAGGTCAGTATCCATTCAATCTCACAGCTCCAAAACCGTCACGAGAACTCACCATCATGAGGAAAGGATTAAGGAGATGGTGTTTAACTACTTGTGAGGGATCATCCCCCCACCCCCACTTTTCACCCCTCACCCCCAGCATAATCCACCCATCCTTCCCAATCTCCACCTTCCAACACCCAGTGCCCTCCATGATTAAATCACCTTCCACCTGGCCCCAATTTTAACATTTCTGATTACAATTCCACATGAGTTTCCATAGGGACACACAGCCGAATCTTATTCTTCTGTCCCTGCCTCCCCAAATCTCATGTCCTTCTCACTTTGCAAAATACAGTGATGCCTTACTTACCATTCCCCAAGCCACTATGCTTTTTTTTACAGCCTGCAGAAAGATGAGCCAATTAAACCCCTTTTTGTTATGATCATACAGAAAATTAGTACTATGAAGTGAAGCTATGAAACGCCTTTAATGACTTTTCCCCATCGTCTTGGCTAAAACCCCCAACGTCTTAACTCATTCCAGCATTTACTTAAATGTCTGAAGCCCAAAGTCTCATCTGAGACAAAGATGCTGTCCCTTCTGCTCCTGAGCCTCTGAAATACAAAGCAAGTTAACTACTTCCAAGGTATGATTGTCCAGGCATTGAGTAAGAATTCCCACCCTAAAGGAAGATTTTTGCCAGAGAAGCAATGAAACACAAATGGGACTTACAGGTCCCATGAAAATCCAAAACCCAGCAGGCCAGTTATTAAAACCTACAGCTCTAAAGTCATCCTTTTTTAATCCTTGCCCCACATCCAGGGCACAAGGGCATGAGGGCTGGGCTCCCAAGGCCTTGGGCAGGTCTGCACCTGTGGCTTTGTGGTTTTCAGTCCCCACAGCTGCCCTCATGGGCTGTGCTGGTGTTGAGTGCCTGTAGTTTTCACCCACAGAGGGTACAAAGCTCTTGGTGGGTCTATGAGTCTGGGGTCTGCATGATGGTGGCCTCCGGTGTGGGGGCTCCAACCCCATATTTTCCTTCTGCACTGCCCTAGTAGAGGTTTCCCAAGAGGCTCTGCTTTTTGGCAGCCTTCTGTCTGGACACCCAAGCATTTTCGTACATCTTCCAAAATCTATATGAGGGCTCCGAAGCCTCTGGGCTAGTGCTCTATGGACTCGCTGGATTAACACTATGTGGAAGCCATGAAGCCTTATAGCTTGTACCCTCTGAAGCAGTGATGCAATCTGTAGCTGTGTATCTTTCAGCCAAGGTCGGAGCAGGAGCTGGGCTGCTGGGATGCAGGCAGCAGTGTCCTGAGGCTGCACACAGCAGCAGGGCCATGGGGCTGGCCCCGGAAACCATTCTTCTCTCCTAGGCCCCAGGGTCTGTGACAGTAAATGCTGCTGTAAACATCTCTGAAATGCCTCCAAGGCTTTTTCCCCCATTGTCTTGGCTATTAGCACTGGCCTCCATTTTATGCAAATTTCTGGAGCCTTCATGAATTTTCCCCCTGAAAATCAGCTTTTCTTTTTGACCACTTGGCCAGGCTGCAAATGTTCCAAACTTTTGAGCTCTGCTTGTCATTTTTAAATATAAGTTCCAACTTGAGGTCATTTCCTCGGTCACACATAACCTCGGTCACACAAGAGCACAGGCTGTTTGATGCAGACAGGATCCCCCTTGTGCTATGCTGCCTAGAAGTTCATTCCACCAGATATGTACTAAATCATCACCCTCAAGTTCAAAGTTTCACAGATCTAGAGGGCAAGGTCGCCCTGCAGCCATGTTCTTTGCTATAGCAAAACAAAAGTAACCTTGGCTCCTGTTCCCAGTAATTTCCTCATTTTCATCTGAGACCTTGTAAGCCTGGCCTTCACTGTCCATCCTTCTGCCAGCCTTTTAATCACAACTATTCAACAAGTGCCTACTATGGTCCAAAATTTCTTTCATCTTCCTGTCTTCTTTCAAGCTCTCCAAACTCTCCAACCTCTGGCTTTTACCCACTTCTGAACCTGCTTTACATTTTCAGCTATCTTTATTGCAGCCTGGCAATGTAGAAGAAAAAGAAGTCCATTTTCAGGGGGAAACTTCAAAAGGCTTCAGATATTTGCATTAAAAAGAAGTCCAGTGCTAATAGCCAAGACGATGGGGAAATGTCATTGCAGATATTTCATAGCTCCACTTCACAGTACTTTATTTTCTGTATGATCATAATGAAAAGGGGTTAATTGGCTCATGGTTCTGCAGGCTGTAAAGAAAGCATAGTGGCTTCTGCTTCTGGGAGGACTCAGGAAGCCTCCCAATCATACCAGTAGGAAAACAGCAATGAAATGTTTCATACGGCAGGAGTAAGAGCAAGGCTGAGAGAGGAAAGAGGTGCCACACCGTTATATAACCAGATCTCATGAGGACTCACTATCACTAGGTCAGCATCAAGAAGATGGTGCTTAACCATTGGTGAAGGATCCGCCCCCCAACACAGCTCCACCTCCTAGTGTTCCAGACAGAAGCCTGCTGCAGAGGCAGAGGCTCTTGGGAATCCTGTACTATGGCAGTGCGGAAGGAAAATAAGGGCTTTGAGTGACTATGCAGGAGGCCACCATCCTCTAGACCCCAGATTCATAGACCTACCAACAGTTCACACCCTCAGTATGGAAAAGTGATAGGCACTCAACACCAGCCCAGCCCATGAGAGAAGCCATGGGGGCTAAAGCCTGCAAAGCCACAGGCACACTGCCCTGGTAGAGGTTTCCATGAGCCTCTGCCTCTGCAGCAGTCTACTCCCCCTTCCTACTACCCACCACCCTACAGCCAGCCTACTCTTCCCCACCCTACCCACCCCATTTTTTTCCACCCCTACCCCTCCCATCCATGATTAAATAATCTCCCACCAGGTCCTGCCTCCAACATTTGGCATTACAATTCCACATGAGTTTTTCCAGGGGCACACAGCCAAATCATATTATGCTGACCTTGACCCCCCAAATCTCATATCCTTCTCACAGAATAAAATACATTCATACCTTTTCAAAAGTTTCCAAAAGCCTTAACTCCTTCCTGCATTAACTCAAATGTAAAAAGTTCAAAGTCTCATCTGAGACAACGCTACAGTTTCTTCTGCCTATGATTCCCTGAAGTTAAAAGGGTGTTCATTTCTTTCAAGGTACAATGATGGCACAGGTACTGGGTAAGCTTTCTCAATCCAAAGGAAAGAAATTTCCAAGAAAAATAACACAAATGGGACCACAGGCCCAGTGGACATCCAAAATACAGTAGGTCAGTGTTCATTCAATCTCACAGCTCCAAAATCATGAAGAGAACTCACTATCAGAAGGACAGCATTAAGGAGATGGTGTTTAACCATTTGTGAAGGATCCACCCCCACCCCTGCCTTTCATCCCCAACCCCACCACAATCCCCTCCAACCCTCCCAACCCCCAATCCCCTCCAACCCTCCTCGCCCCCCAATCCCCCCAACCCTCCCCGCCCCCCAACCATCCAACCTCCACTCTTCACCATGATGAAATCACCTTCCACCAGCCCCCACTTTTAACATTTCCCATTAATATTCCACATGAGCTTTGGTAGAGACAGAGAGCCAAAACATATTATTCTGTCCCTGGTCCCCCAAAGTTCATGTCTTTCTCACATTGCAAAATGCAATGATGCCTTCCCTAGAGTCTCTCAAATCTTAACTCATTCCAGCATTTACTCAAAGGCCCAAAGCCCAGAGTCTTATCTGAGACAAGTTTACAGTCCCTTCTGCCCATGAGTCACTGAATTATAAAGAAAATTTACTACTTCCAAGGTACAAGGATTGTACAGGCAATGGGTAAGCATTCCCAGTCAACAGAAAAAAATAATTCCTAGAAAGAAGCACAAAACACAGAAGGGACTCATAGGATACATAAATGTCCAAAACCCAGCAGGCCAGTCACTCAATGCTACAGCTCCAAAATCATCATTTTTGAATCCTTGTCCCATATCCATGGCACAGGGCTGTGAGGGCTGAGCTCCCAAGGCCTTGGGCAGATCTGCCCCTGTGGTTTTGCAGCGTTCAGCCTCAGTGGCTGTCTCTCATGGACAGGGCTGTTGTTGAGTGCCCATAGCTTTTCCACACCAGGGGTGCAAGCTGTTTGTGGGTCTATGAATCTGGGGTTTAGAGAGTGATGCCTCCCTGTGTGGGGGCTTCAACCTTATATGTCCCTTCTTTGCTCCCCTAGTAGAGGTTCCCCATAAGGCTCTGCCTCTTGGAAAAGCTTCTTCCTGAACATCCAGGATTTTCTGTACATCTTCTGGAGTCTAGACGGGAGCTCCCAAGCCTCTAGTCTCTTTCTCTGTGCACCTACTGGCTTAACACTATATGGAAACCTTTAAGACTTTGAGCCACCTCTGAAGCAATGACCCGAGCTGTACCTGTATGTCTTTCAGCCATGGCTGGTGCTGGAGCTGCACAGATGCAGGCAGCAGTGTCCTGCGGTTGAACACAGCAGCAGGGCCATGGGACTGGCGTAGGAAACCATTCTTCTCTCCTAGGCCCCGGGGCCTGTGACAGCAAGGGCTGCTGCAGACTTCTCTAAAATACCTTCAAGGCCGGTTTCAAACTGTCTTGACTATTTGCACTGGGTTCCTTTTTATGCAAATACCCTAAGCCTTCTTGAATTTTCCCCCTCAAAATCGGCTTTTCTTTTTGACTACTTGGCCAGGCTCCAAATTTTCCAAACTTTAGATCTCCACTTGAAGTTCCAACTTGAAGTCATTTCTTAGGTCACCCTTAAGAACACAGGCTGTTCAATGCGGACAGGTCACCTCTTGTGTTATGCTGCCTAGATGTTCATTTCACCAAATACATCCTAAATCATCACCCCCAAGTTCCTAGTTTCACAGATCTCCAGGGCAGGGTCCCCGTGCAGCCAGCTTCTTTGCTAAGGCCAATCAAATGTAATCTTGGCTTCTATTAATAGGAAATTCCTCATTTTCATCTGAGACCTTTTAAGTCTGGACTTCAGTGTTTAAACTTTTGTCAGCCTTCTAATCACAAGTATTTAACAATTCTCTATAGTGGTCCAATATTTTCCTCATCTTGCTGTCTTCTAAGCTTTCCCAATTCTTCTGACCTCTGTCTTTTACTCACTTCTGAACCTGGTTCTACATTGTCAGCTATCTTTATCAGAGCCTGGCAATGTGGTAAAACAGAAAAGTCCATTTTCGGGGGAAAATTCACGAAGGCTTCAGATATTTGCATGAAAAGAAGCTGAGTGCTGGTTGCCAAGACAAAGGGGAAAGGGCCTTGAAGGCATTTCATGGCTCCACTTCATAGCACTGATTTTCTGTATGATCATAAAGAAAAGAGGTTTAATTGGCTCACTATACAGCAGGCTGTAAAGGAAGCATAGTGGCTTCTGCTTCTGGGAGGATCAGATCAGGAAGCCTCCCAATCATACCAGAAGGCCAAGGGGCAATGAGATATTTCAAATGGCAGGAGTAGAAGCAAGACTGCGAGAGGAAAGAGTTGCCACCCCCTGTTATATAACCAGATCTCATGAGAACACACTATCATGAGGACAGCATCAAGAAGACGTTGCCTAACCATTGGTGAAGGATCTGCCTCCCACACCCACCTCCTACTGTTTCCACGCAGTAGCCTCCTGCAGACGAAGAGTTCTTGGGAAACCTCTACTAGGGCAGTGCAGAAGGAAAATATGGACTTGGAGCCCCCATGCTACCACCCTCCAGACCTCAGATACATAGACCCACCAACAGCTTGCACCCTCCGTGTGGAAAAGCTACAGGCACTCAACACTAGTCCAGTCTATGAGAGCAGCCATGGGGGCTCAGACCTGCAAAGCCACAGGTGCACTTCCCCAGTAGGCATTTTCCATGAGGCTCTGCCTCTGCAGCAGGCTACTCCCCCTTCCTACTACCCACCACCTTCCCACCACCATACAGCCAGTCTACTCCCTCCCACCCTACCCACCCCTTTTTCCCTTCCACATACACCCCCACCCATCCATGATTAAATCACTCCCTCCCACTCCCTCTAGTACTCTAATCCCTCCAAGCCCTTCCAATCTTTGTTTGCTACCCACTATTGAGCCTGCTTCTACTTTTTTAGCTATCTGTATAGCAGGTTGGCTAGGTAGCAATAACAAAAATCCCATTTAAGGGGAAACATTCAAGAAGATTTCAGAAATTTGCATATAAAGAAGCCCTTTGCTAATAGCCAAGACAAAGGGTAAAAGGCCTTGAAGACATTTCACAGCTCCTCTCTGCAGTTCTAATTTTCTGTATTATTGTAAATAAAAGACGTGTAATTGACTCATGTTTCTGCAAGCTGTGAAGGAATCATTGTGTCTTCTGTTTCTGGGAGGAATCAGGAAGACTCCTCGTTATATCAGAAAGCCAAGGGACAATGAGATGTCTCCTAAAGCAGGAGTAGGAGGAAGACAGAGTGAGGAAAGAGGTTCCACAGCCTGTTAAACAACCAGATCTCATGAGAAGTCACTCACTATCAGGAGGATAGCATCAAGGTGATGGTCCTTTATCATTCGTGAAGTATCTACCTGCACCATTTTATGACTAAATCTTTTTCCACCTAGGCCCCGCCTCTAACATTACAAAATATAATTCCATATGAGTTTTGGTTGGGACATAGAGAAAAACCGTATTATTCTGTCCCTGACCCCATGAATCTCATGTCCTTCTCACATTGCAAAATACAATCATGCCTTGCCAGCAGTCTCCCAAAGTCTTAACTCATTTCAGGATTAACTCAAAGTTACAAAGTCCAAATCTCATCTGGGTCAAGGCTGCAGTCTCTTTTGCCTATGAGTCTCTGAAAAAAGCAAGTTCACTGCTTCTAAGGTACAATGATGGTACAGGCATTGTGTAAGCTTTCCATATCAAAAATAAAGACATTTTCCAGAAAGCTTATTTCTCTCTGAGACCTCCTCAGTCTGGTCTTCATTGTCCATGTTTCTGTCAGGATTTTTGTCACAACAATTGAGCCAGACTCTAAGATGGTCCAAAAGTTTTCTCATCTATCTGTCTTCTTTTGAGCCTTCCAAACTCTTCCAACCTCCGTCCATTACCGGGTTCCAAAGCTGCTTCCACATTTCCAGGTATCTTTATAGCAGTGCTCCAGTCCTCATTTGCCATTTTCTGTATGATTTATTTTGAAAAATAGGTTTAATTGTCTCATGGTTCTAAGCACAGTGCTTCTGCTTCTAGGAGGCCTCAGAAATCTTTCAATAATCATGGAAGGCAAAGAAAGAATTAGTTGTCTCACATGGCAAGGGGAAAACACGGAGAGTAGGGAGGTGACATAGAGTTTTCAGTGACCAGACCTCATGAGAAGTCACTCATTATTGTGAGGACGGTACAAGGGGATGGTGCTGAACCATTCATGAGAAATTTGCCTTCATAATTCAATTACCTTACTCCAGGATCCACCTTCCACATTAGGAAATATAATTCAACATGAGATTCGGAGGAGACACATATTCAAATTGCATCATCAATCTTTGAATATAAAGACATCCACAGTAGGCTTTATCCAGCCAACTTCTTTGAGAATCTTTATAGGGTTTGAGGTCTAGAGCATATACACTAAAATATTCATTCTTCAAAAAGCAATAAAGTGGTATTATCATTTTTCCAAAAGTTACAGCAGTAGTTTAGGCATTCATAGCATGATTTAGTTCACATTTGCTACTGTTTCTATTCTATCACCACATTAACTGTTTCCTATACAATTCTGTATTCAGCTGGATTTCAGTTGAGCACAAAACCATCCTTGTACTAGCTCTTTGCTAGTGTTATTATTCTGCTGTAGAAAGTATCCTTGAACTGGAAACAGTCCACGATTGAGTATTGAGTCATTCAACACTATCAATTCCTCAGTGACTTTTTGAAAAAGTAGTATCTCTTGTTGCAAGAAATGCTGCATCTGTGAGTCCATGTCTCTCACTGGAATTGGATGGAAGTGGTGAATTTCAGCCAAAGTAGCCAAAGAAATCCTGTTCCTGTGATTCTGACATCATCAGCCTCTGCACCTCTGTATTCCCTTCTGCCACATGTTGCCTGCTCTCCGTGACTTTGGTAAGAGCTTCCTTGTGTATCTGGATGATGTCCAAGATGTTGGTCTTGTGTCCCTGAGACAGCACTAACAGGCCCATGGCTGGGTCGGGGTCCTGCCTGGACTGATTGGCAAAGAGCTCACTGACAATGTGGAAGATGCTCTTTCTTAAAGCCTGTCACCACTCATTGGCTGTGAAGTTGACCTGAGAGCCCTGTTGTCCATCTTCTTGGTGAAGCACTTGAAGCCGTCAATCTTGCTCTCCCACTCCTAAAGGTTGAGTGTCACTCTGAGGGAGGGCTCAGGGCCAGGAAGAATCTGGCACTCACCATCTCATCCTTCTCAGCCTTCCTCTTGCCCTGTCTCCAGGCTGTCTCTTCAGTGCTGGTGGGGTACATCAGGAAGTGACAAAAAATGTGGCACTGTGCCTGCACCCAGACGCTGGTTGTGTGGTTCATCTACCAGATTGGGCCCTTTCTGCACTTGAACACAGATCCACTTCACCATAGATGCATTCCACACTGTCAATGAGCTCTTTGCCAATCAGCCCAGGCAGGACCTGGACCCAGTCATGGACCTGTTAGTGCTGTCTCAGGGACACCAGGCCAACATTCTGGACATCATCTACATACCCAAGGAAGCTCTTACCAGAGTCATCCTCCAGATGGCCTGTGTTCTGCCTCTTGGCACCTGAGAAGCCCACAGTGCTGTAGAAGCCCCTATGCATGGACTGGAGCCCCAAAGGTGGCACACACCCCGCTCCTGAGCCTGCTGCTCCTTTCCTCTATGTGGCTCCATTTGCAGCACATTTGTTGCACTGAGTCCTATTCATCCCAGGCAAAGCCAAGCTGGCTCAAAGAGCAACCAGCCACCTCTGCAAGGGTGTGCCAAGAGCTGATAGACCAGCCACCAACGTCACTCCCTGCCAGCCAGGGTAAATCAGTTACTCTGCCCTGGAGGTAGAGCCCCAGTGCCATCTGCTTTTCCTCAGGCCTCCACTCCATCAGCTGTCAGGTGGTGGTCATTCAGACTGTGGGAACCTGGCCATCCCTGTTTCCTTGAGTGGGTGAGGTTGGTGACTGCTCCACCTGCTCCTGGCACACCCTTGCAGAGGTAGCTGGTTGCTCTTTGAGCCAGCTTGTCCTTGCCTGGCATGCACAGGCCCCAGGTACTGAGAAGTTGCTCCGAGTAAGCTTGTCTTGGGCCAAATTCTAAGTCTGGCCAGGGCCACAGAAGGCCGAGTCCCCTGGGTGGTAATCCTGGCTGCTGCAGGGAACCCATGGTGCCCCTCCCCTCCCAGGGCTCAGGATGAGGTCCGACTGGGACAGGATGCTTTAGGTATGGGACTTGTGCCCCAGGAGGGGGCCTCTGTCACACAGGTTGGGTGAGAAGATGTATGCCATGCTGCTGGCTGCTGGCTGCCGGCTGCCAGGGCTTTTGGGATGCACGTTCACCCTTCCTTTCAGGGACCTCAAAGTGACCAGCTTCCCTTTTAAGAATGACTTCCCAAGGCCCAGGAGCCATCTGGGGCTGCAGAGCTGCATGCTGCCCTGGCTTCTTCCATGTTGTGCTGGTCACTACCCACCAAGGGGGATCAGATGCAGGCACGATGCAGGACGGTAGTCTCTGGACCTGTGTCTTGGTTATCATGGAGCTGGACTGGGCCTGGTGACAGGGCCCTGATGGGGTTGTCCTGGGTGGTCAGGGGGGTGATGAGAAAAATGCAGAATGGAATTGCTGTGAGGATGAATGAGACGACTGTCAGCACAAAACAGGCACCCGGTGAGTGTTCAGGGATTACCCTCAGTAGCTGCCCAGAGGCCAAAACCACCCACCTGATAGTGACTGTCCCCAAGCCAGGAGGAAGTGAGGAGAGCAGGTCCCACTCACCTGAGTCTGATCAGTGAGCTGTGTTGAGATGTGTCTGTCATCTAGAAAATGGTCCTTCATGCAGAGCTACTCACAGACACTGCTGTGTGTCTCTAACTTCTCCACAACACAGAGGCGATGGGGACTCAGGAAGAGTGATGTTGTGGGTTGACAACCCACCACAACGGGAGCCTGCTTGGGTCAACAGGGCTCAGAGTCAGTGTCCTCTATCCCCTGAACTGACATGTGTATATACAATGTGTTTGTGTACGCATGTGTGCCTGTGTGTGTGTGCGCGTGTATGTGTGTGTTTGTCTTGCTTCTCTGGACAGGCCTAGCTTCTCCACCCATGGGTGCACCCAGGTCCTCATCACTGTCACCTTAGAGCATTAGAGCCTCTATAGGTGCTCCCCAATCTCTGCCCTCCCCACCCATGGTGGTCCTGGGGATGTAGACAGAAGAGAGGCACTGCATACTGCTGAGAGGGCTGGCACCCTCTCTAGGTGGAACACAGGTCATTTGTAAAGTTGTAGGTTTGTCAAGCAGTATTGGATTCAACACATCTTCTCACCTTCTCTTTCCAGCCACCCTCTAGGGTGCCCTGACTCACCTTCCCTGCAGATGGAGGCAAGGAGGTGACAGAGAAAAGCCCCCTGCCTAAGGTCCAATAGTGGCCAGCAGGCCACGTACTGACGAATCATCCCTGACCAGGTTCCCAGTGATGAGTGATGAGGCCCCTAATGACCACTCCTCCATTGACCAGGTCCCACTGATCAAGTCCCCGCTGACCATGTCTTCCTAACCAGGCCCACACTTAATAGGCCTCATGGACCAGACCCCACTGACCAATTTTCCACTGACCTGGTCCCCACTGACAAGACCGGGTTCCCACTGACAAGACCACAATTTACCAGGTTGCTGCTGACCCGACCCCCCACTAAACAATTCTCCATGGATGAGTCCCTAGCTGACCGAGCCCCCTCTGACCAGGCCCTCATTGACCAGGTTCCAAGCCACTAAGGCCCCACACTGACCAGGCCTCTGGTATACTGTATATGCCTCACCAACCAGTTTTTCATTGTTTATGTTCCAACTGATCAGGCCCCACTAATAAGGCCACCACTGACTAGGTCCCCCCACTGACCAGGCTTCCAATGATTAGGTCACCAGGTCCCCACTGATGAGGCCTTTACTGAGGAGGCCGCCACTAACCAGGCCCCTGCTGATCAGGTCCCACATGACTAGGTCCTGATGACCAGGTCATCTCTGACCATGGTCCACTGACCAGGCCCTTGAGCAACGGGGCTCAAAGTCTCATTACAATGTCCCCCTCAGCTCATAGACCCTCCCTCCCTGCATGTGTGCCCAGAGGTCAGGCCCTGGGGGTTTTTTTGAGACATGGCCTTTCCTCCAAGACACAGGGAGAGACAGTTGGCCTCAGGCTCCAGGTTCCCAGCTCCACACTCACACCAAAGGCCCTCTGGGCCGTCTCAAAGGAGAAAGTGAGGTGGCCTGACACTGCCTGGACACACCATCTACCCTATTCCTGAGTGTCAGAGTGTGAGGAAGGGAGGGACGTTTGGCAGATGAGACACACTGTGCTGTTGGGTCTCCCAGGGCCCTTCCCATATAGCCCCGATCTAAAGACACAACACAGAGGCTACAGGAAGACTAATCCAGAACCTCTGAGGCTCAGCCAGGGACCACATGAGGACTCTCTCCAGACAGCCAGAAGGCTCTTTGCTAGTTTCCTGGTACCTCAGTGGATGTGGCAGCGGTTCTTCTGTTGGGGACCAGTGAGTACACACTGGGGAGGGCTCACCTGTGCTTCCTCATTGGCTCCACCTCTGCTTCTAAAAAAAATTACTCATTCCAGAGCTGGGGCAGAGAAAATACAAGATGAGCTTAGAACATCTTCTGCCAGAAATTAAAAAAGTGCTGACAGAGTAACGGAGACAAATCAAAGAGACATAAAGTCAGCTTGGAATGTCTACTACTGGCCTAATCTTGGGGAATTGAAGCATCAGAATCAAGAGCTTTCCTTCTCCCTTATTTATTGGTTTTATTTCTCCATGTAGAACAAAGAAGACAATAGGAAAATAATCATCTGGCATCCATCAAAGTAATAATTGTTCAAACACAAGTCATCATGAAATGCTAAATCTAGTGGGTTCTGAGGAGTAACAAGATATTTACAGAGCCTCAAAGTATCTCCATACAAAATACGGTTGAACTACAAAAAGAAAATCATAACATTAGCATGGACAAACCTGGCAGGTACTCCTTAAGTCTCCTAAGTAATAAAAACTGTAAAATGCAAATAAGACTTTGATGACCTTTACTAACCTTTACTAAAGTATCAATGATGACTTGGTTGTTTAAACAGCTGACATTTGGGCAATTTGAGTATGTCAAACTCAATAATACTGGTTTTCATTTGCAAGATCCACTTAAAACTTAAGGAGGCTAAAAAACATCATTTAAAATACCCTATAAATTATCATCATATATATCATACAAAAATATCCTACTTCAGTAAATATTGTAATGTTATACATTTTATGAGAAACAACTAAAATGTGTAAATAGCCCAGTAATAAAGTTTTATAATCTTTTAAATCATACAATTTTTCTTTAAGACTTTATGGTTAAATATTCTCTTCGTTAGATGTGGCTTACCCGTGGATTCTAGAGAAGAAAGTAGATGGGAGCAAGTGTCCGACACAGCAGCAGCTGGAAAGAAAAATAAAGAATTATGTTCTTTACCTAAAACACTTCAGTTGACTAAGTGTGCGTTTAAAAACTAAAGAGTTGATAACTTTATCAGAGTTAATAAGAATGAGAAATATGTATGTGCATTTACAATACAAAATTACTATTTAATAGTTTACACATGGCATTAATTCTAATTGTGTTTAAATATCAGAGTTTTTCATTCTTCATTCATGTAATCAACAGCCACATGCTAAGGTACTAGAACCAGCACTGGAATTACAAGATGAAGATGGCATGGTCCACCTCCCAACAGTCATATGCTATAACCTAAAAAAAAACAGACAGGCAGGCAATGTCCATATAGAGTCAAAGATACCATGACAGGTATAGAGCAGGGCACTACTGGAACACATAGAAGGGACATCTACCCACTTTTATGTCAATATCATGGGCTTTCTGGTGGAGGAGATAACATAGGTTGATACCTGAAGGGCAAGAAAAAGCTTCCCAGATAGAGGGAAGAGGGGAAGGCAAAGAGCCAGAGGTGAGGAAGAGCCCTGCAGAGTTCCACTCCATCCAGTTTGGTGCTAGAGCAAAGGGCAGAGTGCAGTAAGTGGCGAGAGACAAGGCTGAGTAACTTGACGAGAATTACTTTGATATGGGTGTTTTTATTTCATGGTGAAAAATTTGGAACTTTTCCTGAGAACAAGTGTAAGCCAATGACACAGTAATTGACAGGAGATTTAAAATGTCACCTGTCAAGTGACTGCTTATGAAGGGTTATTGCTCAGCTAAGTATTTCTTAATGAGTCTTAGGTCTGTTGGCCTTCAATCTCTACCGAAACCCTGAGAACTTGATGATGCTTTTGTTTTCTGAGAATCGTTTCAGTGTGCTGGCTGACAGTTCCATGAGGATGGCAAAACTTAAGAAAGTGTAGAGCCAGTGAAAAAGAGATGCACAGACTTCTTGGGAACTGTTTAAGCTTTGGAACATGATGAATTTATGGTGTATAAGTACAGTCTTCTCTGTGAAAGTTTCTGTTTTCACATCTTTCATTAGATGTGTGTAAGAAAAAAAATATTGATGTAGTATCTACTAACCCAAGAATGAAAAGGAATGCCATTTGCTATTTACACTTTATTTCTAAAATAAACCTAAATTTAATTAATAAATTTTGGCAACGTACTTCTCTTTGTTTCTCTAATTATTTGTTCTACACAGTCCGGCTCCATCTAAAATAAGTAAAAATAATAATAATGTTTAAGTTAAACAAGAAACATTATCATAAAAATAAGACATCACTTACAAAATGTGGCCTTTAGTATTTTTAGTGACTAGACATAACTTGAAGTTTGCTTAAATAGAAAAATAATCACATAAATAAAGTAAAATTTCTACTTATTTTAAGATTAGATAACAGAGGATGTATATGTGTAATGCTGTTTAGAGTAATCTGACAAAAATGCAGTTAATATTGATCTATTGCATATACATGATTTTAGAAAGGTAGTGTTTTATTAGTACAAAGGTTAAACAATGGCCAGGCATGGTGGCTCATACCTGTAATCCCAGCACTTGGGGAGGCCAAAGCAGGCCGATCACAAGTCAGGAGATCGTGACCATCCTGGCCAACATGGGGAAACCCCATCTCTACTAAAAATACAAAAATTAGCTGGGCGTGGTGATGCGCACCTGTAGTCCCAGCTACTTGGGATACTAAGGCAGGAGAATTGCTTGAAGCCAGGAGGTGGAGGCTGCAGTGAGCCAAGACTGCACCACTGCACTCCAGCCTGGTAACAGAGTGAGACCCTGTCTCAAAAAAAAAAAAAAAAAAATAAGTAATTAAAGCCATCTTTTGCAATGAATGGATTGCTTTGAAATTCTTAGAAAACTCTGCCCTTTATGAAAGTTTAACCCATTTTTTACTTCAATAAATTTTATCTTAAAAAGAAATTTCTGTTCTCTACTTATAGTAAACTTTTCTCTTTTTTTTTTCTAGTTTGTATTCTAAATTAACGTGGTACCTCTGTAGGTTTCTTTCAAAGGCATATTTAGGGATGCCGAGGTTTGCAGCACAATTGAACTCATCACACAGGTAGTGAGCATAGGACCCAAGAAGTAGTTTTTCAACCCTGGCCCACTCTGTCCCTCCCCGTTCTTATTTTCCAGTGTCTATTATTCCCGTGTTTATGACAATGTGCACCCCATGTGTAGCTCCCACGTGAGTGAAAACATGAGATATTTGGTTTCTGTTTCTGTGTTGGTTTGCTTAGGAGAGTGGATTCCAGCTGTATGCTTGTTGCTGCAAACGATGTGATTTTGTTCTTTTTATGGCTGCATAGTATTCCATGGTATATATGGAATTTTCCAATCTACCTTGGATTTTCAACGTACCTTGGATGCACCTGGATTGACTCCACGTCTTTGTTATTGTGAATAGTGCTGCAGTGAACATACATGTGTATGCATCTTCTTGTTACAATGATTTATTATCCTTCTGGTATACCTCTAGTGTAGTAATGGGGTTGCTGTATCCAACAGTCTTTCTTACTTCTTAATTTCCAAACTGCTCTCCAGAATAGCTGAATTAATTAACTTTGCCACAAACAGTGTGTGTTCACTTTTCTCCACAGCCTCCCCAACATCTTTTTTAATTTTTTTATTTATTATTTTTTTTTAACAAAAGTCATTCTGACTGGTGTGAAATGGTATCTCACTGATGTTTTGTTTGTCATTTTTATGATAATTAGCAACGGCAAGCATTTGTTAATGTTTGTTTGGCCACTACAAGTGTTATTTTGAGAACTATCTGTTCATGTCCTTTGCCCATTTTTCATGGTGTTATTTATTTTTTGCTTGTTGATTTGTTTAGGTCTCTTATGGATTCTGGATAATAGGATAATAGGCGTTTGCTATATCCATAGTTTGTGAATATTTTCTTCCATTCTTTAGTCTGTCTGTTTAATCCCGTGATAGTTTCTCATGCTGTGCAGAAGCTATTTAGCTAAATTAGATCACACTTGTCAATTTTTGTTATTCTTGCAATTGCTTTTGAGGACTTAGCCATAAATTAATTGACAAATATGATGTCTAAAGGAGAATTTCCTAGATTTTCTTCCAGGATTTTTATAGTCAGAAGATGTACTTTTATGTAAGAAAAGCACAAACATTTTATTTTTATTTTTATTTTTTTTGAGATGGAGTCTCCATCACCCAGGCTATAGTGCAGTGGTATGATCTTGGCTTACTGCAACCTCTGTCTCCTGGGTTCAAGTGATTCTCCTGCCTCAGCCTCCTGAGTATCTGAGATTACACATGCCTGCCAACACCCCTTGCTAACTTTTGTATGTTTACTGGAGACAGGTTTCATCATGTTGGCCAGGCTGTTCTCAAACTCCTGACCTCAAGTGATTCACCTGCCTCGGCCTCCCCAAATTTTGGGATTACAAGTGTGAGCCACCGTGCCTGGCCAAGCACAAAGCTTTTAACATAAAAATGGAACTGAATATTTTAGTGTTTTGTTTAATTAATAAAATGCAATTATTTTGGATTCTACTAAATAATAAACATCCATATGTGGTAAACTGTTTGGATGCCAATCATTCAGTTGTGATTATGGGTGGGAAGAATTGAGATGGTGCAAATAAACTTTTTTTTAAATTTTTTATTTTCAAGACGGAATCTTGCCCTGTCACCCAGGCTGGAGTGCAGTGGTGCAATCTCAGCTCCTGCAACCTCCATCTCCCAGGTTCAAGCAATTCTCTGCCTCAGCCTTCCTAGTAGCTGGGATTACAGGTGCCCACCACCACACCAGACTAATTTTTTTTGTACTTTTAGTAGAGATGGAGTTTCACCATCTTGGACAGGCTGATCTTGAACTCCTGACCTCGTGATACATCTGCCTCAGCCTCCCAAAGTGTTGGGATTACAGGCATGAGCCACAGCACCTGGCCAGTGCAAAGAAACTTTAAAAGTGACATGGGCCGGGTGCGGTGGCTCATGCCTGTAATACCAACACTTTGAGAGGCTGAGGCAGGCAGATCACAAGGTCAGGAGTTCAAGAAGAGCCTGGCCAATATGGTGAAACCCTGTCTCTACTAAAAATACAAACATTAGCTGGGTGTAATGGTGGGTGCTTGTAGTCTCAGCTACTCAGGAGGCTGAGGCAGGAGAATCACTTGAACCCAGGAGGTGGAGGTTGCAGTGAGTGGAGATGGCACCAAGACACCCCAGCCTGGGCGACAGAGTGAGACACTGCCTCAAAAAAAAGAAAAAAAAAGTGGTATGAACCACACCTAACTACAGTCAATTAGAGAGTAAGCCAAAGCATCTCAAAGTATATCATCAGTTATCAGGCAACAACATGTAATTTCTAAAACCTAACTTAAATGCAGATTTAAAAACATTTTAAATGTGTCAGTTTAGTCACATTTATTGAATAAAGTTAGCAAATGGATATCTCTTGAAAATGAGGGCTCCAGGGAATTAAAAAATGTAAAATTCCCATTTCCTTTCTGTGTTAACACAGCTAATTATGATCTTTACTTCACATGAAAAAGTCAACAGAACAACTCAGTATTTCACCAAATTATAAACAAGAATTACGCTAGAGAAATGAAACCCTAAAGAGAAACGGTCATATAACTAACCTCAGTCAAGTAGTTCTGGCAGTTATTTGAAGTCTGACGGTTTGAAGTAGGAATTCTTATGGGCATTTGGGGAATATATTTTCTGTTGAGTCCTATACTAGTAAGATTTTCAACACAAGGTGACTCTCGACCTTGCCTTGTAGGAAGAGTGCTGAGAAAATATTTCACCTGCTCTTTCTCCATAAGGAGCTTGGTGCTGATCATTGCTATTTTCTTATTCGATCTGTAAAGATAACAAAGACAAATGCTTAGTATTTCATATTTCCTTAAATGATTCTTAATGCCTTGCAGTCATTACATTTAAAGTGTTGCCCTGAGAGTAAACCAAATTACCCACTAAATAGTGTTTTCACACCGAAGATGTGTAAGAGCATACCTGTTGTAAGGAATTATAATTTTAAAATCATTCTAAAGAAGCACCTTTGTTTCTAAGGTGATTTACACTGAACAAGCAGTTCAAACAAAGTAGACAGGGAAGAGAAATGGCTATCAGTGGTGTATGGCTCAACAGGCAAAATTTGCTGCCTTCTAAAATGGCTCTACTTGTAAGATTCTGAAGATTCCATTAGAAATACTTGTATTTAAAGGGCAATAATGTGGGAAAATGAATATGTTGATTTGCTTGATTATAAGAACCACTTCACTAGAAATAATTATATCAAAACATCATGTTGTATTCCTTAATGTAGTTTAAGAAAACTAAAATGAATTAAAAAAATCTAGGAGTACTTGTGTTTAGTAAACCAGTTTTAGATTTCACCCTTGTACATTTCACCCATTATCTAGAACCAATTAAACATTTGGCACTGAAGAATAATTCAGAGCAACAACTCCTAGGGGAGAACTAGATTGTCTGGTTGGTGATCAAAAAGAACTAAAGCATCTCTGAAGGCAATTAGCCCCCAACACTGTGACCAAGGCCCAGGAGGTGGGGCATGTTCTTTCTGCCTTCCAAACACTCCTTCTGGCTGAACAAGGTGTTATTTTTTAACCGCTTTGTGAATTACACTTCTTTAAATTCCTGTGATAATTATTCCTTATTTCACAAGGATGCCTTTCTGTAACATCTTGAATATGTTACACAAATAGTCTTTCTTGAGGCACCCTCTGATGATAATACTAAAGATCACAATCAAAAACGATTGTGCCCAAAGTAACAGTACCACTTTTCATTTAGGTTGTGATCCACTGAAAAAGAAATTAAACTCATTAATATTTCTATTTAGGGAAATTCTGACAAGTAATTTTATAACAGGATCACTTCATTAATTATAAAGCTTCAAAAATACATAGTGAAAAAAACTAACAGATCAGTTTAATTACATGAGACTTTTCAGGGGAAAAAGCCATACAAAAACAAACAAAAAAAAATGAGAGGAGAGACAAAAACTATCTTTGACTAACATTAAAAGGTAAGATTATTTACTAACATTGTTTTTCAAAATTACATTGTCAAATTAACATTCACTTCCTACTAATATCCTGAAGCCATCTCACTAAAAATTATGCTTTTGAAACAAATTAATGAGCTTAATTCATTCTCTGAGTGTATGTTTTGACTTACTTCGTTAATTTTTTTGACATGGAATTGTTAGCTTTCAATGCTGCTGCAAAGGCTTCCTTATATTCTTCTAACTCAGTTGTAACCTCTTCATAAGCAGTTTACATTTTGTAGAATTCACATTCCACATCTTTAAGTGTGAGTTCCTTCTTATTTAGTGAAGCCGTATTATCCTTGTTTAACTGGTCTAATTGTTTTTTATATTGTGCTTGTAACTAAAACAAAGGAAAATAATACACTTTTAAAACAATAACATAATTATTATATGTTTGTTGCCTTTCATTTTGAGTCAGTGATTCAAAGAGCATTTCTGAATATGTTAAAAAAGAGGCTGAAGCTTAAAATATTTCAGCAATATCAAAACTAATAACTGAATTCAGAATTAAGTCTGATTTATAAAAATTTGAAATCATAATTATGTTAGTATTAATGTAATCTGGTCATATAAAAAGTAATAGAATCCATTCATAATTTGAAAAAGTGATCAATGAACAATGTAGCTTAACACCAATTCAAAAGTATCACATAATTTCTAAATCACAATTTTTTCCTATGCCAACTGGTCTTAATCATCAAATGACTCCATAATGAGAATCATTACTCTGAAAGATTGATTTTCTCATAATAATAATGGAAATTTAAATATTTAAAAGAAAAAACAGATGCCATTTTTTTCTACAACTCTACAAAGCAGATTGCTACAAGAGAGGCAGAGGAAACACTATATATATATATATATATATATATATATATATATATATATATATATATATATATATATATATATAAAATCTCCAAAATATAATTTGCAGTGAAATAAATGAAAGCACATTACAGGTAAACTTACCTGATTTAAACAAGTAACCTGTAAATGGATTTCCTTTAATTTTTCTACTGCCTGCATTGCCCTTTCATCTAGCTCTGATTTATATTCTTGTAGTTCACTAAGTTCTACGATAATGTTTTCCATATGTGTCTTGAGATTTAATATTTCTTCTTCCAACATCTTTTGATTCTCCTCAAGTTTTTCACATTCTTGTTGTACTTTTTTCATAGATAATAACTCCTGTTGGATAACTTGATTGTCTTTAGCCAAATTGACACATTTTGAAGATACAGCTTCCTCCTCTGCCGTAAGATCATCAAACTGCATAAATAAAATAGTATAGCTTGATAATGAAGTAGGCTGAGAATAATCTAATACAAAACCAATAGCAAATTTTAAAATGCATTTACATGCAATAAAATGTTATCAGTAATGCATCAGATTCTTCAAATGTGAACCCTTAAATTACTCAGAATTTTAAGAACAATGTTAAAGCTACCATGAGTCATAAAAATATATTCTTTACTATCATCATCTTTGCCACAGAACTTTTGTACTTCATCTTACTTTTATTTTTCTGATAATTTATTTTTGTTCCTCCTTAAATGGCACAAAGTTATCTCCTAGTAAAAAGTGTCTAATCCCCTTCCCTCATTATCATTCCCCACAATATGTAAAAAAAAGTTTCAGAGATATCATATTGAGTTATTTAGGCCAAAGTCAATACATGGCTCTAGGAATAAGACTTTGAAATTAATATTACACTCTATACTAGGCATGGTGGCTCATGACGGTAATCCCATCACTTTAAAAAGCAGTGGCAGAAAGATCACTTGAGGCCAGGAATTTGAGATCAGCCAGAGCAACATAGTGAGACCCACATCTCTAGAAAAAAAAAATTTTAAAATTACCCGGGCATGGTGGCTCAGAAATATTCCTCTTCGCTGGATTCTTTTGAGCATTCTACCATTCTAGCCTAGCCCCTACTCCAGAATTAGGAGGGCATTGACCCCCAACAGGTATTTCTCCCCTTGACCCCCTGGAAGTACCTCTCCTGAATCCATCTGTATTACTTGCATCAGGAGTTTCAATTACTTGAGCCCATCACAGCCTAACAAAAAATAATCAAAAACATACAATCCAAGCACTACTTGTTACAATTATATTAGATATTTACTTCACCCTCCTACAAGTCTCAGAATACTTCAAAGCTCTCTTTGCTATTTCTGATGGTATTTATGGCTCAACATTTTTTTATAGCTACAGGCTTTCACAGAATTCACGTCATTATTGGATCAACATTCCTCAGTCTGCCTTCTCCGCCAATTAAAATACCACTTTACATCTAGTCATCACTTTGCCTTTGAAGCCGCTGCCTGATATCGACACTTTGTAGATGTAGTATGACTATTCTTGTATGTTTCTATTTATTGATGAGGATCTTACTCTTTTAGTATAAATAGTACCATGATTTCCAAAGTTTTGATAGCATCCGAAAAACAGTAATTCACCTAACATTAACCCTAGTAATCAACACCCTATTAGCCCTGTTACTAATAATTATTACATTTTGGCTCCCACAACTTAATATATATATGTAGAGAGAGAGAAAAATATATATATATATGTATAAAATAAATATATATATATGTATAAAATAAATATATATAGAAAAATCTAGCCCTTATGAATGCAGATTTGACCCTCTATCCTCTGCCCACATTCCCTTCTCCATAAAATTCTTTCTAGTAGCCATCACATTTCCCCTATTTGAGTTAGAACTCGCCCTACTACTACCCTTACTGTGAGCCCTTCAAACAATCTGATACTAATAATCCCTGCGATATGTGTAGTGACTTCATACTTCACCCCCCCCCCGGATATTACGGCCAATATCAGAGTGGAGTGTGCACCCCCTGCAATATGGGGAGTGATATCATCCTCTCCCCACTGGATGTTATGGACAATATCACAGGAGGTTTACTTTCTCTGGGTTATGGGGAAAAATATCCTCCTGTCCCCGCCTGGATGTTAGACATATTTAGAGGGGGGTGTCCACCCCCTGTGATATGGGGAGTAGTAATATCCTCTCCTGCCCTGGATGTTATGGACAATATATAGGGAGATATACAATCCCTTCGATATGGGGAGTAATATCATCCTCTTCCCCCTAAACGTTACGAACAGTATCACAGGGGGGTGTACACCCCCTGCAATATCTGGAGTAGTATCATCCCCTTCTTCCCTAAATGTTACAGAGACTATCACAGGGGTGTGTACACCTTCTGAAACATGGGAATAATATTCTCTTCCCCTCTGGATGTTATTATGGACAACATTACAGCCGTGTGCACCCTCTATGATATGCAGAGTAATATCATCCTCTCCCCCCCGGATGTAAGTGACAATACCACAAACGGGTTTACATCCCCCGTGATATGGGGAGTAATATCATCCTCTTTCCCACTGGATATTAACAATATCACTTGGGGTGTACAACCCCTGTGATATTCTGGATAATATCTTCTAATCCACTGAAAATTATAAACAATATCACCAGTGTACACTCCCTGTGATATTGGAAGTAATATCATCCTCTAATCCCCTAAAAATTATGAACAGTATCACAGGGGAGTGTATACTTCCTACTATATTGGGAGTAATATCATCCTGTCGTCTTCTAAATATTATGAACAATATTACAGGGGATGTAACACTCCCTGCGATATGTGGAGTAATATCATCCTCTCCTTCCCTAAATATTGTGAACAATATCACAGGAGGTTGTACACAATCTGCGATATTGTTTGTAGTATCCAGTGGGAAAGAGGATGCTATTACTCCCCATATCACAGGGGGTGTACACCCCCACTGTGATATATTCAATAACATCCAGAAGTAATATTACTGACAAAATTGCAGGGGGTGTAAACCCCACCTGTGATAACGTTCCTAATATCCCTGGGAAGAGAGGATGATATTATTCCCAATATTGCAGGGAGTGTACACCCACCCTATGATATTGTTATTAATACCCAGGAGGGGAGACAATGGTATTACTCACAGTATCAAAGAGGTTGTACAGCCCCCCTGTGATAGTTTCTAATATCCAGGGGGTGTATACCACCCTTGTGATATTGTTTCTAATATGTAGGGGGAAGGACAATGATATTACTGTCCGTATCACAGGGTGTGTACAACAAGCCCCCCGGGATATCATTCCTAATATCCATGGGAAGAAAGAATATTATAATATCACAGAAGTTGTACACCCCCTCTGTGATATTGTTCCTAATATCAAAGACAGAAGGGTATGATGTTCTTCCCAAAATCACAGGAAGTGTATACACACCCTGTGCTATTTTTCCTAATATCGAGAGTGAGAGACAATGATACTTCCAATATCGTAAGGAGTGTACACTCTCCCCGTGATACCAGGTGGGGAAATGTTGATATTACTCCAAATGTCACAGTGGGTGTACACACGTTTTGCGATATTGTTCCTAACAGCAAGTGGGGAGGAGGATTGTATTACTCCCACCATATTACTCCCCACACCCCATTATACTGTTCTTAATATCCAGATTTGGAGAGGATGATATTACTCCCAAAATCTCAGGAGGTGTAGACCCCTTCTGTGATACTGTTTCTTATATCCAGGGGAAGACTAGATGATAGTACTCCCAACAGTGCAGGGTGTTACACGCCACCCCCCATGATATTGTCTCTAATATCAAGTTGGGGAGAGGGTGATATTGCTCCAAATAGTGTAAAGGGTGCACACCAGCACTGTGATATTATTCCTAGTATCCAGAGAAGGAGAGAATGGTATTATTTTTAATATCACAGAGGGTGCACACCCCCCTTGTGATACTGCTCCTAACATCCAAGGGGTAGAGGATGAAATTACTCCCAATATCACAGTGGGTATACACCCCCCGTGGTATTGTTCCTAATATCCAGGGGGTATAGGATGATAGTACTATAAATATCGCAAGGGGTGTACACCCCTTCTGATATTGTTACTAATATCCGTGGGGGGAGTCGATGATATTACTTCCAATATCACAGGGCATGTACACCCCCCTTGTGATATCGTTCCTAATATCCATGGGGGAAAAGGATGATATTACTCTAAATGTCGCAGGAGGTGTAAACCGCCCCTGTGATATTGTTCTCAATATCCATGGGGGGAGAGAATGATATTACTCCCAATATCACAGGTGGTGTACACCCCTCCTGTTATATTATTCCTAATATCCAGGTTGGGAGAGAATAATATTACAGGTAAAATAGCAGGGGGTGTACACTCCGCCTGTGATATTGTTCCTAATATCTCGGGGAAGAGTGGACAATATTACTCTCAATATCGCAGGATGTGTACACCCCCTTTGTGATATTGTTCCTAATATCCATAGGGGGAGAGGGTGATACCACTCCCAATAATGCAGAAAAGGTACAGCCCCGCTGTGATATCATTCCTAATATCCAGAGGGGACAGGATGATATTACTCCCAATATCACAGAGGGCATACACTCCCTCCCCATGATATTGTTCATAATACCCAGGGGATAGAGGATGATATTACTCCCAATATCGCAGTGGGTGTACAACCACCCTGTGATATTGTTCCTAATATCCATGTGGAAAGGGTATAAAGTTACTCCCAATATCACAGGGGTTGTACAACCCCCTTGTGATATTGTTCCTTATATTCGGGGGAGAGACAATGATATAGCTGTCCATATTGCAGGTGGTGTACAACCCCCTGGGAATTTGTTCCTAATATTCAGTGGGGAAGATGATATTAATTAAAATGTCACGGGGGGTATACAACCCCTTTGTGATATTATTCCTAATATCCAGGGAAAGAAAGAATATTATTCCCAATATCGCAGGGGATGTACACCCCTCTCTGATACTCTTTCTAATATCCCTGGGGGGAGTCTATAATATTACTGGCAATATCATAAGGAGTGTATACCCCCCGTTATATTGTTCCTTATGTCCAGCAAGGGAGAAAATATTAATCCCAATATGGAACAGGGTGTAGACACCCATGAGTTATTGTTCCTAATATCCAGGGAGGGAAAGGATGATATTACTCCCAATGTTGCAGTGGTGTATAACCTCCCGTGATATTGTTCCTAATATCTAGGTGGGGAAAGTACAGTATTACTCCCAATATAGCAGGGGTTGTACACCACCTTTGTGATATTGTTCTACATATCCATGGGGAAAGAAAATGATAGTACTCCCCAATATCACAGGTGGTGTACAACCCCTTGTGATACTGTTTCTAATATCCATGTTGGGGGAGGATATTATTCCCAATATTGCACGTGTTGCACAGACCCCCTTTGATATTGCTTGTACTATGCAGGGTGTGGGGGGAGAGGATGATATTGGGAGTAATATCACCCTCTCTCCCCGGATATTAAAAGCAACATTCAGGGTGGTCGACACTTCCTGCAATATTGAGTATAATATCCTCTCCCAACCTGGATATTAGGAACAATATCACAGGGGCATGTACACTCCCTTCCTTTCACCATATACAAAAATCAACTCAAGATGGATGAAGGACTTATGTAAGACCCAAAACTATATAAACCCTAGAAGAAAACTTAGGAAATATCATTCTGGACATAGGCGCAGGCAAATATTTCATGATGAAGATTCCAAAAGCAATTGCAACAAGAAGAATTGACGAGTGGGACCTAATGAAACTAAAGAGCTTCAGCACAGCAAAAGAAACTATCAACAGAGAACACCCTACAGAACAGAAGAAAATATTTTCAAATTACATATCTGAAAAAGGTCTAATACTTAGCATGTATAAAGAATCAATAAGCAAAAAACAAACCCACTACAAATAGGCAAAGAACATGAACCCCCACATCCACCATCCTCAAGTCCATGTGCAACTTCTTTCTGGATGCTGGACAAGGACTTGGGTACCAAGAGGGCACTGAACGGGTTAACACTTAAGCCGTCTGTGGATTCTTTTTTCAAAAGACAACGTATGTATGGCAAACAACCATATGAAAAAATACTCAACATCACTAATCATCAGAAAATCAGAACCATGAGATACCATATCACACCGGTCAGAATGGCTATAATTAAAAAATCAAAACATAACAGACGGTGCCGAGTTTGTGGAAAAAAGGGAATGCTTATACACTGCTGGTGGTGATATAGAAAGGAGACAGGGAAATGCTGGGTAGAAGAGAGTGGTTCCCTGGCAAAGCCCTGCCCACAAGCCTGGAAACCCATGGCCCTAAATGGGAACAGGCATTCCTGCTTTTGCACCCAAAAGTTGTCTTTCAGCTCACCATGCACCCCCTGTCCTGTACCCATATATGCCCCAGACCCCAGGCTCCAGAAGCAGACAAGCAGATGAGGAGATGAACAGAAGAGCAGAATTGCAGAATGATGTGGCAGAAAGAAGAGAAGGAGCATCTGAATGCCAAGAGGAGTTTGGCTGGCAGTGGTTGGAGAGATCAGCCTCTGGATGGCAAAGCTCCCGGGGAAGATCATCTTCCCATTCCATCCCCTTTCCAGCTTCCCATCCATCCCATTGAGTGCCACCTCCACCACTCAATAAAACCCCCACATTCACCATCCTCAAGTCTGTGTGCAACTTAATTCTTTCTGGATGCTGGACAAGGAACTGGGTACCAAGAGCGCACTGAACAGGTTAACACTTAAGCTGTCTGTGGATGGCAAAGCTAAAAGAGTGCACTGTAACACATGCCCACTTGGGCTGTGGGAGTCGCAGGAACCCACCCCTAGACAGTACCATGGCCACTTGCCCTGCCTATTGCACCTGCCTGTCTGCATGCTTCCCTGCCCAGTAAGGGGTTTGACAGCACACACGGTGGCCAGACAAGCCACACCCCTGTTGCACATCCTGCCAAGGGGAGTCAGGGAAGTCTCCAGTTTCATCAGGAATGTAAATTTGTTCAGCCATTGTGGAAAGCAGTTTGGAGATTTCTGAAATAACTTAAAACAGAACTACCATTCAACCCAGCAATCCCATTATTGGGTATATACCCAAAGGAATATAAATCATTCTGTCATAGACATATGCACGCATATTTTCATTATAACACTATTCACAATAGCAAAGACACGGAATCAACTTAGATGCCTGTTAACAGAAGACTGGATTAAAAAAATGCAGCGTACATACACCATGGAATACTACACACCTATAAAATAGGATGAAATAATGTCTTTTGCAGCAACATGAATGGAGCTGGATACCATTATTCTAAGTGAATTAATGCAGGAACAGAAAACCAAACAAACACTGCATGTTCTCACTTATAAGTGGGGGCTAAACATTGAGTCCACATGGACACAGAGAAGGGAACAATAGACACAAGGTCTACTGTGGGTGGAGGGTGGGGGTAGAGTGAGGATCAAAAAACTCCCTATTAGATACTACGTTCACTACCTGGATGACTACGTAATCTGTACACCAAATCCCATTGACACACATTTTACCCACATAATAAACCTGCACATGTACCCGCTGAACCTAAAATAAATGTTGGAAGGAAATAAAGTTACAACCAACTCTTGTACTATTGTGAGGAAACAATCATATGTGTTGACAAAAAAATCAGCTACTAATAGATTTATAATAGTATATATGTAGCAGAAAAATATCAGATATAACTTATATACCCAAAAGTATGACTTAAAAACAGCATGACAATCTTTATGATGGGATATTGTGCAACTACTAGAAGCACATTTTCAGAGATTATTTATTAACATATGATAATGACTACATTGAGTGGTTTTTAGAAGCATGAATTGAAACCATGTATAAGCATGACTTTATTGAACTTAAATATAACATTACACACACATTTACATAATTATAAAATAAGTATGCTCATGTTCATAATATGTATTTATTTATATTCATATGTAAGGCCAATAGGAAGTAATCTCTGTATCTGAGTTATTATTTCATAAATAATTTATGCTTGTTCTGTGAAAATAAAAACACTGCTATGGATCTTCCAAGTATCCTGAAAGGATACCGTTTATAATTAAACAATAACAATTTTAGAAATAATTATTTTAAATAAGGCTATGATAAATCTGGTTTCATTGCACACTTTAACTTTGGAACATTTCATGAAACGTCCCTTGATCACGACTCTCATATTCAGGAGTTTTTTGAGATCAAAATGGGACAATCAGTATGAATCTATTTTTTAGACATGCAAATGGATAACTTTAAATAGCAGTAGCGATATAATCAGAGTGCACAGTTGCTCTGGGACAAAACTTGGAAATGAGCATATTTTTAGATTCTTAATGTTTTACACACTTTAGCATTCCACAGCACCATTACATACTCATTTTTCTACTAGAATACCTTGGTAAAAATTCACAGTAGAGATCAGGCTTGTCCTTCATACATTAACTAATCAAGTAGGAAAGTGCAAATGAGAACACAGTGCCAAACATAGGCACCACATGGAAACAAGCATGGAACTGCCAGGAAGCCATTTTTGTAGATTTGTAGCCCAATTATATTTTTCCTAATGTATTGCACACAAAACTTGGGGGAAAAAAAAGAGGCAGAGAGAAAACAGGTTATATCAGCCCTATCTCACAATCCACAAGTTCATCCTGTTAGAGGAGTAACTATGTAAAACAAATTTTATCTGTTGAATGTCCTATTTAGTTAATCGCAAAACTGTATGAGAACACACTTGTGACTTATTTAGCAGCTTGTTTGTTCGCTTTCCACTGGCTTCACAAATGTCCTTTGGAAATAGAATGTACATTTGGAACCTTGTACACCTTTTCTTTCTCCAGTACCCTCTTGTCACTTCCATCACTAAGGTGACAGAAGCAACTAGGGGCAATGCATTTGTAGCACACCTGGGTCAGAGGTATCCTCCAGGGGAAGGATCAGACCTGCTTGAAAGCATGTCGTTGGAATTGGGAGGCTTCTAGTAGCTATAACATAAGCACTGATGTTTACTCTTCCCTGCCCTCCACTTTGATCACTCTGGGAAACGTTTTTTTTTCTTAAAAAATCAATTGTATTGAAAGATAATTTACATAAAATAAATACTATTTTAAAGTGCACAGTTTGCTGAGTTTTGCCAGATGTAACCATCCAGGTGAATAAAATTGATTAAACTGATCTTTCAAATAATAAATTAACTTTGCAATCTTGCTAGAAATTTAATTTGTTCACAGTTTATTATCCATTCTATGTACTGCTACATTCAATTGGTTATTATGTTTTAAGGACTTTTGAGTCTATGTTTATGAGGGATAAACATCAAAGTTGTATAATGCCTTTGTCTCGATTTGGAATCGGCAATACTGGGTTCATAAAATAAGATAGGAAATGTCCCTTTAAATTTTCTTTTTCTTTTTTTTTTTTTTTTTTTTGAGACGGAGATTCACTCTTGTTGCCCAGGCTGGAGTGCAATGGCACAATTTCGGCTCTCCACAATCTCTGCCTCCCAGATTCAAGCTATTCTCCTGCCTCTGTCTCCCGAGGAGCTGGGATTACAGGTAAGCGCCACCATGCCCTGCTAATTATGTACTTTTAGTAGAGATGGGGGTTTCTCCATGCTGGTCAGGTTGGTCTCAAACTCCTGACCCCAGGTGATCTGCCCGTCTTGGCCTCTCAAAGTGCTGGGATTACAGGTGTGAGCCACTGTGTCCGGCCCTTAAATTCTATTTCTTAAAAAGAGTCCGTTCAAGATTGATGTTATAGATACTCCTCAACTTACAATTGTTTTATGTCTTAATGAACTCATCCTAAATTGAAAATATTGTAAGTCTAAAACGCATTTAATATATTTAACCTACTGAATATCATGACTTAGCCTCGCCTACCTTAAACTTGCTCAGAACACTTACATTATCCTACAATTGGGCAAAATCATCTACCACAAGGCCCATTTTAAAATATTGAGTTTCTCATGAAATTTATTGAAAACTATACTGATAGTGAAAAACTGGTCATATTGATGCTCATCATTAACGTACACAGATGAAAGCACCATTATCAAGTAAGAAGAGCACAAGTCAAACCACTGTAAGTTGAGGACTCTCTGTACTTTCTTAAATGTTTGATAGAATTCACCTGAGAAAGCATGTAGCCTGTAATTATAGAAATCTTTTTAAATTAAAAAAATTCTTCAATACATAGAGAAGCTATTACTTTTTCTATTTCATTTTGCATTAGTTTTAAGAATTAGTTTTACAAATAATTTCCCATGTTATTTTAATTGTCAAATGTATTGGCCTAAAGTTTTCATAATTATATTGATGTCTGTAGGTTCTGTAGTTACATCCTCTATTTAATTCCCATTATCTACATTATGTAGCTTCTCTAATTTTTTTCGAGATAAATCTTGCTAGCCATTGTTTATTAAAAAAATTTTTTTCAAAGAACCAATTTGTGGGTATATTAATTAGCTCCACCTTTTGTTATTTGCTATGTTGTTGGTTTACATTTTTATCTTTATCATCTTCCTTCTTCTTAATTTGGATATACTTTGCTTATTTTTTAGCCTCTTAAAAAAGAACTTAAAGGTCATTGATTGAAGCCTTTTATTTTCAATATATTACATCTATAAATGTACCTTTAAGAAACGATTTATCTGCATCCCACATTTTATTAAGTTTTTAAAAAATTTTATTTCAGTTTAAACTATTTTTTTTGTGTGTGAAACTTTTCTTGGCCAATGGGTTTTTCTGAAGTATTTTGTTTAATGTTCAAATGTTGGGGTGTTATTGTACATATCCTACTGTTGTCCATCTCTGGTTCATGATACAATGCATGTTCTCCATTGCACTTAGATAACATGCCTCCATGTCTCTGGAGAATTCCTCAGTCTTTCTAAAATGCTTTTGATGAATACTGGCCGTTATTTTGTAGAATGTCCTGCCTCAATTTCAGTTAGTCTGATGTTTTCTCACGGTTAGGACTAAAGTTATACATTTTGTCTAAGAATACCATAGAATTGATGTTTTGTCCTACTCAGTGCATCATATAAGAAATTACATGAAGTTCATTTATCTTATTATTAGTAATGTTAACTATGATCACTTGGCTAAGTTGACATCTCCACTTTGAAGTTACTATTCTATAATTATCTTGTGGGAAGATACTTTCATATTATGCAAATATGTTCTTTCCCAACATATATTCACCACTAATCTTAGCATTCCTCCAAGGTTCTTTCTTGCAACAATTATTACTATGATATTTGCAAAGTGATGATTCTTATATTTTATGTCTCCTACATTTAATGAAATCTTACTGTAATAAAATACTACCCACTCTCAATCTTTGGTTTATTATTTATGTCAATATGGATTTTTTTTTTGAGTTGGAGTCTTGTTTTGTCATCCAGGCTGGTGTGCAATGGTGCGATTTCCGCTCACTGCACTTCCACCTTCCGGGATTCAAGCCATTCTCCTGCCTCAGCCTCCGGAGTAGCTGGGACTACAGTCATGTGCCACCATGCCCGGCTAATTTTTGTATTTTCAGTAGAGGCAGGGATTCACCACATTGGTCAGGCTGGTCTTGAACTCCTGACCTCAAGTGATCTGCCCGCCTCTGCCTCCCAAAGGGCTGGGAATACAGGCATGAGCAACTGCACCTGGCCTGGATTAATTGAAAATTTTCTCCTGTAGATTGTAATATATTATTATTGTTATCTATTTTATTGCCCCAATTTTCTCAAATTTGGCTATGGAAGTTTATTCAAAGTGGATCTGTTTCCCTTTCACATTTTCCCCATTTTGTGAGCATTTCCTTACTTCCTAACATGACAAAATATTTCAAACTAATCTTGTATTTTCCCTGCCCAATCCTGATATCAAATATGTCCCCAAGGAGCCTTGGTTCCTTTAATTGGAGAATGGTGTTCTCATTGTTACTGGGATGATGTTGTTTCTAGGCCCTTTTGTTAGAGGAGCTAGAAAATATATGTATGTATACTCACACATTTATACACATCTGTACTTATTTATACAATTATCCATCTGTACGTATACTAAAAACAATGATTTCATGAAACTTTTGATCCCAATCCAACACTAGATAAAGACTATATAGGCCCATTTATTTGCAAATCAGCACATAAACATAGAAGAATTATTAACAATATAAGCTGTAGCTTATGCTAAATGTTGGTTGGAACAGACAATAAGTTATGGAGAACTTCAGAGGACACTAAGGTTGGATGGGATTTTGGAAGTTGTACAGGTCAATGCCACTCCATCTATTGGCGAGTTTCACTAGGTTAATACATGAACAACAACAAAAATAACCTAGATCAGAAGTTAAAGGTCATTTTATTGACTATCTGCCGTGTCTGTGCCATTGCAGTGTACTAGGTGCACTTACGAGTCCTCTACTTACAAACTGCTTTTCACAAAATATGAAACTCCAGGCAAAGGTTCAGACATATGACGTTTGTTTTTAAAATCTTTCTACAGCCTTGTATCCTTTTTCCTTTCCTTCCTTTTACCCTTTTTAAAATGTGTTATGAGTTTTATCTTAGACTAACATCATCTGTAATGTTGCTATACGCCAGTATTCAGTTGCTGTGTTTGATGAATCATAAAATGGTGTAAAACTTCAATTAATGTACTTTTTAAATAAAGTATCTATGAATGCATCCAGCAAAATGTTTATGATTTGAGTATTCACACAATATTACTTTTCTCTGGATCTAACAATAATGTGAAAACGCAAAATGAATATAAAATATTAGCTAATAATAGATTTCAAAGTATTGTACAAGTATGAAAAATATATGATATTGTTACTTTCATATATGTAAAACATTAATAATTTTTGTCAACATAAACATCATCTTTACACCTAAACTTGTATTAATTCAATTAAGAGTTAATATAGTATCCTAAAGTCATCAAATATTCAAAAATAGGATGTATTCTGAGTTGGAATATACATAAAATTAACTATTTTCAGCTGAGCAGAGTGGCTCATGCCTGTAATTCCAGCACTTTGGGAGGCTGAGGTAGGCAGATTGCTTGAGATCAGGAGTTTCAGACCAGCCTGGCCAACATGGTGAAACCCTGTCTCTACCAAAAATACAAGTTAGCCAGGCATGGTGGAACCTGCCTGTAATCCCAACTACTCTGAAGGCTGAGGCAGGAGAATCACTTGAACCCAGGAGGCAGAGGATGCAGTGAGCCAAGATTGCGCCACTGCACTCCAGCCTGGGTGACAGAGTGAGGCTCCATATCAAAATAATAATAATAATAATAAGAGTAATAATAATAATAACAATATTCTGTGAGTCCAAAGATAAAATAGCATTACAAAATACCTAATAATCCTGAGTTTGGTTTTCTTGGTTTTATTTTTTCATTTAGTTTTGTTCACTTTGACCAGTGGGCTGGTGGTTCTTAGGTGCACCAAGGTTTTCATTTTTCAGTTCAAGATTTTAAAACCTTAATGTGGTAATTTCTCTAATTTTTTTGACAGTTACGTCCCAGGTTGCAAGTTAAAATAAAATTCCCATTTTACTAAAGTCCTTGGTTTATTAATTATTTTATAATGACTTAATATATAATTTAATAAGTAATGAGGGGTACTACATTTCAGAAATCAACACTGAAGAACTTATTCATGGAACCAAACACCACCTGTTTCTCAAACACCTATTAAAATAAAAATACATATAAATAATTTCTAAAAATAAACACTAAAAATAAAGTGAAAATGAAAAAATATATATCCAGGTTAAAAAAAAAAACTACTTCAGTTAAACAATAAATACTTTTTGGGGGGACTCTACTGCAAAATTATTCGTTGTTTATTATAATCAATAATACAGGTAAAAGAATAAGTTTTTAAAAATGGAAAAATTGTAAAAAATAAAACGATATTAACAAATATTGGTATACTGGTGAAGGCCGGGCTCAGTGGCTGCTTTCCAAAGTGGTTACACCAGTCGGGCATGGTGGCACACACCTGTAATCTCAGCACTTCCGGAAGCTGAAGCAGGCAGATCACTTGAGCTCAGGAGTTTGACACAAACCTGGGCTACATGACAACACCCCATTTCTACCAAAAACTGTAAAAATCAGCTGCACATGATAGCATGCACCTGTAAGTCCCAGCTACTTAGGAGGCTGAGGTGAGAGGATCACTTGTGCCTGGAAGGTCACAGCTGCACTGGCCATGTTCATGTCACTGCACTCCAGCCTGTGCAACAGAGCAAGATTTTGTCTCAAAAAAAAAAAGTTGGTGACAATTGGAATAATTGGAACTCACATACATTACTGGTGGGAACATAAAATGGTGTAATCAATTTGGGTGTTTTCTTGGCATTTGATTTTTTTAAAAAATCAAGACATTGTTTCCCTATGTTGCCCAGGGTTGTCCTGAACTCCTGAGCTAAGAAAATCCTCCAAACTCAGCGTCTCAAATACCTGAGATTAAAGGTGTGAGCCACTGTGCCTGACCAGTGTAACCACTTTGAAAAACAACGTGGCAGTTTCTCAAAGACTAAATGTATAGTAATCACATAATGCAACAATTTCACTCCTGAGTGTAAATCCAAGAGAAATAAAAATATATGTTCACACTAAAACTTACGTACGAGTGTTCATAGCAGCCTGACTCATGATGGTGAATACGCAAAAACAACACAAATGTCCATCAACTAATGAATGGATAAACATACGTACCCTATGAACATGGGGTACGTAGGAGGTAGTGGCTAAGAGGTGAGGGTTTCTCACTCATAAGTGGGTAACTCACAAGTGGGTAATCACTTCTAAGAAAGACTGTGGTGATGGATGCACAGCTCCTTGAATATTCTAAAAACCACTCAATTGTATACTTTCTTTTTTCTTTAGTTATTTAAAGACAGGGTCTCCTTTTGTTACCCATGCTGTAGTGCAGTGGTGCCATCTGGTCTCACTGCAACCTATGGCTTCCGGGCTCAAGTGATCATCCAGTCTCATGTCCCCAAGTAGTTGGGACTACAGGCATGAGCCACCACACCCAGCTAATTTTTGTATCTTTGCTAGAGATGCTGTTTTGCCATGTTGCCCAGGCTAGTCGCAAACTCCTGAACACAAGCGATCCACCTGCCTCAGCTGCCCAAAGTCTTAGCGTTATAGGAATTAGCCACTGCACCTGGCCTGAATTGCGTACTTTGATAAATGAATTGCATGATACGTTAATCATATTTCAATAACGTTATTATTTTAAAAATGGCTGGGCATGGCGTGGTGACTCACGCCTCTGATCTCAGCACACTGGGAGGCCAAGGTGGGTGGATTGCCTGATTTCAGGAGTTCGAGACCAGTCTGGCCAACATACTGAAACTCTGTCTCTACTAAAAATACAAAAATATTAGCTGAGAGTGGTGACATGGGCCTGTAATTCCAGCTAGTCGGGAGGCTGAGGCAGGGGAGTTGCTTGAACCAGGGAGGTGGAGGTTGCAATCAGCTGAGATCACACCACTGCATTCCAGCCTGCATGACAGAGTGAGAGTCCGTCTCCAAAAGAAAGAAAGAAAAAGAAAATGGGCATTGAACACAGGTGGCTCCCACCTACATATAATCCAAGCACTTTGGGAAGCTGAGGCAGAAGGATCACTTGAGGCCAGGAGTCTGACAACATCCTGAGCAACACAGCAAGATCCCATCTGTACAATAAAAAATAAAGAAGTTAGCTGGGCATAGGGGCAAATGTATGTAGTCCCAGCTACTTGGGAGGCTGAGGTGGGAGGACTGTTTGAGTCCGGGGTTTCAGGCTGCAGTGAACCATGATCATGCCACCGCACTGCAGCCTGGGTGACAGAACAAAACCCTGTCTCTAGAAAAAAAAAAAAAGAAATCCAAGTTTTTATCACCTTCTGAGAGTAATCAACATTCAGGAGGAACAGAGAAGAACAAAAGACCACTGAATGGTTGAGGGTGGGTTGCTGGTTAGGTTCAGTGGCCAGCTGAGTAGTATCTGAAAAATTCATTAGTAAAATTATGGCACTAGGGGTGAGTCATGCAGTCGAAGGATGAATACTAAATCCAGTACAAACACCCATGGTCTTTCTTTACATGAATTCCATTGAAAAATTTCTAAGTGCCTAAAATAGCAAGCGGTCTGAAATGATGGCAGCAGTTTATTAAAGACTGAAAAAAGAGGCCAGGCACGGTGGCTCACACCTGTAATCCCAGCACTTTAGGAGTCCAAGACCAGTGGATCACAAGGTCAGGAGTTCAAGACCAGCCTGTCCAACATGCTGAAACCCCGTATCTACAGAAAATACAAAGCTTAGCCGGGCATGGTGACATGTGCCTGTAGTCCCAGCTACTTCAGAGGCTGAGGCAAAAGAAATGCTTGAACCCGGGAGGCAGAAGTTGCTGTGAATTGAGATTGTGCCACTGCACTCGAGCCTGGTGACAGAGGAAGATGCTGTCTCAAAAAAAAAAAAAAAAAAAAGAAACGGCATCTTCAAGAACCACAAGAACCACAAGAGAGTTCCACGCTGAAGAAGCTCTGATTCTGCATTTGCTGAACTACTGATTTGAGTTAGCCAATATAACACTATCTTAGATAAAGTGTACAAACAACTCAATTTCATCTCCTCATTAATAACTGATTGGTCTAATATCAATTCTGATTTTTAAAAAGCTAATTAGAAAAAGAATTAATTATAGAACCAATAAGAGGTTTGAATAGTTACAAGCTATTCAAAGGAGAATTCAAAAAACCATTCAGGTATGAGGCCATAAAGTATGATGAAATAAATTTCATTAATATATTTTAAAATAAACTGATTAGACAGGCAACAACACCTGGGCACGGGTCTCCTCACCTCCAGCAACACAAACCCAATCGCGCAGCTATGGGGTTGCAAAGGCTGCATAGTGACAAACAGACTGCTCTGAGCTGAGATTTCTTTACTTGTATCTGTATTCTGAGACCGGGTCTCACTCTGTCACTCTGGCTGCAATGCAGGGGTGCACTCATAGCTAACTGCAGCCGTGACCTCCTGGGCTCCGGGGATCCTCTTGCCTCACCCTCACCATAGCTATGGCTACAGATGAACACCAAAACACCCAGCTAATTTTTTTTTTTTTTTTTTGTAGAAAGAGGAGCCTTGCTATGTTGCCCAAGCTGGCCTCAAACTCCCACCCTCAAGAGATCTGCCCACCTCAACAACCTAAGTAACAGGTTCTACAGGAAAATACCACTATGCCGGGATAATTATATTTTATTAATTTTTATTTGCATAGACAGGAGGTCTTGCTGTGTTGCCCAGGGTGGTCTAAAACTCCTGGACTCAAACCATTCTCCCATCTCTGCCTCCCAAAGTGCTGAAGCTACGGGCATAAGCCACTGCACCTGGCCCGACTTAAGATTTCTGTAATCTAGCATCCCATACTTCATATAATTGGGAAAAGCAGTAGTGGTTTTTTTTTAATTACTTACTATTTCAACAAGAATCAACCATCTCTCACCATTGCCAGGGCCCTGGTCAGAACCATTATCATCTCCCACCTGGAGGTTGCCACAGCATGGCCTCCCTGCTTCTACCCAAATCTTCCCACAATCTTTCTCAACTCAGCTGCCATGGGATGCTTTTAAATCAGTAGACAGTTCGCGTCACCTCTCTGCTCAGAACCCTTCCTCATCTCCCATCTCAGACAGAATAAAAACCAAAGCCCCAGCAATAACCTCCCAGGGCTTACACAATCTGCACTGATCTGAGTCCAACAACTCCCTGGCCTCCTTCCCTACTTCTCTCCCTCTCTCTACTCCACAGACCTCTTTCCTGAGCTTCAGACACACCACGGAGTTCCCTCTTAGCATCTTTATTCTGTTGTTTCTGCCTACAATGCTCTTCCCTCAGTACCTTGGCCAGCTCCTTCCCCTCCTTCAAGTCTTTGCTCAATTTTCACTTAGGAGGCCAACCCTGACCACTTTATTTAATATTGCTATCTGTCCCTATTCCTGCCATGCTCACTCATTTCTTTTTTCTTTTTTTTTCTAAGATATAATCTCGCTGTGTCACTCAGACTGGGGTGCCATGGCATGATCACAACGCACTGAGACCTGGAGCTCTTAGGTCAAGAAATTGTCCTGCCTCAGGGCCAGACTTATCGTGAACTGCTGGGCCAAAGAAACCATCCTGCCTCAACCTCCTAAATAGCTGGAATTATAGGTGTGGGCCACCAATTCTGGCTTCATGTTCATTTCTTCTTGCCGCTGTTACAAACTACCCTACATTGAGTGGCTTAATACACCACAAATCTACTAACTAAGAGGTCTGGGGGCCAGAAGTCCAAAATAGGTCTATTAAGGCTAAAGTCAAGGTGCCAGCAGGACTGCATCCCTTCTGGAGGTTCTGGAGAGAATATGTTCCCTTGCCTTTCCCAGTTGCTAAAGCCACTGCTATTCTTTGGCTCATGGCTCCTAACTGCATCTTCAAAGCCAGAAGCAAAGCATATTCGAATCTCCCTCTGTGACCTGTGCTTCCATCATCAAATCTCCTTCAATTCGGACTCTCTTACCTCCCTCTTTCACTTATAAAGACCTCTTGTGATTGCTGGACACAGAGGCCGTGGCTCACAACCATAATCCCAACAGTTTAGGAGGTCAAAGCAGGAGAAACGCTTGAGGCCAAAACTTCAGGACCAGCCTGGGAAACACGGCGAGACCCCCTCAATTAAACAACAAAAAGAAATAAGAAAAAATTAGCTGGGCATGGTAGTATGCATCTGTAGTTTCAGCTACTTGAGAGGTTGTGGTGAAAGGATCGCTTTAGCCCCAGAGTTCAAGACCAGCCTCGGCAATATAACAAGATCCCATCTCTACAAAAAAAAATACAAAAATTAGCTGGGCATGGATGGTGTGCACCTGTAGTCCCAGATGCTTGGAAGGCTGAGGTGGGAGAATTGCTTGAGCACAGGTGGTTGAGACTGCAGTTAACTACAACACCATCACTGCACTCCAGATTGGGTGAAACAGAGACTCTGTGTTCAAAAGAAAAAGAAAAGAAATACACATTTGGTTTCTGCCCCTCATCCTGGCACAGAGCTTCTCAAGCTCTTATAAAGGCCTTGGTGATGAAAGTGATGGGGCATCTTCTGTTTCAATATTTGGTCTTAGTCCCAGGTTTCTAACACAAGAGCCTCTAAGACCTTTGGGATCACCATAGTAAGAATGCATTTGGTGATGTTACTGAGATGACTGGGTGACTGAAAGCTCCTAGACAGCTTCAGAAAAAGGGGTGGTTGTTGTCAGAAGAACAAACCATGTGATTAGAGGCTTGGAACTGTCAGCCTCACCCCCTGGGCTCCAGGAAGAAATAGTGGCCGAAGACTGACTTAATTACCAATGGTCAATGATTTCATCAATCATGCCTGCATAATGAAGCGTTCATAAGCGCCCTTAACAACTGGAGTTGGAGAATGTCTGGGTTGCTGAACACAAGGGAGATACCAGGAAGGTAACATGCACAATAGAGGACATGGAAGTTCTGTACCCCTCTCGACATACCTTGCCCTGTGTGTGTTTTTTTTTTTTTTTTGAGACAGAGTCTGGCTCTGTCTCCCAGCCTAGAGTGCCATGGCACAATCGTGGCTCACTGCGAACTATGCCTCCCTATCTCAAGCCCCATCCTCTCATCCTCTCACCTCAGCCTCCTGAGTAGCTAGAATTATAGGCACTGAGTAGCTAGAACTATAGATAACTGTGCCTGGCTAATTTTTAGAAAAATCTTTTTGTAGAGATGCATTTTCACCTTGTTACCCAGGCTGGTCTTAATCTCCTGAGCACTTAAGCGATGCTCCCGCCTCAGTCTCCCAAAGTGCTGAAATTACAGGCATGAGCCACTGTGCCCAGCATGTACATCTCTTTCACTGGCTGTTTCTGAGATTTAGCCTTTAAAATGAACCAGTAAAAGAAAATAAATTGGTGAGATGCAGTGGTTCATGCCCATAATCCCAGCATTTTGTGAAGTTGAGGTGGGAGGATCATGTGAGCCCAGAAATTTGAGACCAGCCTGGGCAACATAACAAGACCCCCCCATCTCTACAAAAAGTAAGAGAACATAGCCAGATATGCTGGTACAGGCCTATAATCTCAGCTATTTGGGAGGCTGAGGTGGGAGGATCACTTGAGCCCAGGAGTCCCATGCTACAGTGAGCTTTGATCACACCACTGCATTCCAGCCTGGCAACAGACTGAGACCCTGTATCTCAGAAAAAAAGAAAACAATCTGTTTTTCTGAGTTCTGCAAGCTGTCCGAGCAAATGATTCCACCCACCAATGGGGGTCATGAAACTCTGTTTTCTAACTGGTTGGTCAAAACTACATGTAACAACCCAAGACTTGCAATTGGCATGTGGAGTGAGGGTAGACTCCTGGGACTGAGCTCCCATCCTGCGGGGTCTGCACTAACTCCAGGGAGTGTCAGGATGGAATTGTGGGATACCCAGTTGGGATCCAGATTGTCTGAAAATCAGTGTAGAAACTCCACATGCACATTTGGTCAGAGGTGTTTGACCGTAACTACTATTCATGAAAAAGGTCTACTCATTAGAACTAAAAATCACAAAATTGTAAGTTCTACAAAAACAAATCAACCTTATCTACCGCCCAGTCCTACTGAACTACAGAATGTGAGAACAGAAGGTCTGACCATGGAGTCGAGAGCTGACAGGAATGTCACCATCATCCTGCTCTCCAAGGACTCCTCATCTTCAACAGACTCCTCATCTTCAATGGGCAGGGTGGAAACTGCAACTTGTGCCATGATCCTTGCACAAGAAAAGTAGTAAGAAAATGAGTGGTAGAAATCCAGTGTCCTAAACTCACATCCGGAGCTGTGAGAGTTTTTTACTGGCTGGATAATTCACAGTTTTCTTGAATCAGGGGAAAAATAAGACTCAGAAACTAGGAGTTTTGCCCAAAACTCTCATCAGATACAGAATCCATCCGCTAACTATCTAGTATTATTTCCATAAGTTAGATCAATTATCACTCCCAAAACAAATGCACATGGCACCCAGAATCTGTGCATTTCTCCCAAGTAAAAGAGGAGGTGGACGGGCGCAGTGTCTCATGCCTTTAACCCCAGCACTTTGGGAGGCCAAGGTGGGTGGATCACCTGAAGTCAGGAGTTCAAGACCAGCCTGGCCAACATGGTGATACCCTGTCTCTACTAAAAATAAAAAAAATTAGCCAGGTGTGGTGGCATGTGCCTGTAGTCCCAGCTTCTTGGGAGGCTGAGGCAGGAGAATCACTTGAACCCAGGAGGCTGAGGTTGCAGTGAGCAGAGATCACACCACTGCACCTCAGCCTGGATGACAGAGTGAGACTCTGTCTCAAAGAAAAAGGAGGGGAGGAAAGGAGGCAAGGCACTTTACAACCCAGTGATGGGCTACCACAACTCAACACAGCAAAGAGTTGCCAAGCTCCCTTTCTCCCGTGCACAACCCGACACAGAAGAGTTGGTGCAGTGGAATGAGGCTGGATGGAGAGAAGTTCCTCTTCTTTCTTTCCTTTTTTTTTTTTTTTTTTGAGATGGACTCTCGCTCTGTCACACAGCCTGGGGTGCAGTGGTGCAATCTCGGTCCCTGTAACCTCTGCCTTATGGGTTTAATCAATTCTCTGCCTCAGCCTTCCGAATACCTGGGATTAGAGTCACCCCCCCACCACACCCAGCTAATTTCTTTTTTTTTTTTTTTTTTTTTTTTTTTTTTTTTTTAGTGGAGACTGGGTTTCGCTATGTTGGCCAGGCTGGTCTTGAACTCCTGACTTTAGGTGATCTACCCACCTCGGCCTCCAAAAGTGCTAGGATTACAGGCATGAGCCGCTGTGCCCAGCCAAGAAGTTCCTCTTCTTACTTAGAAAACAGATCACAGGGCATCAAGTAACACGTAAAATCCTTTATAATAAGCAGTATTATTTTTGGAAAACCTTTCCTAATATTTTGGTATCAGCAAAAAGCCTCAGATTAATTTCAAACACTATAAAAATACAATACATAAACAGAAAATATTAACTGTCAGCAAGGCTATAGAGAAATTGGAAGCTGTATGCATTGCTTTTTGGAATGTAAAATGGTACAGCCCACTGTGGAAAATGGTTTAGCAGCTCCTTAAAAATATGAAGCATAGAATTATATGATCCATCAACACCCTTTAAGCGTATATACCCAAAAGAACTGAGAGCAGGGACTCAAACAGGTATTTGTACACCCGATTAACAGCAGCATTATTCACAGTGGCCAAAAGGTAGCCCAAACCTAATGCCCATCAGTAGGTGAATAGATAAAGAAAATGTAATATATACATACACAGAGTATTATTCAGCCATAAAAAGAAAAATATCTGGCCAGATTCAGGGGCTTACACCTGTAATCCCAGTATTTTGGGAGGCCAAGGTGGGCAGGTCTCTTGAGCCCCATATTTTGAGACCAGACTGGACAACATGGCACTTTTGGTTAGAAGTGTTTGACCATAACTACTATTCCAGAAAAAGATCTACTCATTAGAACTACAAATCATAAAATTATAAGTTCTACAAAAACAAATCAACCTTATCTACCACCCAGTTCTACCCAATTATATCATATTAGAACAGAAGGTCTCACCGTGGACTTGAGAGCTGATACGAGAAATGTCACCACCATCCTGCTCTCCACGGAATCATCTTCAACAGACTCCTCATCTTCCATGGACTCCTCATCTTCCATGGGCAGGGTGGAAACTGCAACTTGTGCCATGATCCCTGTGCAAAAAAGTAGTAAGAAATTGAATGGTAGAAATGCAGTGTCCTAAACTCACATCCAGAGCTGTGAGAGTTTCTCACCGGCTGCCAAATTGTTTTTTGGGTCAGAGAAAAAAATAAAACTTGGTAACCTGGTACTCGACTTGCCCCAAACTCTCATCAGATAGAGAATCTATCTGCTAACTTTCTATCTAGTATTATTTCCATGAAGTTACATCAATATCACTCCCAAAATAAATCCAGGTGGAAGACTAAATCCAAAGCTAGCAGAAGGAAAGAAATAATAAAGAGCATAATTAGAGCATAAATCAATCAAATAGAAGGTTGGAGAGCAGTAGAATGAAAAAATGTAGATTCTTTGAAAGATCAAGCCTTTCACTATATTGACTGAGCAAAAGATGGAAGACTAATTATTAAAATAATAAATGAAAGCAGAGCCATTACTACCAACTTTACAGAAATACAAAAGGATTATAGGAGTATACTGTGAACAACTGTCTAGCAACAAATTAGGTGCCCTGGATGAAATGGATGAATCGCTAGAAAGACACAAACTACCAAGGTGGCTCAAGAAGAAAGAGAAAATCTGAATAGACCTATAACCTAGGAGATTGAATTAGTAATCGAAAGCGATTAACAAAGAAACATTTATGACCAAATAGCTGCATTAACTGGTGAGTCAACCTAACATTTAAAGAAGAATTAATACCATTTCTTCTCAAACTCTTCTGACAAAATATATGAAGAAGGAATACTTGCTAATTCATTTTTTGATAACAGCATTATCCTTATACCAAAGACAAAGAGAGCACAAAAGAGAGAAATACAGCACTATATCCCTTATGAATATATAAGCAAAAATCTCAGCAAAATACTAGCAATACTAGCAAAATACTAGCAGCAATACTGTATAATCAAAGGATTGTAAACTATCACCCTTTGAGATTTATCCCCAAAATGCAAGGGTGGTTCAACATATAAAAAATCAATCAGTGTAATATGCTGTAACAGTAAAATGAATAAGCACGTGATTATTTCAATTGATGCAGAGAAAACATTGATGAAATACAACACCCTTCTATAATAAAAATACTCAATAAACTAGGCATAGAAGGGATCTTCTGCAACATGACAATGGGATGTACAAAAACCCAACAGTTAATATCATGATCAATGATGAAACACTGAGAGCTGTTTTCCTAATATCTAGAAGAAAAGGATGGTGCATTTGCCACTTGTATTCAACGTAGCACTGGCAGTTCTAGCCAGAGCAATTAGGCAAGACAAAGAAATAAAAGGCATCTAAATTAGAAATAAAAAATAGGTGTAAAATTATATCTACACATGATCTTGTAGGTATAAAGCTCCAAACAAAACACAAAACCGATTATAACTAATAAAAGAGGCAGGATGCAAACAAACATAGGCAAATGAGCTATATTTCTATATAGTTGTAAAGAACTATGAAAACATTTTAAAAATTCCATTTATAATGACATCAAAGAATACGTTATTCAGGCATAAATCTAACCATGGTGGTATACACAAAACATTGCTGCAAAAAACTAAAGAGAGTGGAAATAAGTGGAAAGACATTCTGTGTTCACGGGTTGTAAGACAATATTGTTAAGATGACAATACCATCTAAAGTAATCTACAGATTCAATGCAATACCATCAAAATCCCAAAGGCATTTTTGCAGAAACAAAGAAACTCATTCTAAAATCATACAAAAATTCAAAGGATCTGACAGACAAAACAGTCTTGAAAAAGAACATTGGAAAACTCACATTTTTCAGTTTCACAGCCTACTACAAATCTACAGTAATCAAGAGAGTGTGGTACTGGAATAAGACCAATAGACTTTCAGACAAATACAATAGAACAGATTTGAGATCCTACAAGTTAGTCCTCACATATATGGTCAATGACTGTTCAACAAGGTGGCCAAGTCTAGTCAAGGGAGGAAAGAACAGTCTCTTCAACAGCTGGATGTCAGTGCACAAGAGAGAAGTTAGACCCCTACCTTGCAGTATATACAAAAATTAATTCTAAATTAATAAAAGACTTAAATGTAAGGACTAAAAATATGTAACTCTTAGAAGAAAACACACGGTAAACCTTTATGACCTTTGAGTTTTAAGTGTATTTTGAAATATGACAGAAAAGCACAGATAACAAAAGAAAATACACGAAAATTAGATTTAATCAAAATAAAAAAACCCTTTATGCATCAAAGGATACTATCAAGGGAGTGAAAAGACAACCCATAATATGTGAGAAAATATGTATCTGATAAAATCAAAATGTGTATCTGATAAAAGCTTAATATCCCACAACTCAACAACAGAATTTCTAAGATCCCAATTAAAAAAATAGGCAAAGGACTTGAACAGACATTTCTCCAAAGAAGATACACAAATGTCTAAGAAGGAAAAGAAAAGATGCTAAACACCATTATTCATTAATAAAATGCAAGGCAAAACCCAAATGAGACGCCACTTTGCATCCACTAGTAAGGCTTTCATAACAACGACACAGAAAATCAATGTTGCTAAGGAGGTGGAGAAACTGGAGCCCTCATGAACTGGCTGCTAGGAATAGAAAATGATGCACTTGCTGTGGAAAAGAGTTTGGTGGTTCCTCAAAGAATCACACAGAGAAACAGGCGCCGCTGGCTTGCAGGTTCTCCTGGGCTGGCGCGGGACGTCCCGGAATCGCAGGCGCGCATTCCTTCCCGCCTGAGGGCCCGCCTGGCCGTGACTCCTGCCCCTCTCCTCCTCCGAAGAGAGATCGGGGCCGCCCCAGCGGCCGTCTGCAGCCACCGGGGATGGGGCTGAGGGTCGGTTCCTGCCCCGGTGCAGCCGCCCCTGGGCAGACCGCCTGGCTTGGTCGCAGCCACGGCGACATCTAGCCCCAGTTCTGCGAGGCTGGGCGCGCCAGCCAGCTTGGGAGTCGCCCGGCGCCTGTAGCTGGGTGCCCAGGTGGTGGAGCATGCCCTGGGCCGCCTCTGGATCGCGGGTGCCCCTGGCCTGAGAGCCTGCCAGACCCTGCCCCGGCCCGGCTCCTCCTCTGTCAGAGCTCCAGGTCTCTATCCAGGGGCCCTCTGCAGCCACCGGGGATGGGGCTGAGGGCCGGTTCCCGCCCCTGTGCAGCTGCTGCAGGACAGACCGCCTGGCTTGGCCACAGCCACAGGGACATTTGGCCCTGCTTCCGAGATGTGGGGAGTGTGGGCGAGCTCGGGAGTTGCCTGGAGGCTGCTGCCTGCACGCAGAAGGCGGCTGCAGCTCGGGTGCCCAGGCGGGCTGGAAGTGCATGGCCTGGTCGGCCTTGGGATCGCCAGCGCGCCCAGCCTCAGGGCCCCCAGGCCGTGCCTCCCGACCACTCCTCCACCTGAGGGAGATCGGAGCCGTTTGTATGGGCACTCGGCAGTCACCTCGTGTGGGGTTGAGCGGTGGGTTCTCAGTTCTCGCTCCTGTGCAGCTGCTGCCGCAGGGCAGAATGCCTGGCTTGGCTGCAGCCACTGGGACACGTGGCCCTGCTTCTGTGATGCTAGGAGCGCGAGCGGGCTCGGGGGTTGCCAGGCAGCTGCTGCCTGCACACAGAGGGCGACGGCAGCTTGGGCGCCCAGATGGCGGAGCATGGTTTGGGTGGCCTCTGGAATGCGTGCGCGCCAGGCCTGAGGGTCACCCTGGTGGGGCCACATACCCCGGTCTTCCTCTGCTGGAGCCTGGAGCAGCTGGAATGGCCACTACTCCGTCACAGGGGATAGAGTTAAGTTTTCTTATCCCACCCATGCACACAAAAAGGTGACGATTCTGTGAGGTAATAAACGTGTTAATTGACTACATTCATGCCACTCTGCACCCACAAGTAAGGCTTTCATAACAATGACACAGAAAATAAATGTTGCTAAGGAGGTGGAGAAGTTGGAGCCCTCATGATTTGGCTGCTAGGAATAGAAAATGATGCCCTTGCTGCGGAAAACAATTTGGTTGTTCCTCACAGAATGAGCATTGGGTGAAAAATGAAATCAAGATGGAAATGTAAAAAATTTATTCGAACTGGATGACACAACCTATCAAGACCTCTGGGATACAGCAAAGGCACTGCTAAGAGCAAAGTTTGTAGTCCTAAAAACCTACATCAAAAAGTCTGAAAGAGCACAAACAGACAATCTAAGTTCACATCTCAGGGAACTAGAGAAGCAGGAACAAGCCAAACCCAATCCCAGCAAACACAGGAAATAACAAAGATCAGAGCAGAACTAAATGAAATTGACACAACAACAACAACAACAACAAATACAAAACATAAATAAAAGAAAAAGTTGGTTATTTGAAAAGATAAATAAAATTGATAGACCATTAGCAAGATTAACCAAGAAAAGAAGAGAGAAAATCCAAATAACCTCACTAAGAAATGAAACAGGGGATATTACAACTGACACCACTGAAATATTAAAGATTATTCAAGGGTACTATGAACACCTTTTGGCACATAAACTACAAAGCCTAGAAGAGTTGGATAAATTCCTGGAAAAATACAACTCTCCTAGCTTAAATCAGGAAGAATTAGATACCCCAAGCCGACCAATAAAGCAAGCAGCAAGATTGAAATGGTAATTTTAAAATTACCAGCAAAAAAAGCTGAGGGCCAGACAGATTCACAGCAGAGTTCTACCAGACATTCAAAGAATGTCTTCTTTCATTCAAGGAAGAAATGATACCAATCTTTTCATACTATTCCACAAGACAGAGAAAGAAGAAACCCTCCCTTATTCATTCTATGAAGCCAGCATCACCCTAATACCAAAACCATGGAAGGACATAACCAAAAAAGAAAACTACAGACCAATATCCTTGATGAACGCAGATGCCAAAATCCTTAACAAAATACTATCTAACTGAATCCGACAACATATCAAAAAATAATCCACCATGATCAAGTGGGTTTTATACCAATGATATAGGAGTGGTTTCACATATGCAAGTCAATAAGTGTGATACACCAAATAAACAGAATTAAAAAAAATCTAATATGATTATATCAACAGGTGCAGAAAAAACATTTGACAAAATCTAGCATTGCTTTATGATTAAAGCTCTCAGCAAAATAGGCATACAAGGGACATACCTTAATGTAATAAAAGCCATCTATGACAAACCCACAGCCAACATAATACTGAATGGGGAAACGGTGAAAGCATTCCCTTTGAGAACTGGAACAAGACGAGGAGCCTACTCTCACCACTCCTCTTCAACATAGTACTGGAAATCCTAGCCAGAGCAATCAGACAAAAGAAGGAAATAGAGGAAATCCAAATCGGTAAAGAGGAAGTCAAACTGTCACTTGTTGCTGATGATATAATCTTTTGCCTAGAAAACCCTACGGACTCCTCTAGAAACCTCCTAGAACTGATAAAAGAATTCAGCAAAGTTTCCAGATACAAGATTAATGGACACAAATCAGTAGCTCTTCCATACATCAACAGCTACCAAGCAGAGAATCACATCAAGAACTCAACCCCTTTTACAATAGCTGCGACAAACAACAACAACAAAAAAACAAAACTTAGGAATATACCTAGCAAAGGAATCAAAGGACCGCTACAATGAAAATTACAAAACGCTACTGAAAGAAATCATAGATGGAGCCAAGCACGGTGGCACATGCCTATAATCCGAGCTACTCGGGAAGCTGAGGCAGGAGAATCGCTTGAACCCGGGAGGCAGAAGTTGTAGTGAGCCGAGATCACACCATTGCTCTCCCACCTCAGCGACAAGAGCGAAACTCCTTCTGAAAAAAAAAAAAAAAAAAAAAAAAAAAAAAAAAAACAAAAAAAAAAAAAAAACAAGAAAGAAAAGAAGTCATAGATGACACAAACAAATGGAAATGCATCCCCATGCTCATGGATGGGTAGAACCAATATTGTGAAAATTACCATTCTGTTAAAGGCAATCTACAAATTCAATGCAATCCCCATCTGAATGCCACCATCATTCTTCACAGAATTACAAAAACAATTCTAAAATTAATATGGAACCAAAAGAGAGCCATGTAACCAAACCAAGCCTAAGCAAAAAGAACCTGGAGGTATCACACTACTTGATTTCAAACTGTACAATAAGGCCATAGTTACCAAAACACCAACGTACTGGTTTAAAAATAGGAACATAGACCAATGGAACAGAAGAGAGAACCCAGAAATTAACCCAAATACTTACAGCCAACTGATCTTCGACAAAGTAAACAAAAACATAAAGTGGGGAAAGGACCCCCTTTTCAACACATGATGTTGGGATAATTGGCGAGCCACATGTAGGGGAATAAAACTGGATTCTCATCTCTCATCTTATACAAAAATCTACTCAAGATGGATTAAGAACTTAAATCTAATTCCTGAACTATAAAAATTCTAGAAGATAACACTGGATAAACCCTTCTAGACATTGACGTACGCAAGGATTTCATGACCAAGAACCCAAATTCAAATGAAATAAAAACAAAGATTAATAGCTGGGACTTAATTAAACTAAACAGCTTTTGCATGGCAAAAGGAACAGTCAGCAGACTAAATGGACAACTCAGAGTGGGACCCCTGAACCTGACCCTGACCCCTGACCCTGATCCCTAACCCCTGACCCTGACCCCTAACCCCTGACCCTAACCCTAACCCTTAACCGTAACCCCTAAGCCTAACCCCTAACCACAACCCTCACCCTCACACTAATCCAACCCTAACCCCTTATCCCTAACCCCTAACCTCTCTTAACCTCTAACTCTAAACGTTGACTCTTAACTCTTAACTCTGACCCCAACCCCTATCTCCAACCCCTAACCCTAAACTTAACCCCTAACCCCTAACCCTAACACCAACCTTAACCCTAGGTTCGTTACTACGTTTGTACTATGTCAATGTTGATTATTATGATCTCTGTCTTAGGACTGCATGGCAGCAAGGGGATTGCGGATCTTATATTAATATTTTTGTATTGAGGCAGTGCATTAGCATTACAGGTGCTTGTTACATGAGCAATGGGAGTGTCATAATTTGGGTGTCATGTCTGCATTAGGAATGCTGCATTTGTCTTCCGAGTCTGCGGTGTGGATCTCGCACTGTGGCCGCCTCGGCTTGGCTGGGGAGAACCTCGGTTGGCAGGATTCAGAGGGGCTTTTGGTTTCCCTTTTCCACACTGAGCCCTTCTAACTGGTCTCTGGCCCTGATTATTCAGGGCTGCAAAAGGGAAGGATTTTATTCACCGTCTATGCGGTCCCGAGTTGTCCCAAAGCGAGGCAGTGCCCCAAAGGTCTGTGCTGAGGAGAACGCTGCTCTGCCTTAGCGGTGTCCCCCGGGTCTGTGCTGAGCAGAACGCAGCTCCGCCCTCGCGGTGCCCCCGGCCCGCCTGGGTCTGTGCTGAGGAGAACACTGCTCCGCCTTCGCTGTATCTCTGAAGTCTGTGCAGAGGAGAACTCAGCTCCGCCCTGGCGATGCTCTCCTTGGCTGTGCTGGGAAGAACGCAGCTCCGCCCTCGCAAAGGCGCACAGCGCGGGCGAAAGGCGCAGAGAGGCCCACAGCGCCGGGGCAGGCGCAGAGAGGCCCACAGCGCCGGGGCAGGCGCAGAGAGGCCCACAGCGCCGGCGCAGGCGCAGAGAGGCAGAAGGCCCATGAGGGGAAGGTGAGACACCTGGGGCAAAGAAGAAAAAAAAATGCGCCGCGAAGCAGTGTCTGGGTCATCCAGGGACGAAAGTTTTTTCCCATCAGGCCTTGCGCTGGGCCCCAGGGACCCTGGCATCCCTGGTTCACGCCCGGGGTGTGCCTCAGGCGACTAGGGGTACCCCAACTTGGACAGAAGGCCCATGAGTGGAAGTTGAAGTTTGTGGGAGGAGAGGTGAGGCACCAGGGGCAGAAAAAATAAAAAAAGAGGACCGCGTCTCAGAGAAGCGGGGCCTGGGTCCCCCACGGATGAAAGTGCCTTCCCATCAGGCCCTATGCTGGGCCTGGTGGACCCTGGCGACCCTGGTTCGAGCCCAGGGTGCGCCTCGGGACAGCTTGGGGTACCACAAAGCAAAGAAAAGGTCCATGAGGGGAAGGTGAGGCACCTGAGGCAGAGAAAAAAAAAATGCTCAGCCGAGAAGCAGTGCCTGGGTCCCCCACGGATGAAAGTGCCATCCCATCAGCCCCTTCGCTGGGCCCTGGGGACCCTGGCGTCCCTGGTTTGACCCTGGGGTACGCCTCGGGACAGTAGGGGTACCCCAAGGTGGGCAGAAAGCCCCTAAGGGGAAGGTGAGGCACCTAGGGCAGAGAAAAAAAAAAACTTCACCACGGAGAAACACGGCCTGGGAGCCCCACAGACGAAAGTGTCTTCCCATCAGTCCCTGCACTGGGACCCAGGGACCCTGGTGTCCCTCGTTCGAGCTCAGGGTGTGCCTCGGCCGCTAAGTGCACCCCAAGGGGGCTTTGGGGACACAAAACCCGTGAGGGGAAGGTGAGTTTTGAGGGAGGAGAGGTGAGGCACCTGTCACAGAAAAAGAAAAAAAAGAAACCCGCACCGCGGAGAGGTGGGGCCTGGGTACCCCACGGATGAAAGTGCCTTCCCATCAGCCCCTGCGCTGGGCCCCGGGGAACCTAGAGTCCCTGGTTGGAGCTCAGGGAGAGTCTCGGGCCACTAGGGATACCCCAACACGGTGGAAAGCCCATGAGAGGAAGGTGAGCTGTGAGGGAGGAGAGGTGAGGCACTTGTGGCAGAAAAGAAAAAGAAACCGCGCCACGGAAAAGTGGGGCCTGGGTCTCCCATGGAAAAAAAGTGCCTTCCCATCAGTCCCTGAGCTGGGCCACGTGGACCCAGGCGACCCTGGTTCTAGGCCTGGGTGCACCTCGGGCCCGCTAGGTGTACCCCAAAACGGGCAGAAGGCCCATGAGGGGAAGGTGAGGTTTGAGGGAAGAGAGGTGAGGCACCTGCGGCAGAAAAAAAAAAAAACCGTGCGGAAGAGAAGCGGGACCTGGGTCTCCCACGGACGAAAGTGCCTTCTCATCAGCCCCTGCGCTGGGCCCCCTGGACTCTGGCGACCCTAGTTCAAGGACCAGAAGAGACTCCGGCATGCTAGGGTACCCTAAGGAAGCCAGAAAGCCCATGAGGGGAAGGCGAGATTTAAGGGAGGAGAGGTGAGTCACCTGTGGCAGAAAAATATATATATATATATATATATATATCAGCACCTCGGAGAAGCCGGGCCTGGGTCCCCACTGATGAAAGTGCCTTCCCATCAGCCCCTGCGCTAGCCCCGAGAACCTGGCGACCCTGATTGGAGACCCGGGAGCGCCTCGGGCCTGCTCGTGGTACCCCAAAGCAGGCAGAAGGCCAGTGAGGGGAAGGTGAGGCACCAGGGGCGGAGAAAAAAAACCGCAGCTTTGAGAAGCGGGGCCTGGGTACCCACGGATGAAGGTACATTCCCATCAGCCCCTGCGCTAGGCCCCGGCGACCCTGGCATCCATGGTTCGAGTCCAGGGAGAGCCTTGGGCCGGAAGGGGTACCCCAAGTAGAGCAGAAAGCCCATGATGGGAAGTTGACGTTTGAGGGAGGAGAGGTGAGGAAACTGTGGCAGAAAAAAAAAAAGAAAACAAGCCGCGCCTAGGAGAAGCTGGGCCTGGGTACCCCAAGGATGAAAATGCCTTCCCATCAGTCCCTGCGCTGGGCCCTGTGGACGCTGGAGACCCCAGTTCGAGCCCCGGGTGCGCCCCGGGCCTGCTAGGGGTATCACAAGGAGGGCAGAAATCCCATGAGGGGCAGTTGAGGTTTGAGGAAGGAGAGGTGAGGCACCTGTGGCAGAAAAAAAAAAACTGCACCACGGAGAAGCGGAGCCTGGATCCCCAACGGAAGAAAGTGTCTTCCCATCAGCCCTTGCGCTGGGCACAGGGGACCCTGGCATTCCTGGTTCGAGACCAGGGTGCGATTCAGGCCGCTAGGGGTACCCCAAGACAGACAGAAGGCCCATGAGGGAAAGGTGAGACACCTGGGGCAGAGAACAAAATAAAAAACTGCGCCCACCAGAAGTGGGGCCTGGGTTCCCCATGGACGAACGTCCCTACCCATAAGCCCTACACTGGGCCCCGGAGACCCTAGCATCCCTGGCTCAAAACAAGGGTGCGCCTCGGGCCGGCTAGGGGTACCTCAAGGCGGGCAGAAAGCCCATGACGGGAAAGTGAGGCACCTGTGGAAAAGAAAAGAAAAAAAAACGCCACAGAGAAGCAGAGCCTGGGTCCCCGAGGAAGAACGTGTCTTATCATCAGCCACTGCGCTTGACCCTGTGGAACCTGGCTTCCATGGTTCAAGCCCAGGGTATGCCTTGGGCCGCTAGGGGTACCCCAAAGCTTGCAAAAAGCACAAGAGGGGAAGGTGAGGCACCTGGGGCAGAGAAAAACAAACACAGCCGCGGAGAAGCGGGGACTGGGTCCTCCAAACGGACGAAAGTATCTTCCCATCAGGCCTCGTGCTGGGCCTCAGGGACCCTGGAGTCCCTGGTTCGATCCCACAGTGCACCTCGGGCCGCTAGGTGTACCCCAAGGCAGACAGAAGCCACATGAGGGGAAGGTGAGATTTGAGGAAGGAGAGGAAAGGCATCTATCGTAGCAAAAAAAAAAAAAACCGCGCAAAGGAGAAGCAGGGAATGGGTCCCCCACAGACGAAAGTGCCTTCCCATCAGGCCCTGAGGGATTGAAACAGAATGAGGAGTGACTAATGTCTACAGAGTTTTTCTCTGGTCGGGGGTGATAAGACGTTCTACAATGGATTGCGAATTAAAATTGAATGTGCACAACCACAGGTATACTAAAAGCCACTCAATTCATGACTTTTAATGGGGGAATCTTATGTGGCGCACTCTCATGGAGACCACGGCAGACATAGTGAGAGAGAAAAAGGTGAGTAAATATCTGAAACGGAGGCAGAAACAGAGAGAATGAAAAGCCCTGTGAATGGAAGGGAGAGCGAAAAGGGAAAATGGTCCTATTTACAAATGACAGATGTGAAACTGGGGTTCACATCAACAGTGTCAATGCCAGGAAGGAGGGTGATGCTAGCCATGTCACGGGCAGTGTGTCCCACAGGGACGCCGACCTGCTGGAGCGTCTTGCCAGCATGGGCTCTGGCAGCCACGTGGGCCAGCAGGAGGGTCCCGCTGCACAGCTGTGGGGTGAGGATAGACTGGGTGGTGATATCGGCCATGACAGGGGCCTCTTCTGCTGGCAAGAGTGTGCCAGTAGCAAGTAGATGGACAGGCCTGCGTGTGAGGACGGAATGCAGGAGGGGCTCTTGTGAGGCTGGGTGTGGGGCCCTCACGGGAACCGTGGAGTAATGGCCAGGTAACTGCGTCATGTGGGCTAGTAGATTGGCCAGGACTTCGAACTGAAGGACAATAACGGGGAGTAGCTGTCAGGCCCTGGGAGTGTCTGAGTGTAAGTGGAGATGGGTTTTGTGTCACTGAGGGATGCGTGGGAGCCATCCCTGTATAGGTACAGGTCATAGGGAGATACTCTCGTGAGGCCTGTGAGTGTCTAGGGTTGTCCTGGGTGCCTGGGGCTGACTGTGGCAGAAATCTGGGGAAGGCTGGAGAGAAGCTGGGAGACCCAGGAGAGTCCCTGAAGGCAGGGGGTGAAGAGGTGAAAGAAATGGTGGAGGGTTGCAGTAAGGTCCGTGAGTTTGTAGGTGATTCCTGGGTGCAGGAAGCTGACTCCAGGTGATATCTGGAGATGGTTGGAGAGTAGCTGAGAGAGACAGAAGAGTCCCTGAGGGCTGGGGGTGAGAACATGAGGGAGACTGGGGAGTAAGTCAGTGAAATTCGTGAGTTCGGTGGTGTATCGTGGGTGCCTGGAACTGACTCCAGCTGGAATCTAGAGAAGTTTTGAGAGTAGCTGAAAGAGACACGAGAGTCCCTGTGGGCTGAGGGCAAAGACCTGAGAGAGACCAGGGAGGACCTCAGTGAAGTCTGTGAGTCCGTAGGTGATTCTGGAGTGTGGGAGGCTGACTCCCGCTGAAATCTGGGCGTGGTGGGAGAGTAGCTGGGACAGACAGGAGAGTCCCAGGGGGCTGGGGGTGAAGACATGAGAGAGACTGGAGAGTAACTCAGTGAAACTGCTGAGTTTGTAGGTGATACCTGGGTGCCTGGAACTGACTCCCGCTGAAATCTGGGCATGGTTGGAGAGTAGCTGGGACCCACCGGAGAGTCCCTGAGGGCTGGGGGTGAAGACATGAGAGAGACCGGGGAGTAACTGAGTGAAACTGGTGAGTTTGGTGGTGACTCCGGGGTGTCTGGAACTGACTCCAGCTGCAATGTGGGCGTGGTTGGAGAGTAGCTGGGACAGATGGGAGAGTCCCTGAGGGATGGTGAAGACATGAGAGAGACTGGGGAGTAACGCAGTGAAATTGGTGAGTTTGGTGGTGATTTCTGGGTGCCTGCAACGGACTCCCACTGAAGTGTGGGCGTGTTTGGAGAGTAGCTGGGACAGACAGGCGAGTCCCTGAGGGTTGGAGATAAAGACGTGCTAGAGACTGGGGAGTAACTCAGTGAAAGTGGTGGGCTTGGCGGTGATCCCTGGGTTCCTGGAACTGACCCGCGCTGAAATGTGGGCGTGGTTGGAGAGTAGCTGGGACAGACTGGAGGGTCCGTAAGGGCTGGGGGTGAAGACGTGAGAGAGACTGGCCAGGATCTCACTGAGGTCTGTGAGTTTGTAGGTGTTTCTGGGGTGTGGGGTACAGACTCCCGCTGAAATGTGGGCGTGGTTGGAGAGTAGCTGGGACAGACAGGAGAGTCATGGGTGGCTGGGGGTGAGCTGCTGGATGATGGCAGTAAGAACATATGGTATATTATTGATGAATGAGGTGACTGTGAAGAATCTCCAGAGGAGGACACGGGAGAACACAATGACATGAGTGACTGTCCTGCTTGGTTAGGAAATGGAAACGTAAAGCTGTGGAATTCTGTTGATGATGGATGTGAGAGTGGTGAAGCCCTGCGGGATGATGTAGAGTACTTCCACATCCCTGGTGAGGAGCTGCCCCTTGGGTCTGAGTTTCTGGGAGGGGAGAGGGAGAAGCTGGGTGAGGCAGGCATGAATCTTGAGGAGTCAGGGCTGGGGGACCGCTCATATTCTCCCGAGACCTGTGAGTCTCTGGGGGACTCCTGGGTGCATGCGACTGAATCCCGCAGGAACCTGGGGATGGCTGGATAGTAACTGGGAGCCACGGGAGAGTCCCTGAGGCCTGGGGGTGAAGAGATGAAAGACACAGGGGTGGAGCACCGTGAGGCTCGTGAGTTTGTAGGTGATTCCTGGGTGTGGGGGGCTGACTCCAGCTGAAATCTGGGGTTGTTTGGAGAGTAGCTGGGAGACACAGGAGACCCCCCGAGAGCTGGGGGTGAGCTGCTGGGTGATGGCAGTAAGAACATGTGGTATATTATTGATGAACCTGGGGACTCTGAGGAATCCTCAGAGGAGGACAGAGGAGAGCCCGATGACTTCATTGATTGCCCATCACGGTCAGGACAGGGAAATGGGAGCTTGTGGGATTCTGGTGATGACAGAGGTGAGTGTGGTGAAGCCCTAGGGGATGGTGAATGGTAGCTCCGGATCCCTGGTGAGGAGCTTCCCCTTAAGCCTGAGTTTCTGAGATGGGAGAGGGAGAAGCTGGGTGAGGCTCGCATGGACCTTGGGGAGTCCGGGCTGTGGGACCGTTCATAAGAAGAGCCAGACAAGACCCTACTGTTCTTAGGAGCAGACATGATTAGGAAACCTGCAGCTCCCAGGGGCCCCTACTAATTTTCTAACTCGCAGAAGGAAGGAGTGTGTGTGCGTGTGTGTGAGCGTGTGCGTGTGTGTGCGTGTGTGTGTGTCTGTGTGTGTGCGGTGTGAGGTATGTGCCCCTTAAGAAAATGGAAATCAACCAACCAATGGGACAGACACACAAACAGACAGACAGACAGACAGACAGACAGACAGACAGACAGAGATTCACTTGCCCAAGTGTTCTGTCCTGTCCTCGGAATCCGCTTCCAAGTCGCAAGACGCCGTGAGCTCCAAGTCGACGCAGAGTCCGCCAAAGGCTCCGGCCGCCGATCCCCTCCGCGAAGATCTGAGTACAGGCCAGCCAGGGTGGGTTTAAATAGCCTCCTGCGCAGCCTAGCAGCAGAAAGGGTGGAGCTTCACTCCTCCTTTCCGTCAGTCACCCCCAACTTTCCCAGGCGTAGGAAACTGTTCTCCTGCTTTGATTTCATGCGCCACCTTTGGGACAATCTAAGAACTTCCAAGTTTTCTTGGCCAGATATATTAGGAATTGTATGCACTGAAACACTGTAAACCAACTAGTGGTTCTGTGGTTCTCCACGTTGTGTTTTTGACACCAGCAGCATCCTTGCCACAATCAAACCCCGGAGATCCACAGATCTGTGTTGTAACAAGACCTCCCCCTGACCCTGATGCATGGCAGTTTAAGAAGTCTTTCCGTGTAAGCGAAAAGACTTTGAAGAAAAGGTGGAGATATGCGTTGTATAAACATTCTTTTGCTCTGGAACCACGTGGAGACTTGGGAGCCAGTTGGGTGGAGCATTCGTTGGATGAAGGTGCTTGGGTTCGGAATATCAAGGTGTGGCTCCAGATAATCCAATCATCTAATTAAGATTCCAGTTGTGCTCATCTGTTTTAAAATTCCGTTTGGGTAAATTCTTTTATTCAGACTGAGAATGGCAAAGCCTCAACCCCAATTTCCAGGGAGGGTTGAGAGCCTCAGGTGGAGTTGATCACCAATAGCCTATGGTTTAACCCATCATGCCTATAGAATTAGGTCTCCATAAAAACCCAAAAGGACTGGGTTCAGAGAGGTTCTGGATAACACTTCCTGGAAGGTAGTGCGCCCCTCCCCACATGCCGGGCCCCACATTTATTTCTGAACTTTTTGCAATGTCCGCTAAAATACAACGGCAAATGTAAGTGTTTCCCTGAGTGCCGTGAGCTCTTCCAGCAAATGAATGCAACTAAATCTGGGAGTGGTGGCAACCTGATTTATAGCCAGTTGCTGAGAAGCACAGGTAAAACAACGTAGGGCTTCCCGTTGTTATTAGTGTGGGAGGCCTGCCTGGCGGGACTCGGCCCTTTGGAATCTAATGCTATGTCCCGGTAGATAGCGTCACCATTGAATTAGAAGACACACATATGTTGAGAATAATCTTTCTGGTCATTTGCTGCATGTCTTATTTACAATATGTAATCAAATTCTTTATCCTGACCTTATGGCACCTGGGTTGAGAACCATGATTTGAACCAAACATTGGTCTGTCACTTTCTGAGTTTGAAACTTTATTTTGCCTTTAGCGTTTTGCTATTGCTTTTTCGTTTTCTTTTGTTTCGTTTCGTTTCTAAGTTCTGGGGTGTATGTGCAGGATGGGCAGATTTGTTACTAAGGTAAACGTGTGCCATGGTGGTTTGCTGCACCTGTCAACCCATCACCTAGGTATTAAGCCAAGCATGCAGTAGCTGTTTTCCTTAAGGCTCCGCCTCCCGAAAGGCCCCAGTGTGTGTTGTTCCCCTTCCTGTGTCCATGTGATCTCATTCTTCAGCTCCCATTATAAGTGAGAATGTGGCGTTTGGTTTTCTTTCCCTGGATTAGTTTGCTGAGGATAATGACCACACGTCACCTCTGTTTTTGTTTTTTAGTATAGAGTAGCATTTTATTGAATAAGATTTGCTCACAGAAAAATAGGCTTAAATCTACAATGAATGCCAGACTCTACAGCAGAAAGCAATTTTCTCACTTTTCCACACACAATGGTTCCTACTAAGTGAAAAAAAGCCATAAAATTTCATTCACAAATGTACTAATCTGTCTCAAAACATCTCACATAATCATGCACTGCACTAAAGCCATTAGATCAGTTCTTCAGTGAGGTTAAAGAAGTATCCCTCTAATAACTGACTTTTATAATGCTATCAATATCCACTCCCAATCAGTATGCCATTGTTAATGGTGTACAGCATTACTGTATACAATGGAATTGATGACACCCATATCCACGGACAAACCGTGACTTATGATGGTTTGATTCATGATTTTTCAACGTTATGATGGGTTTATTGGAATATGAGATGCGGTTCTGAGTTACACTGGGTTTATGAGTATGCGACCCTATACTCCAGAAACAGCTGTATAAGGAAAAACAGGTGTACCTAATAAAAATATGCTTAGTGACTTGGGATAAACCAATAGATGTTCACAACTGATGGAGAGCCGTGAAAGAGAGATAGCGGTAAATAGTTACAATAACACAATTTTCCTGCACCTGTCGAGGATTTCCCCAAAAAAACGCAGAATGTGTGATGCACCTAAGGCATATGAAAGAGAGAGGGCAGAAGGAGTAAGAGAGTAATAGGAGGAAGGAAGGAAGGAAGGAAAGAAGGAAGGTAGGAAGGAAGGAAGGAAGGAAGGAAGGAAGGAAGGAAGGAAAGAAGGACGAAAGGAAGGATAAAACACCCGGTGTTACTAAAACCCCCCAAAAATATGGTTTTCCCCTGTGGGTAAGCCTACAATGTGGATGAATCTTGAAAATATTGTGCTACGTGTTATGTCAGTCATAACAGCTCACCTATTGTGCAATTCTGTTTATAGGACATGTCCACAATATGGAAATCTATGCATATGGGGTTGATCGCACTAGGTAGTTGCTACCTAGGGCTGAGGGTCAGGGAGAGGGTTTGAGACAGAATGAGGAGTGACTAATGCCTACAGGGTTTTTCTCTGGTCGGGGGTGATAAGACGTTCTACAACGGATTGCTAATTAAAATTGAATGTGCACAACCACTGGTATACTAAAAGCCACTCAATTCATGACTTTTAATGGGGGAATCTTATGTGGCGCACTCTCATGGAGACCACGGCAGACATAGTGAGAGAGAAAAAGGTGAGTAAATATCTGAAACGGAGGCAGAAACAGAGAGAATGAAAAGCCCTGTGAATGGAAGGGAGAGCGAAAAGGGAAAATGGTCCATTTACAAATGACAGATGTGAAACTGGGGTTCACATCAACAGTGTCACTGCCAGGAAGGAGGGTGATGCTAGCCATGTCACCGGTAGTGTGTCCCGCAGGGACGCCGACTTGCTGGAGCGTCTTGCCAGCATGGGCTCTGGCAGCCACGTGGGCCAGCAGGAGGGTCCCGCTGCACAGCTGTGGGGTGAGGATAGACTGGGTGGTGATATCGGAAATGACAGGGGCCTCTTCTGCTGGCAAGAGTGTGACAGTAGCAAGTAGGTGGACAGGCCTGCGTGTGAGGACGGAATGCAGGAGCGGGTCTTGTGCGGCTGGGTGTGGGGCCCTCACGGGAACCGTGGAGTAATGGCCAGGTAACTGCGTCATGTGGGCTACTAGACTGGCCAGGGCTTCGTACTGAAGGACAATAACGGGGAGTAGCTGTCAGGCCCTCGGAGTGTCTGAGTGTAAGTGGAGATGGGTTTGGGGTCACTGAGGGATGCGTGGGAGCCATCCCTGTATAGGTACAGGTCATAGGGAGATAGTCTCGTGTGGCCTGTGAGTTTCTAGGGTTATCCTGGGTGCCTGGGGCTGACTGTGGCAGAAATCTGGGGAAGGCTGGAGAGAAGCTGGGAGACCCAGGAGAGTCCCTGAAGGCAGGGGGTGAAGAGGTGAAAGAAATGGTGGAGGGTTGCAGTAAGGTCCGTGAGTTTGTAGGTGATTCCTGGGTGCGGGAAGCTGACTCCAGGTGAAATCTGGAGATGTTTGGAGAGTAGCTGAGAGAGACAGAAGAGTCCCTGAGGGCTGGGGGTGAGAACATGAGGGAGACTGGGGTGTAAGTCAGTGAAATTCGTGAGTTCGGTGGTGTATCGTGGGTGCCTGGAACTGACTCCAGCTGGAATCTAGAGAAGTTTTGAGAGTAGCTGAAAGAGACACGAGAGTCCCTGTGGGCTGAGGGCAAAGACCTGAGAGAGACCAGGGAGGACTTCAGTGAAGTCTGTGAGTCCGTAGGTGATTCTGGAGTGTGGGAGGCTGACTCCCGCTGAAATCTGGGCGTGGTGGGGGAGTAGCTGGGACAGACAGGAGAGTCCCAGGGGGCTGGGGGTGAAGACATGAGAGAGACTGGGGAGTAACTCAGTGAAACTGTTGAGTTTGTAGGTGATACATGGGTGCCTGGGACTGACGCCCGCCGAAATCTGGGCATGGTTGGAGAGTAGCTGGGACACACAGGAGAGTCCCTGAGGGTTGAAGATAAAGACGTGCTAGAGACTGAGGTGTAACTGAGTGAAATAGGTGAGTTTGGTGGTGATTCCGGGGTGCCTGGAACTGACTCCAGCTGCAATGTGGGCGTGGTTGGAGAGTAGCTGGGACAGATGGGAGAGTCCCTGAGGGATGGTGAAGACATGAGAGAGACTGGGGAGTAACGCAGTGAAATTGGTGAGTTTGGTGGTGATTTCTGGGTGCCTGCAACGGACTCCCACTGAAGTGTGGGCGTGTTTGGAGAGTAGCTGGGACAGACAGGCGAGTCCCTGAGGGTTGGAGATAAAGACGTGCTAGAGACTGGGGAGTAACTCAGTGAAAGTGGTGGGCTTGGCGGTGATCCCTGGGTTCCTGGAACTGACCCGCGCTGAAATGTGGGCGTGGTTGGAGAGTAGCTGGGACAGACTGGAGGGTCCGTAAGGGCTGGGGGTGAAGACGTGAGAGAGACTGGCCAGGATCTCACTGAGGTCTGTGAGTTTGTAGGTGTTTCTGGGGTGTGGGGTACAGACTCCCGCTGAAATGTGGGCGTGGTTGGAGAGTAGCTGGGACAGACAGGAGAGTCATGGGTGGCTGGGGGTGAGCTGCTGGATGATGGCAGTAAGAACATATGGTATATTATTGATGAATGAGGTGACTGTGAAGAATCTCCAGAGGAGGACACGGGAGAACACAATGGCATGAGTGACTGTCCTGCTTGGTTAGGAAAGGGAAACGTAAAGCTGTGGAATTCTGTTGATGATGGATGTGAGAGTGGTGAAGCCCTGCGGGATGATGTAGAGTACTTCCACATCCCTGGTGAGGAGCTGCTCCTTGGGTCTGAGTTTCTGGGAGGGGAGAGGGAGAAGCTGGGTGAGGCAGGCAAGAATCTTGAGGAGTCAGGGCTGGGGGACCGCTCATATTCTCCCGAGACCTGTGAGTCTCTGGGGGACTCCTGAGTGCATGGGGCTGACTCCCGCAGGAACCGGGGGATGGCTGGAGAGTAACTGGGAGCCACAGGAGAGTCCCTGAGGCCTGGGGGTGAAGAGATGAAAGACACAGGGGTGGAGCACCGTGAGGCTCGTGAGTTTGTAGGTGATTCCTGGGTGTGGGGGGCTGACTCCAGCTGAAATCTGGGGTTGTTTGGAGAGTAGCTGGGAGACACAGGAGACCCCCCGAGAACTGGGGGTGAGCTGCTGGGTGATGGCAGTAAGAACATGTGGTATATTATTGATGAACGTGGGGACTCTGAGGAATCCTCAGAGGAGGACACAGGAGAGCCCGATGGCTTCATTGATTGCCCATCACGGTGAGGACAGGGAAATGGGAGCTTGTGGGATTCTGATGATGACAGAGGTGAGTGTGGTGAAGCCCTAGGGGATGGTGAATGGTAACTCCGGATCCCTGGTGAGGAGCTTCCCATTAAGCCTGAGATTCTGAGAGTGGAGAGGGAGAAGCTGGGAGAGGCTCGCATGGACCTTGGGGAGTCCAGGCTGGGGGACCGTTCATAAGAAGAGCCAGACAAGACCCTACTGTTCTTAGGAGCAGACATGATTAGGAAACCTGCAGCTCCCAGGGGCCCCTACTAATTTTCTAACTCGCAGAAGGAAGGAGTGTGTGTGCGTGTGTGTGAGTGTGTGCGTGTGTGTGCGTGTGTGTGTGTCTGTGTGTGTGCGGTGTGAGGTATGTGCCCCTTAAGAAAATGGAAATCAACCAACCATTGGGACAGAGACACAGACAGACAGACAGACAGACAGACAGAGATTCACTTGCCCAAGTGTTCTGTCCTGTCCTCTGAATCCGCCTCCAAGTCGCAAGACGCCGTGAGCTCCAAGTCCACGCAGAGTCCGCCAAAGGCTCCGGCCGCTGATCCGCTCCACGAAGATCTGAGTACAGGCCAGCCAGGGTGGGTTTAAATAGCCTCGGGCGCAACCTAGCAGCGGAAAGGGCGGAGCTTCACTCCTCCTTTCCGTCAGTCACCCCCAACTTTCCCAGGCTACACCTCTTAGGAAACTGTTCTCCTACATTGATTTCATGCGCCACCTTTGGAACAATTTAAGAACTTCCAAGTTTTCTGGGCCAGATATGTTAGGAATTGTATGCACTGAAACACTGAAAACCAACTAGTGGTTCTGTGGTTCCCACGTTGTGGTTTTGACGCCAGCAGCATCCTTGCCACAATCAAACCCCGGAGATCCACAGATCTGTGTTGTAACAAGACCTCCCCCTGACCCTGATGCATGGCAGTTTAAGAAGTCTTTCCGTGTAAGCGAAAAGACTTTGAACAAAAGGTGGAGATATGCGTTGTATAAACATTCTTTTGCTCTGGAACCACGTGGAGACTTGGGAGCCAGTTGGGTGGAGCATTCGTTGGATGAGGGTGCTCGGGTTCGGAATATCAAGGTGTGGCTCCAGATAATCCAATCATCTAATTAAGATTCCAGTTGTGCTCATCTGTTTTAAAATTCCGTTTGGGTAAATTCTTTTATTCAGATTGAGAATGGCAAAGCCTCAACCCCAATTTCCAGGGAGGGTTGAGAGCCTCAGGTGGAGTTGATCACCAATAGCCTATGGTTTAACCCATCATGCCTATAGAATGAGGTCTCCATAAAAACCCAAAAGGACTGGGTTCAGAGAGGTTCTGGATAACACTTCCTGGAAGGTAGTGCGCCCCTCCCCACATGCCGGGCCCCACATTTATTTCTGAACTTTTTGCAATGTCCGCTAAAATACAACGGCAAATGTAAGTGCTTCCCTGAGTGCTGTGAGCTCTTCCAGCAAATGAATGCAACTGAATCTGAGAGTGGTGGCAACCTGATTTATAGCCAGTTGCTGAGAAGCGCAGGTAAAACAACGTAGGGCTTCCCGTTGTTATTAGTGTTGGAGGCCTGCCTGGCGGGACTCGGCCCTTTGGAATCTAATGCTATGTCCCGGTAGATAGCGTCACCATTGAATTAGAAGACACACATATGTTGAGAATAATCTTTCTGGTCATTTGCTGCATGTCTTATTTACAATATGTAATCAAATTGTTTATCCTGACCTTATGGCACCTGGGTTGAGAACCATGATTTGAACCAAACATTGGTCTGTCACTTTCTGAGTTTGAAACTTTATTTTGCCTTTAGCGTTTTGCTATTGCTTTTTCGTTTTCTTTTGTTTCGTTTCGTTTCTAAGTTCTGGGGTATATGTGCAGGATGGACAGATTTGTTACTAAGGTAAACGTGTGCCATGGTGGTTTGCTGCACCTGTCAACCCATCACCTAGGTATTAAGCCAAGCATGCAGTAGCTGTTTTCCTTAAGGCTCCGCCTCCCGAAAGGCCCCAGTGTGTGTTGTTCTTCTTCCTGTGTCCATGTGATCTCATTCTTCAGCTCCCATTATAAGTGAGAATGTGGCGTTTGGTTTTCTTTCCCTGGATTAGTTTGCTGAGGGTAATGACCACACGTCACCACTGTTTTTGTTTTTTAGTATAAAGAGTAGCATTTTATTGAATAAGATTTGCTCACAGAAAAATAAGCTTAAATCTACAATGAATGCCAGACTCTACAGCAGAAAGCAATTTTCTCACTTTTCCACACACAATGGTTCCTACTAAGTGAAAAAAAGCCATAAAATGTCATTCACAAATGTACTAATCTGTCTCAAAACATCTCACATAATCATGCACTGCACTAAAGCCATTAGATCAGTTCTTCAGTGAGGTTAAAGAAGTATCCCTCTAATAACTGAATTTTATAATGCTATCAATATCCACTCCCAATCAGTATGCCATTGTTAATGGTGTACAGCATTACTGTATACAATGGAATTGATGACACCCATATCCACGGACAAACCGTGACTTATGATGGTTTGATTCATGATTTTTCAACGTTATGATGGGTTTATTGGAATATGAGATGCGGTTCTGAGTTACACTGGGTTTATGAGTATGCGACCCTATACTCCAGAAACAGCTGTATAAGGAAAAACAGGTGTACCTAATAAAAATATGCTTAGTGACTTGGGATAAACCAATAGATGTTCACAACTGATGGAGAGCCGTGAAAGAGAGATAGCGGTAAATAGTTACAATAACACAATTTTCCTGCACCTGTCGAGGATTTCCCCAAAAAAACGCAGAACGTGTGATGCACCTAAGGCATATGAAAGAGAGAGGGCAGAAGGAGTAAGAGAGAAATAGGAGGAAGGAAGGAAGGAAGGAAAGAAGGAAGGTAGGAAGGAAGGAAGGAAGGAAGGAAGGAAGGAAGGAAGGAAGGAAAGAAGGACGAAAGGAAGGATAAAACACCCGGTGTTACCAAACCCCCCCCAAAATATGGTTTCCCCCTGTGTGTAAGCCTACAATGTGGATGAATCTTGAAAATATTGTGCTACGTGTTATGTCAGTCATAACAGCTCACCTATTGTGCAATTCTGTTTATAGGAAATGTCCACAATGTGGAAATCTATACATATGGGGTTGGTCGCACTAGGTAGTTGCTACCTAGGGCTGAGGGTCAGGGAGAGGGTTTGAGACAGAATGAGGAGTGACTAATGTCTACAGGTTTTTCTCTGGTCGGGGGTGATAAGACGTTCTACAATGGATTGCGAATTAAAATTGAATGTGCACAACCACAGGTATACTAAAAGCCACTCAATTCATGACTTTTAATGGGGGAATCTTATGTGGCGCACTCTCATGGAGACCACGGCAGACATAGTGAGAGAGAAAAAGGTGAGTAAATATCTGAAACGGAGGCAGAAACAGAGAGAATGAAAAGCCCTGTGAATGGAAGGGAGAGCGAAAAGGGGAAATGGTCCTATTTACAAATGACAGATGTGAAACTGGGGTTCACATCAACAGTGTCACTGCCAGGAAGGAGGGTGATGCTAGCCATGTCACCGGCAGTGTGTCCCGCAGGGACGCCGACCTGCTGGAGCGTCTTGCCAGCATGGGCTCTGGCAGCCACGTGGGCCAGCAGGAGGGTCCCGCTGCACAGCTGTGGGGTGAGGATAGACTGGGTGGTGATATCGGCCATGACAGGGGCCTCTTCTGCTGGCAAGAGTGTGACAGTAGCAAGTAGATGGACAGGCCTGCGTGTGAGGACGGAATGCAGGAGGGTCTCTTGTGAGGCTGGGTGTGGGGCCCTCACGGGAACCGTGGAGTAATGGCCAGGTAACTGCGTCATGTGGGCTAGTAGATTGGCCAGGGCTTCGAACTGAAGGACAATAACAGGGAGTAGCTGTCAGGCCCTGGGAGTGTCTGAGTGTAAGTGGAGATGGGTTTGGGGTCACTGAGGGATGCGTGGGAGCCATCCCTGTATAGGTACAGGTCATAGGGAGATAGTCTCGTGTGGCCCGTGAGTGTCTAGGGTTGTCCTGGGTGCCTGGGGCTGACTGTGGCAGAAATCTGGGGAAGGCTGGAGAGAAGCTGGGAGACCCAGGAGAGTCCCTGAAGGCAGGGGGTGAAGAGGTGAAAGAAATGGGGGAGGGTTGCAGTAAGGTCCGTGAGTTTGTAGGTGATTCCTGGGTGCGTGAAGCTGACTCCACGTGAAATCTGGAGATGGTTGGAGAGTAGCTGAGAGAGACAGAAGAGTCCCTGAGGGCTGGGGGTGAGAACATGAGGGAGACTGGGGAGTAAGTCAGTGAAATTCGTGAGTTCGGTGGTGTATCGTGGGTGCCTGGAACTGACTCCAGCTGGAATCTAGAGAAGTTTTGAGAGTAGCTGAAAGAGACACAAGAGTCCCTGTGGGCTGAGGGCAAAGACCTGAGAGAGACCAGGGAGGACCTCAGTGAAGTCTGTGAGTCCGTAGGTGATTCTGGAGTGTGGGAGGCTGACTCCCGCTGAAATCTGGGCGTGGTGGGGGAGTAGCTGGGACAGACAGGAGAGTCCCAGGGGGCTGGGGGTGAAGACATGAGAGAGACTGGGGAGTAACTCAGTGAAACTGCTGAGTTTGTAGGTGATACCTGGGTGCCTGGAACTGACTCCCGCTGAAATCTGGGCATGGTTGGAGAGTATCTGGGACACACAGGAGAGTCCCTGAGGGCTGGTGAAGACATGAGAGAGACTGGAGAGTAATTGAGTGAAATTGGTGAGTTTGGTGGTGATTCCTGGGTGCCTGGAACTGACTCCCGCTGAAGTGTGGGCGTGGTTGGAGAGTAGCTGGGACACACAGGAGAGTCCCTGAGGGTTGGAGATAAAGACGTGCTAGAGACTGAGGAGTAACTGAGTGAAACAGGTGAGTTTGGTGGTGATTCCGGGGTGCCTGGAACTGACTCCAGCTGCAATGTGGGCGTGGTTGGAGAGTAGCTGGGACAGACGGGAGAGTCCCTGAGGGATGGTGAAGACATGAGAGAGACTGGGGAGTAACGCAGTGAAATTGGTGAGTTTGGTGGTGATTTCTGGGTGCCTGCAACGGACTCCGGCTGAAGTGTGGGCGTGTTTGGAGAGTAGCTGGGACAGACAGGCGAGTCCCTGAGGGTTGGAGATAAAGACGTGCTAGAGACTGGGGAGTAACTCAGTGAAAGTGGTGGGCTTGGCGGTGATCCCTGGGTTCCCGGAACCGACCCGCGCTGAAATGTGGGCGTGGTTGGAGAGTAGCTGGGACAGACTGGAGGGTCCGTAAGGGCTGGGGGTGAAGACGTGAGAGAATCTGGCCAGGATCTCACTGAGGTCTGTGAGTTTGTAGGTGTTGCTGGGGTGTGGGGTACAGACAGCCGCTGAAATGTGGGCGTGGTTGGAGAGTAGCTGGGACAGACAGGAGAGTCATGGGTGGCTGGGGGTGAGCTGCTGGATGATGGCAGTAAGAACATATGGTATATTATTGATGAATGAGGTGACTGTGAAGAATCTCCAGAGGAGGACATGGGAGAACACAATGACATGAGTGACTGTCCTGCTTGGTTAGGAAAGGGAAACGTAAAGCTGTGGAATTCTGTTGATGATGGATGTGAGACTGGTGAAGCCCTGCGGGATGATGTAGAGTTCTTCCACATCCCTGGTGAGGAGCTGCCCCTTGGGTCTGAGTTTCTGGGAGGGGAGAGGGAGAAGCTGGGTGAGGCAGGCATGAATCTTGAGGAGTCAGGGCTGGGGGACCGCTCATATTCTCCCGAGACGTGTGAGTCTCTGGGCGACTCCTGGGTGCATGGGGCTGACTCCCGCAGGAACCTGGGGATGGCTGGAGAGTAACTGGGAGCCACAGGAGAGTCCCTGAGGCCTGGGGGTGAAGAGATGAAAGACACAAGGGTGGAGCACCGTGAGGCTCGTGAGTTTGTAGGTGATTCCCGGGTGTGGGGGGCTGACTCCAGCTGAAATCTGGGGTTGTTTGGAGAGTAGCTGGGAGACACAGGAGACCCCCCGAGAGCTGGGGGTGAGCTGCTGGGTGATGGCAGTAAGAACATGTGGTATATTATTGATGAACCTGGGGACTCTGAGGAATCCTCAGAGGAGGACAGAGGAGAGCCCGATGGCTTCATTGATTGCCCATCATGGTGAGGACAGGGAAATGGGAGCTTGTGGGATTCTGGTGATGACAGAGGTGAGTGTGGTGAAGCCCTAGGGGATGGTGAATGGTAGCTCCGGATCCCTGGTGAGGAGCTTCCCATTAAGCCTGAGTTTCTGAGAGGGGAGAAGGAGAAGCTGGGTGAGGCTCGCATGGACCTTGGGGAGTCCGGGCTGGGGGACCGTTCATAAGAAGAGCCAGACAAGACCCTACTGTTCTTAGGTGCAGACATGATTAGGAAACCTGCAGCTCCCAGGGGCCCCTACTAATTTTCTAACTCGCAGATGGAAGGAGTGTGTGTGCGTGTGTGTGAGTGTGTGCGTGTGTGTGCGTGTGTGTGTGTCTGTGTGTGTGCGGTGTGAGGTATATGCCCCTTAAGAAAATGGAAATCAACCAACCAATGAGACAGACACACAGACAGACAGACAGACAGAGATTCACTTGCCCAAGTGTTCTGTCCTGTCCTCTGAATCCGCCTCCAAGTCGCAAGACGCCGTGAGCTCCAAGTCCACGCAGAGTCCGCCAAACGCTCCGGCCGCTGATCCGCTCCGCGAAGATCTGAGTACAGGCCAGCCAGCGTGGGTTTAAATAGCCTCGGGCGCAACCTAGCAGCGGAAAGGGCGGAGCTTCACTCCTCCTTTCCGTCAGTCACCCCCAACTTTCCCAGGCTACACCTCGTAGGAAACTGTTCTCCTACTTTGATTTCATGCGCTACCTTTGGAACAATCTAAGAACTTCCAAGTTTTCTTGGCCAGATATATTAGGAATTGTATGCACTGAAACACTGAAAACCAACTAGTGGTTCTGTGGTTCCCACGTTGTGGTTTTGACGCCAGCAGCATCCTTGCCACAATCAAACCCCGGAGATCCAGAGATCTGTGTTGTAACAAGATCTCCCCCTGACCCTGATGCATGGCAGTTTAAGAAGTCTTTCCGTGTAAGCGAAAAGACTTTGAAGAAAAGGTGGAGATATGCGTTGTATAAACATTCTTTTGCTCTGGAAGCAGGTGGAGACTTGGGAGCCAGTTGGGTGGAGCATTCGTTGGATGAGGGTGCTCGGGTTCGGAATATCAAGGTATGGCTCCAGATAATCCAATCATCTAATTAAGATTCCAGTTGTGCTCATCTGTTTTAAAATTCCGTTTGGGTAAATTCTTTTATTCAGACTGAGAATGGCAAAGCCTCAACCCCAATTTCCAGGGAGGGTTGAGAGCCTCAGGTGGAGTTGATCACCAATAGCCTATGGTTTAACCCATCATGCCTATAGAATGAGGTCTCCATAAAAACCCAAAAGGACTGGGATCAGAGAGCTTCTGGATAACACTTCCTGGAAGGTAGTGCGCCCCTCCCCACATGCCGGGCCCCACATTTATTTCTGAACTTTTTGCAATGTCCGCTAAATTACAACGGCAAATGTAAGTCTTTCCCCGAGTGCCGTGAGCTCTTCCAGCAAATGAATGCAACTAAATCTGGGAGTGGTGGCAACCTGATTTATAGCCAGTTGCTGAGAAGCACAGGTAAAACAACGTAGGGCTTCCCGTTGTTACTAGTGTGGGAGGCCTGCCTGGCGGGACTTGGCCCTTTGGAATCCAATGCTATGTCCCGGTAGATAGCGTCACCATTGAATTAGAAGACACACATATGTTGAGAATAATCTTTCTGGTCATTTGCTGCATGTCTTATTTACAATATGTAATCAAATTCCTTATCCTGACCTTATGGCACCTGGGTTGAGAACCATGATTTGAACCAAACATTGGTCTGTCACTTTCTGAGTTTGAAACTTTATTTTGCCTTTAGCGTTTTGCTACTGCTTTTTCGTTTTCTTTTGTTTCGTTTCGATTCTAAGTTGTGGGGTATATGTGCAGGATGGGCAGATTTGTTACTAAGGTAAACGTGTGCCATGGTGGTTTACTGCACCTGTCAACCCATCACCTAGGTATTAAGCCCAGCATGCAGTAGCTGTTTTTCTTAACGCTCTGCCTCCCGAAAGGCCCCAGTGTGTGTTGTTCCCCTTCCTGTGTCCATGTGATCTCATTTTTCAGCTCCCATTATAAGTGAGAATGTGGCGTTTGGTTTTCTTTCCCTGGATTAGTTTGCTGAGGATAATGACCACACATCACCACTGTTTTTGTTTTTTAGTATAAAGAGTAGCATTTTATTGAATAAGATTTGCTCACAGAAAAATAATCTTAAATCTACAATGAATGCCAGACTCTACAGCAGAAAGCAATTTTCTCACTTTTCCACACACAATGGTTCCTACTAAGTGAAAAAAAGCCATAAAATTTCATTCACAAATGTACTACTCTGTCTCAAAACATCTCACATAATCATGCACTGTACTAAAGCCATTAGATCAGTTCTTCAGTGAGGTTAAAGAAGTATCCCTCTAATAACTGACTTTTATAATGCTATCAATATGCACTCCCAATCAGTCTGCCATTGTTAATGGTGTACAGCATTACTGTATACAATGGAATTGATGACACCCATATCCATGGACAAACCGTGACTTATGATGGTTTGATTCATGATTTTTCAACGTTATGATGGGTTTATTGGAATATTAGATGCGTTTCTGAGTTACACTGGGTTTATGAGTATGCGACCCTATACTCCAGAAACAGCTGTATAAGGAAAAACAGGTGTACCTAATAAAAATATGCTTAGTGACTTGCGATAAACCAATAGATGTTCACAACTGATGGAGAGCCGTGAAAGAGAGATAGCGGTAAATAGTTACAATAACACAATTTTCCTGCACCTGTCGAGGATTTCCCCAAGAAAACGCAGAATGTGGGATGCACCTAAGGCATGTGAAAGTGAGAGGGCAGAAGGAGTAAGAGAGAAATAGGAGGAAGGAAGGAAGGAAGGAAAGAAGGAAGGTAGGAAGGAAGGAAGGAAGGAAAGAAGGAAGGAAGGAAGGAAAGAAGGACGAAAGGAAGGAGAAAACACCCGGTGTTACTAAAACCCCCCAAAAATATGGTTTCCCCATGTGGGTAAGCCTACAATGTGGAGGAATCTTGAAAATATTGTGCTACGTGTTATATCAGTCATAACAGCTCACCTATTGTGCAATTCCGTTTAAAGGAAATGTCCACAATATGGAAATCTCTGCATATGTGGTTGATCGCACTAGGTAGTTGCTACCTAGGGCTGAGGGTCAGGGAGAGGGTTTGAGACAGAATGAGGAGTGACTAATGTCTACAGGGTTTTTCTCTGGTCGGGGGTGATAAGACATTCTACAATGGATTGCGAATTAAAATTGAATGTGCACAACCACAGGTGTACTAAAAGCCACTCAATTCATGACTTTTAATGGGGGAATCTTATGTGGCGCATTCTCATGGAGACCACGGCAGACATAGTGAGAGAGAAAAAGGTGAGTGAATATCTGAAACGGAGGCAGAAACAGAGAGAATGAAAAGCCCAGTGAATGGAAGGGAGAGCGAAAAGGGAAAATGGTCCTATTTCCAAATGACAGATGTGAAACTGGGGTTCACATCAACAGTGTCACTGCCAGGAAGGAGGGTGATGCTAGCCATGTCACCGGTAGTGTGTCCCGCAGGGACGCCGACCTGCTGGAGCGTCGTGCCAGCATGGGCTCTGTCAGCCACGTGGGCCAGCAGGAGGGTCCCGCTGCACAGCTGTGGGGTGAGGATAGACTGGGTGGTGATATCGGCCATGACGGGGGCCTCTTCTGCTGGCAAGAGTGTGACAGTAGCAAGTAGATGGACAGGCCTGCGTGTGAGGACGGAATGCAGGAGCGGCTCTTGTGCGGCTGGGTGTGGGGCCCTCACGGGAACCGTGGAGTAATGGCCAGGTAACTGCGTCATGTGGGCTAGTAGATTGGCCAGGGCTTCGAACTGAAGGACAATAACGGGGAGTAGCTGTCAGGCCCTGGGAGTGTCTGAGTGTAAGTGGAGATGGGTTTGGGATCACTGAGGGATGCGTGGGAGCCATCCCTGTATAGGTACAGGTCATAGGGAGATAGTCTCGTGTGGCCCGTGAGTGTCTAGGGTTGTCCTGGGTGCCTGGGGCTGACTGTGGCAGAAATCTGGGGAAGGCTGGAGAGAAGCTGGGAGACCCAGGAGAGTCCCTGAAGGCAGGGGGTGAAGAGGTGAAAGAAATGGGGGAGGGTTGCAGTAAGGTCCGTGAGTTTGTAGGTGATTCCTGGGTGCGGGAAGCTGACTCCACGTGAAATCTGGAGATGGTTGGAGAGTAGCTGAGAGAGACAGAAGAGTCCCTGAGGGCTGGGGGTGAGAACATGAGGGAGACTGGGGAGTAAGTCAGTGAAATTCGTGAGTTCGGTGTTGTATCGTGGGTGCCTGGAACTGACTCCAGCTGGAATCTAGAGAAGTTTTGAGAGTAGCTGAAAGAGACACAAGAGTCCCTGTGGGCTGAGGGCAAAGACCTGAGAGAGACCAGGGAGGACCTCAGTGAAGTCTGTGAGTCCGTAGGTGATTCTGGAGTGTGGGAGGCTGACTCCCGCTGAAATCTGGGCGTGGTGCGGGAGTAGCTGGGACAGACAGGAGAGTCCCAGGGGGCTGGGGGTGAAGACATGAGAGAGACTGGGGAGTAACTCAGTGAAACTGCTGAGTTTGTAGGTGATACCTGGGTGCCTGGAACTGACTCCCGCTGAAATCTGGGCATGGTTGGAGAGTATCTGGGACACACAGGAGAGTCCCTGAGGGCTGGGGGTGAAGACATGAGAGAGTCCGGGGAGTAACTGAGTGAAACTGGTGAGTTTGGTGGTGACTCCGGGTTGCCTGGAACTGACTCCAGCTGAAATGTGGGCGTGGTTGGAGAGTAGCTGGGACACACAGGAGAGTCCCTGAGGGTTGGAGATAAAGACGTGCTAGAGACTGAGGAGTAACTGAGTGAAACAGGTGAGTTTGGTGGTGATTCCGGGGTGTCTGGAACTGACTCCAGCTGCAATGTGGGCGTGGTTGGAGAGTAGCTGGGACAGACGGGAGAGTCCCTGAGGGATGGTGAAGACATGAGAGAGACTGGGGAGTAACGCAGTGAAATTGGTGAGTTTGGTGGTGATTTCTGGGTGCCTGCAACGGACTCCAGCTGAAGTGTGGGCGTGTTTGGAGAGTAGCTGGGACAGACAGGCGAGTCCCTGAGGGTTGGAGATAAAGACGTGCTAGAGACTGGGGAGTAACTCAGTGAAAGTGGTGGGCTTGGCGGTGATCCCTGGGTTCCCGGAACCGACCCGCGCTGAAATGTGGGCGTGGTTGGAGAGTAGCTGGGACAGACTGGAGGGTCCGTAAGGGCTGGGGGTGAAGACGTGAGAGAATCTGGCCAGGATCTCACTGAGGTCTGTGAGTTTGTAGGTGTTGCTGGGGTGTGGGGTACAGACAGCCGCTGAAATGTGGGCGTGGTTGGAGAGTAGCTGGGACAGACAGGAGAGTCATGGGTGGCTGGGGGTGAGCTGCTGGATGATGGCAGTAAGAACATATGGTATATTATTGATGAATGAGGTGACTGTGAAGAACCTCCAGAGGAGGACACGGGAGAACACAATGACATGAGTGACTGTCCTGCTTGGTTAGGAAATGGAAACGTAAAGCTGTGGAATTCTGTTGATGGTGGATGTGAGAGTGGTGAAGCCCTGCGGGATGATGTAGAGTACTTCCACATCCCTGGTGAGGAGCTGCTCCTTGGGTCTGAGTTTCTGGGAGGGGAGAGGGAGAAGCTGGGTGAGGCAGGCATGAATCTTGAGGAGTCAGGGCTGGGGGACCGCTCATATTCTCCCGAGACCTGTGAGTCTCTGGGGGACTCCTGGGTGCATGTGCCTGACTCCCGCAGGAACCTGGGGATGGCTGGAGAGTAACTGGGAGCCACAGGAGAGTCCCTGAGGCCTGGGGGTGAAGAGATGAAAGACACAGGGGTGGAGCACCGTGAGGCTCGTGAGTTTGTAGGTGATTCCTGGGTGTGGGGGGCTGACTCCAGCTGAAATCTGGGGTTGTTTGGAGAGTAGCAGGGAGACACAGGAGACCCCCTGAGAGCTGGGGGTGAGCTGCTGGGTGATGGCAGTAAGAACATGTGGTATATTATTGATGAACCTGGGGACTCTGAGGAATCCTCAGAGGAGGACAGAGGAGAGCCCGATGGCTTCATTGATTGCCCATCACGGTGAGGACAGGGAAATGGGAGCTTGTGGGATTCTGGTGCTGACAGAGGTGAGTGTGGTGAAGCCCTAGGGGATGGTGAATGGTAGCTCCGGATCCCTGGTGAGGAGCTTCCCCTTAAGCCTGAGTTTCTGAGAGCGGAGAAGGAGAAGCTGGGTGAGGCTCGCATGGACCTTGGGGAGTCCGGGCTGGGGGACCGTTCATAAGAAGAGCCAGACAAGACCCTACTGTTCTTAGGTGCAGACATGATTAGGAAACCTGCAGCTCCCAGGGGCCCCTACTAATTTTCTAACTCGCAGAAGGAAGGAGTGTGTGTGCGTGTGTGTGTGTCTGTGTGTGTGCGGTGTGAGGTATGTGCCCCTTAAGAAAATGGAAATCAACCAACCAATGAGACAGACACACAGACAGACAGACAGACAGACAGACAGACAGAGAGTCACTTGCCCAAGTGTTCTGTCCTGTCCTCTGAATCTGCCTCCAAGTCGCAAGACGCCGTGAGCTCCAAGTCCACGCAGAGTCCGCCAAAGGCTCCGGCCGCTGATCCGCTCCGCGAAGATCTGAGTACAGGCCAGCCAGCGTGGGTTTAAATAGCCTCGGGCGCAACCTAGCAGCGGAAAGGGCGGAGCTTCACTCCTCCTTTCCGTCAGTCACCCCCAACTTTCCCAGGCTACACCTCGTAGGAAACTGTTCTACTTTGATTTCATGCGCCACCTTTGGAACAATCTAAGAACTTCCAAGTTTTCTTGGCCAGATATATTAGGAATTGTATGCACTGAAACACTGAAAACCAACTAGTGGTTCTGTGGTTCCCACGTTGTGGTTTTGACGCCAGCAGCATCCTTGCCACAATCAAACCCCGGAGATCCACAGATCTGTGTTGTAACAAGACCTCCCCCTGACCCTGATGCATGGCAGTTTAAGAAGTCTTTCCGTGTAAGCGAAAAGACTTTGAAGAAAAGGTGGAGATATGCGTTGTATAAACATTCTTTTGCTCTGGGACCAGGTGGAGACTTGGGAGCCAGTTGGGTGGAGCATTCGTTGGATGAGGGTGCTCGGGTTCGGAATATCAAGGTGTGGCTCCAGATAATCCAATCATCTAATTAAGATTCCAGTTGTGCTCATCTGTTTTAAAATTCCGTTTGGGTAAATTCTTTTATTCAGACTGAGAATGGCAAAGCCTCAACCCCAATTTCCAGGGAGGGTTGAGAGCCTCAGGTGGAGTTGATCACCAATAGCCTATGGTTTAACCCATCATGCCTATAGAATGAGGTCTCCATAAAAACCCAAAAGGACTGGGATCAGAGAGCTTCTGTATAACACTTCTTGGAAGGTAGTGCGCCCCTCCCCACATGCCGGGCCCCACATTTATTTCTGAACTTTTTGCAATGTCCGCTAAATAACAACGGCAAATGTAAGTGTTTCCCCGAGTGCCGTGAGCTCTTCCAGCAAATGAATGCAACTAAATCTGGGAGTGGTGGCAACCTGATTTATAGCCAGTTGCTGAGAAGCACAGGTAAAACAACGTAGGGCTTCCCGTTGTTACTAGTGTGGGAGGCCTGCCTGGCGGGACTCGGCCCTTTGGAATCCAATGCTATGTCCCGGTAGATAGCGTCACCATTGAATTAGAAGACACACATATGTTGAGAATAATCTTTCTGGTCATTTGCTGCATGTCTTATTTACAATATGTAATCAAATTCCTTATCCTGACCTTATGGCACCTGGGTTGAGAACCATGATTTGAACCAAACATTGGTCTGTCACTTTCTGAGTTTGAAACTTTATTTTGCCTTTAGCGTTTTGCTACTGCTTTTTCGTTTTCTTTTGTTTCGTTTCGATTCTAAGTTGTGGGGTATATGTGCAGGATGGGCAGATTTGTTACTAAGGTAAACGTGTGCCATGGTGGTTTACTGCACCTGTCAACCCATCACCTAGGTATTAAGCCCAGCATGCAGTAGCTGTTTTTCTTAACGCTCTGCCTCCCGAAAGGCCCCAGTGTGTGTTGTTCCCCTTCCTGTGTCCATGTCATCTCATTTTTCAGCTCCCATTGTAAGTGAGAATGTGGCGTTTGGTTTTCTTTCCCTGGATTAGTTTGCTGAGGATAATGACCACACATCACCGCTGTTTTTGTTTTTTAGTATAAAGAGTAGCATTTTATTGAATAAGATTTGCTCACAGAAAAATAATCTTAAATCTACAATGAATGCCAGACTCTACAGCAGAAAGGAATTTTCTCACTTTTCCACACACAATGGTTCCTACTAAGTGAAAAAAAGCCATAAAATTTCATTCACAAATGTATTACTCTGTCTCAAAACATCTCACATAATCATGCACTGTACTAAAGCCATTAGATCAGTGCTTCAGTCAGGTTAAAGAAGTATCCCTCTAATAACTGACTTTTATAATGCGATCAATATGCACTCCCAATCAGTCTGCCATTGTTAATGGTGTACAGCATTACTGTATACAATGGAATTGATGACACCCATATCCATGGACAAACCGTGACTTATGATGGTTTGATTCATGATTTTTCAACGTTATGATGGGTTTATTGGAATATTAGATGCGGTTCCGAGTTACACTGGGTTTATGAGTATGCGACCCTATACTCCAGAAACAGCTGTATAAGGAAAAACAGGTGTACATAATAAAAATATGCTTAGTGACTTGCGATAAACCAATAGATGTTCACAACTGATGGAGAGCCGTGAAAGAGAGATAGCGGTAAATAGTTACAATAACACAATTTTCCTGCACCTGTCGAGGATTTCCCCAAGAAAACGCAGAATGTGGGATGCACCTAAGGCATGTGAAAGTGAGAGGGCAGAAGGAGTAAGAGAGAAATAGGAGGAAGGAAGGAAGGAAGGAAAGAAGGAAGGTAGGAAGGACGGAAGGAAAGAAAGAAGGAAGGAAAGAAGGAAAGAAGGACGAAAGGAAGGAGAAAACACCCGGTGTTACTAAAACCCCCCAAAAATATGGTTTCCCCCTGTGGGTAAGCCTACAATGTGGAGGAATCTTGAAAATATTGTGCTACGTGTTATGTCAGTCATAACAGCTCACCTATTGTGCAATTCCGTTTAAAGGAAATGTCCACAATATGGAAATCTCTGCATATGTGGTTGATCGCACTAGCTAGTTGCTACCTAGGGCTGAGGGTCAGGGAGAGGGTTTGAGACAGAATGAGGAGTGACTAATGTCTACAGGGTTTTTCTCTGGTCGGGGGTGATAAGACATTCTACAATGGATTGCGAATTAAAATTGAATGTGCACAACCACAGGTGTACTAAAAGCCACTCAATTCATGACTTTTAATGGGGGAATCTTATGTGGCGCACTCTCATGGAGACCACGGCAGACATAGTGAGAGAGAAAAAGGTGAGTGAATATCTGAAACGGAGGCAGAAACAGAGAGAATGAAAAGCCCAGTGAATGGAAGGGAGAGCGAAAAGGGAAAATGGTCCTATTTCCAAATGACAGATGTGAAACTGGGGTTCACATCAACAGTGTCACTGCCAGGAAGGAGGGTGATGCTAGCCATGTCACCGGTAGTGTGTCTCGCAGGGACGCCGACCTGCTGGAGCGTCGTGCCAGCATGGGCTCTGTCAGCCACGTGGGCCAGCAGGAGGGTCCCGCTGCACAGCTGTGGGGTGAGGATAGACTGGGTGGTGATATCGGCCATGACGGGGGCCTCTTCTGCTGGCAAGAGTGTGACAGTAGCAAGTAGATGGACAGGCCTGCGTGTGAGGACGGAATGCAGGAGCGGCTCTTGTGCGGCTGGGTGTGGGGCCCTCACGGGAACCGTGGAGTAATGGCCAGGTAACTGCGTCATGTGGGCTAGTAGATTGGCCAGGGCTTCGAACTGAAGGACAATAACGGGGAGTAGCTGTCAGGCCCTGGGAGTGTCTGAGTGTAAGTGGAGATGGGTTTGGGGTCACTGAGGGATGCATGGGAGCCATCCCTGTATAGGTACAGGTCATAGGGAGATAGTCTCGTGTGGCCCGTGAGTGTCTAGGGTTGTCCTGGGTGCCTGGGGCTGACTGTGGCAGAAATCTGGGGAAGGCTGGAGAGAAGCTGGGAGACCCAGGAGAGTCCCTGAAGGCAGGGGGTGAAGAGGTGAAAGAAATGGGGGAGGGTTGCAGTAAGGTCCGTGAGTTTGTAGGTGATTCCTGGGTGCGGGAAGCTGACTCCAGGTGAAATCTGGAGATGGTTGGAGAGTAGCTGAGAGAGACAGAAGAGTCCCTGAGGGCTGGGGGTGAGAACATGAGGGAGACTGGGGAGTAAGTCAGTGAAATTCGTGAGTTCGGTGTTGTATCGTGGGTGCCTGGAACTGACTCCAGCTGGAATCTAGAGAAGTTTTGAGAGTAGCTGAAAGAGACACAAGAGTCCCTGTGGGCTGAGGGCAAAGACCTGAGAGAGACCAGGGAGGACCTCAGTGAAGTCTGTGAGTCCGTAGGTGATTCTGGAGTGTGGGAGGCTGACTCCCGCTGAAATCTGGGCGTGGTGCGGGAGTAGCTGGGACAGACAGGAGAGTCCCAGGGGGCTGGGGGTGAAGACATGAGAGAGACTGGGGAGTAACTCAGTGAAACTGCTGAGTTTGTAGGTGATACCTGGGTGCCTGGAACTGACTCCCGCTGAAATCTGGGCATGGTTGGAGAGTATCTGGGACACACAGGAGAGTCCCTGAGGGCTGGGGGTGAAGACATGAGAGAGTCCGGGGAGTAACTGAGTGAAACTGGTGAGTTTGGTGGTGACTCCGGGTTGCCTGGAACTGACTCCAGCTGAAATGTGGGCGTGGTTGGAGAGTAGCTTGGACAGACAGGAGAGTCCCTGAGGGCTGGTGAAGGCATGACAGAGACTGGAGAGTAATTGAGTGAAATTGGTGAGTTTCGTGGTGATTCCTGGGTGCCTGGAACTGACTCCCGCTGAAGTGTGGGCGTGGTTGGAGAGTAGCTGGGAAACACAGGAGAGTCCCTGAGGGTTGGAGATAAAGACGTGCTAGAGACTGAGGAGTAACTGAGTGAAACTGGTGAGTTTGGTGGTGTTTCCGGGGTGCCTGGAACTGACTCCAGCTGCAATGTGGGCGTGGTTGGAGAGTAGCTGGGACAGACGGGAGAGTCCTTGAGGGATGGTGAAGACATGAGAGAGACTGGGGAGTAACGCAGTGAAATTGGTGAGTTTGGTGGTGATTTCTGGGTGCCTGCAACGGACTCCGGCTGAAGTGTGGGCGTGTTTGGAGAGTAGCTGGGACAGACAGGCGAGTCCCTGAGGGTTGGAGATAAAGACGTGCTAGAGACTGGGGAGTAACTCAGTGAAAGTGGTGGGCTTGGCGGTGATCCCTGGGTTCCCGGAACCGACCCGCGCTGAAATGTGGGCGTGGTTGGAGAGTAGCTGGGACAGACTGGAGGGTCCGTAAGGGCTGGGGGTGAAGACGTGAGAGAGACTGGCCAGGATCTCCCTGAGGTCTGTGAGTTTGTAGGTGTTGCTGGGGTGTGGGGTACAGACTGCCGCTGAAATGTGGGCGTGGTTGGAGAGTAGCTGGGACAGACAGGAGAGTCATGGGTGGCTGGGGGTGAGCTGCTGGATGATGGCAGTAAGAACATATGGTATATTATTGATGAATGAGGTGACTGTGAAGAATCTCCAGAGGAGGACACGGGAGAACACAATGACATGAGTGACTGTCCTGCTTGGTTAGGAAAGGGAAACGTAAAGCTGTGGAATTCTGTTGATGATGGATGTGAGAGTGGTGAAGCCCTGTGGGATGATGTAGAGTACTTCCACATCCCTGGTGAGGAGTTGCCCCTTGGGTCTGAGTTTCTGAGAGGGGAGAGGGAGAAGCTGGGTGAGGCAGGCATGAATCTTGAGGAATCAGGGCTGGGGGACCGCTCATATTCTCCCGAGACCTGTGAGTCTCTGGGGGACTCCTGGGTGCATGGGGCTGACTCCTGCAGGAACCTGGGGATGGCTGGAGAGTAACTGGGAGCCACAGGAGAGTCCCTGAGGCCTGGGGGTGAAGAGATGAAAGACACAGGGGTGGAGCACCGTGAGGCTCGTGAGTTTGTAGGTGATTCCTGGGTGTGGGCAGCTGACTCCAGCTGAAATCTGGGGTTGTTTGGAGAGTAGCTGGGAGACACAGGACACCCCCCGAGAGCTGGGGGTGAGCTGCTGGGTGATGGCAGTAAGAACATGTGGTATATTATTGATGAACCTGGGGACTCTGAGGAATCCTCAGAGGAGGACAGAGGAGAGCCCGATGGCTTCATTGATTGCCCATCACGGTGAGGACAGGGAAATGGGAGCTTGTGGGATTCTGGTGATGACAGAGGTGAGTGTGGTGAAGCCCTAGGGGATGGTGAATGGTAGCTCCGGATCCCTGGTGAGGAGCTTCCCCTTAAGCCTGAGTTTCTGAGAGGGGAGAAGGAGAAGCTGGGTGAGGCTCGCATGGACCTTGGGGAGTCCGGGCTGGGGGACCGTTCATAAGAAGAGCCAGACAAGACCCTACTGTTCTTAGGTGCAGACATGATTAGGAAACCTGCAGCTCCCAGGGGCCCCTACTAATTTTCTAACTCGCAGAAGGAAGGAGTGTGTGTGCGTGTGTGTGAGTGTGTGCGTGTGTGTGCGTGTGTGTGTGTCTGTGTGTGTGCGGTGTGAGGTATGTGCCCCTTAAGAAAATGGAAATCAACCAACCAATGAGACAGACACACAGACAGACAGACAGACAGAGATTCACTTGCCCAAGTGTTCTGTCCTGTCCTCTGAATCCGCCTCCAAGTCGCAAGACGCCGTGAGCTCCAAGTCCACGCAGAGTCCGCCAAAGGCTCGGCCGCTGATCCGCTCCGCGAAGATCTGAGTATAGGCCAGCCAGGGTGGGTTTAAATAGCCTCGGGCGCAACCTAGCAGCGGAAAGGGTGGAGCTTCACTCCTCCTTTCCGTCAGTCACCCCCAACTTTCCCAGGCTACACCTCGTAGGAAACTGTTCTCCTACTTTGATTTTATGCGCCACCTTTGGAACAATCTAAGAACTTCCAAGTTTTCTTGGCCAGATATATTAGGAATTGTATGCACTGAAACACTGAAAACCAACTAGTGGTTCTGTGGTTCCCACGTTGTGGTTTTGACGCCAGCAGCATCCTTGCCACAATCAAACCCCGGAGATCCACAGATCTGTGTTGTAACAAGACCTCCCCCTGACCCTGATGCATGGCAGTTTAAGAAGTCTTTCCGTGTAAGCGAAAAGACTTTGAAGAAAAGGTGGAGATATGCGTTGTATAAACATTCTTTTGCTCTGGGACCAGGTGGAGACTTGGGAGCCAGTTGGGTGGAGCATTCGTTGGATGAGGGTGCTCGGGTTCGGAATATCAAGGTGTGGCTCCAGATAATCCAATCATCTAATTAAGATTCCAGTTGTACTCATCTGTTTTAAAATTCCGTTTGGGTAACTTCTTTTAGTCAGACTGAGAATGGCAAAGCCTCAACCCCAATTTCCAGGGAGGGTTGAGAGCCTCAGGTGGAGTTGATCACCAATAGCCTATGGTTTAACCCATCATGCCTATAGAATGAGGTCTCCATAAAAACCCAAAAGGACTGGGTTCAGAGAGCTTCTGGATAACACTTCCTGGAAGGTAGTGCGCCCCTCCCCACATGCCGGGCCCCACATTTATTTCTGAACTTTTTGCAATGTCCGCTAAAATACAACGGCAAATGTAAGTGTTTCTCTGAGTGCCGTGAGCTCTTCCAGCAAATGAATGCAACTAAATCTGGGAGTGGTGGCAACCTGATTTATAGCCAGTTGCTGAGAAGCACAGGTAAAACAACGTAGGGCTTCCCGTTGTTACTAGTGTGGGAGGCCTGCCTGGCGGGACTCGGCCCTTTGGAATCTAATGCTATGTCCCGGTAGATAGCGTCACCATTGAATTAGAAGACACACATATGTTGAGAATAATCTTTCTGGTCATTTGCTGCATGTCTTATTTACAATATGTAATCAAATTCTTTATCCTGACCTTATGGCACCTGGGTTGAGAACCATGATTTGAACCAAACATTGGTCTGTCACTTTCTGAGTTGGAAACTTTATTTTGCCTTTAGCGTTTTGCTACTGCTTTTTCGTTTTCGTTTTCTTTTGTTTCGTTTCGATTCTAGGTTGTTGGGTATATGTGCAGGATGGGCAGATTTGTTACTAAGGTAAACGTGTGCCATGGTGGTTTGCTGCACCTGTCAACCCATCACCTAGGTATTAAGCCCAGCATGCAGTAGCTGTTTTTCTTAATGCTCTGCCTCCCGAAAGGCCCCAGTGTGTGTTGTTCCCCTTCCTGTGTCCATGTGATCTCATTCTTCAGCTCCCATTATAAGTGAAAATGTGGCGTTTTGTTTTCTTTCCCTGGATTAGTTTGCTGAGGATAATGACCACACATCACCACTGTTTTTGTTTTTTAGTATAAAGAGTAGTATTTTATTGAATAAGATTTGCTCACAGAAAAATAAGCTTAAATCTACAATGAATGCCAGACCTTACAGAAGAAAGGAATTTTCTCACTTTTCCACACACAATGGTTCCTACTAAGTGAAAAAAAGCCATAAAATTTCATTCACAAATGTGCTACTCTGTATCAAAACATCTCACATAATCATGCACTGTACTAAAGCCATTAGATCACTGCTTCAGTCAGGTTAAAGAAGTATCCCTCTAATAACTGACTTTTATAATGCTATCAATATGCACTCCCAATCAGTCTGCCATTGTTAATGGTGTACAGCATTACTGTATACAATGGAATTGATGACACCCATATCCACGGACAAACCGTGACTTATGATGGTTTGATTCAAGATTTTTCAACGTTATGATGGGTTTATTGGAATATTAGATGCGTTTCTGAGTTACACTGGGTTTATGAGTATGCGACCCTCTACTCCAGAAACAGCTGTATAAGGAAAAACATGTGTACCTAATAAAAATATGCTTAGTGACTTGCGATAAACCAATACATGTTCACAACTGATGGAGAGCCGTGAAACAGAGATAGCGGTAAATAGTTACAATAACACAATTTTCCTGCACCTGTGGAGGATTTCCCCAAAAAAACGCAGAATGTGGGATGCACCTAAGGCATATGAAAGAGAGAGGGCAGAAGGAGTAAGAGAGAAATTGGAGGAAGGAAGGAAGGAAGGAAAGAAGGAAGGTAGGAAGGAAGGAAGGAAAGAAGGAAGGAAGGAAGGAAGGAAAGAAGGACGAAAGGAAGTAGAAAACACCCGGTGTTAAACCCACCCTGGCTGGCCTGTACTCAGATCTTCGCGGAGGGGATCAGCGGCCAGAGCCTTTGGCGGACTCTGCGTGGACTTGGAGCTCACGGCGTCTTGCGACTTGGAGGCGGATTCAGAGGACAGGACAGAACACTTGGGCAAGTGAATCTCTGTCTGTCTGTCTGTCTGTCTGTCTGTGTGTCTGTCTCATTGGTTGGTTGATTTCCATTTTCTTAAGGGGCAAATACCTCACACCACACACACACAGACACACACACACGCACACACACGCACACACTCACACACACGCACACACACTCCTTCCTTCTGCGAGTTAGAAAATTAGTAGGGGCCCCTGGGAGCTGCAGGTTTCCTAATCATGTCTGCACCTAAGAACAGTAGGGTCTTGTCTGGCTCTTCTTATGAACGGTCCCCCAGCCCGGACTCCCCAAGGTCCATGCGAGCCTCACCCAGCTTCTCCTTCTCCCCTCTCAGAAACTCAGGCTTAAGGGGAAGCTCCTCACCAGGGATCCGGAGCTACCATTCACCATCCCCTAGGGCTTCACCACACTCACCTCTGTCATCACCAGAATCCCACAAGCTCCCATTTCCCTGTCCTCACCGTGATGGGCAATCAATGAAGCCATCGGGCTCTCCTCTGTCCTCCTCTGAGGATTCCTCAGAGTCCCCAGGTTCATCAATAATATACCACATGTTCTTACTGCCATCACCCAGCAGCTCACCCCCAGCTCTCGGGGGGTGTCCTGTGTCTCCCAGCTACTCTCCAAACAACCCCAGATTTCAGCTGGAGTCAGCTGCCCACACCCAGGAATCACCTACAAACTCACGAGCCTCACGGTGCTCCACCCCTGTGTCTTTCATCTCTTCACCCCCAGGCCTCAGGGACTCTCCTGTGGCTCCCAGTTACTCTCCAGCCATCCCCAGGTTCCTGCAGGAGTCAGCCCCATGCACCCAGGAGTCCCCCAGAGACTCACAGGTCTCGGGAGAATATGAGCGGTCCCCCAGCCCTGATTCCTCAAGATTCATGCCTGCCTCACCCAGCTTCTCCCTCTCCCCTCTCAGAAACTCAGACCCAAGGGGCAACTCCTCACCAGGGATGTGGAAGTACTCTACATCATCCCACAGGGCTTCACCACTCTCACATCCATCATCAACAGAATTCCACAGCTTTACGTTTCCCTTTCCTAACCAAGCAGGACAGTCACTCATGTCATTGTGTTCTCCCGTGTCCTCCTCTGGAGATTCTTCACAGTCACCTCATTCATCAATAATATACCATATGTTCTTACTGCCATCATCCAGCAGCTCACCCCCAGCCACCCATGACTCTCCTGTCTGTCCCAGCTACTCTCCAACCACGCCCACATTTCAGCGGCAGTCTGTACCCCACACCCCAGCAACACCTACAAACTCACAGACCTCAGGGAGATCCTGGCCAGTCTCTCTCACGTCTTCACCCCCAGCCCTTACGGACCCTCCAGTCTGTCCCAGCTACTCTCCAACCACGCCCACATTTCAGCGCGGGTCGGTTCCGGGAACCCAGGGATCACCGCCAAGCCCACCACTTTCACTGAGTTACTCCCCAGTCTCTAGCACGTCTTTATCTCCAACCCTCAGGGACTCGCCTGTCTGTCCCAGCTACTCTCCAAACACGCCCACACTTCAGCCGGAGTCCGTTGCAGGCACCCAGAAATCACCACCAAACTCACCAATTTCACTGCGTTACTCCCCAGTCTCTCTCATGTCTTCACCATCCCTCAAGGACTCTCCCGTCTGTCCCAGCTACTCTCCAACCACGCCCACATTGCAGCTGGAGTCAGTTCCAGGCACCCCGGAAACACCACCAAACTCACCAGTTTCACTCAGTTACTCCTCAGTCTCTAGCACGTCTTTATCTCCAACCCTCAGGGACTCTCCTGTGTTTCCCAGCTACTCTCCAACCATGCCCAGACTTCAGCGGGAGTCAGTTCCAGGCACCCTGGTATCACCTACAAACTCAGCAGTTTCACTGAGTTACTCCCCAGTCTCTCTCATGTCTTCACCCACAGCCCCCTGGGACTCTCCTGTCTCTCCAAGCTACTCTCCCACCACGCTCAGATTTCAGCCGGAGTCAGCCTCCCACACTCCAGAATCACCTACGGACTCACAGACTTCACTGAGGTCCTCCCTGGTTTCTCTCAGGTCTTTGCCCTCAGCCCATAGGGACTCTTGTGTCTCTTTCAGCTACTCTCAAAACTTCTCTAGATTCCAGCTGGTGTCAGTTCCAGGCAACCACGATACACCCCCGAACTCACGAATTTCACTGACTTACTCCCCAGTCTCCCTCATGTTCTCACCCCCAGCCCTCAGGTACTCTTCTGTCTCTCTCAGCTACTCTCCAACCATCTCCAGATTTCACCTGGAGTCAGCTTCCCGCACCCAGGAATCACCTACGAACTCACGGAACTTACTGCAAACCTCCCCCGTTTCTTCCACCTCTTCACCCCCTGCCTTCAGTGACTCCCCTGTGTCTCCCAGCTTCTCTCCAACCTTCCCCAGATATCTGCCACAGTCAGCCCCAGGCACCCAGGACAACCCTAGACACTCACAGGCCTCATGAGACTATCTCCCTATGACCTGTACCTATACAGGGATGGCTCCCACGCATCCCTCAGTGACCCCAAAGCCATATCCACTTACACTCAGACACTCCCAGGGCCTGACAGCTACTCCCCGTTATTGTCCTTCAGTTCGAAGCTCTGGCCAATCTACTAGTCCACATGACGCAGTTACCTGGCCATTACTCCACGGTTCCCGTGAGGGCCCTACACCCAGCCGCACAAGAGCCCCTCCTGCATTCCGTCCTCACACGCAGGCCTGTCCATCTACTTGCTACTGTCACACTCTTGCCAGCAGAAGAGGCCCCTGTCATGGCCGATATCACCACCCAGTCTATCCTCACCCCACAGCTGTGCAGCGGGACCCTCCTGCTGGCCCACGTGGCTGCCAGAGCCCATGCTGGCACGACGCTCCAGCAGGTCGGCGTCCCTGCGGGACACACTACCCGTGACATGGCTAGCATCACCCTCCTTCCTGGAAGTGACACTGTTGATGTGAACCCCAGTTTCACATCTGTCATTTGTAAATAGGACCATTTTCCCTTTTCGCTCTCCCTTCCATTCACAGGGCTTTTCATTCTCTCTGTTTCTGCCTCCGTTTCAGATATTCACTCACCTTTTTCTCTCTCACTATGTCTGCCGTGGTCTCCATGAGAGTGCGCCACATAAGATTCCCCCATTAAAAGTCATGAATTGAGTGGCTTTTAGTATACCTGTGGTTGTGCACATTCAATTTTAATTCGCAATCCATTGTAGAACGTCTTATCACCCCCGACCAGAGAAAAACCCTGTAGACATTAGTCACTCCTCATTCCCTCTCAAACCCTCTTCCTGACCCTCAGCCCTAGGTAGCAACTAGCTAGTGCGATTAACCCCATATGCACAGATTTCCATATTGTGGACATTTCCTACAAACGGAATTGCACAATTGGTGAGCTGTTATGACTGACATAACACGTAGCACAATATTTTCAAGATTCATCCACATTGTAGGCTGACCCACAGGGGGAAACCATGTTTTTGGGGTCTTTTAGTAATACCGGGTGTTTTCTCCTTCTTTTCGTCCTTCTTTCCTTCCTTCCTTCCTTCCTTCCTTCCTTACAACCTTCCTTCTTTCCTTCCTTCCTTCCTTCCTCCTATTTCTCTCTTACTCCTGCCCTCTCTCTTTCATATGCCTTAGGTGCATCCCACATTCTGCGTTTTTTGGGGGAAATCCTCGAAAGGTGCAGGAAAATTGTGTTATTGTAACTATTTACCGCTATCTCTCTTTCACGGCTCTCCGTCAGTTGTGAACATCTATTGGTTTATCGCAAGTCACTAAGCATATTTTTATTAGGTACACCTGTTTTTCCTTATACAGCTGTTTCTGGAGTATAGGGTCGCATACTCATAAACCCAGTGTAACTCAGAGACGCATCTAATATTCCAATAAACCCATCATAACGTTCAAAAATCATGAATCAAACCATCATAAGTCACGGTTTGTCCGTGGATATGGGTGTCATCAATTTCATTGTATTCAGTAATGCTGTACACCATTAACAATGGCAGACTGATTGGGAGTGGATGTTGATAGCATTATAAAAGTCATTTATTAGAGGGATACTTCTTTAACCTGACTGAAGAACTGATCTAATAGCTTTAGTACAGTGCATGATTATGTGAGATGTTTTGAGACAGAGTAGTACATTTGTGAATGAAATTTTATGGCTTTTTTTCACTTAGTAGGAACCATTGTGTGTGGAAAAGTGAGAAAATTGCTTTCTGCTGTAGAGTATGGCATTCATTGTAGATTTAAGCTTATTTTTCTGTGAGCAAATCTTATTCAATAAAATACTACTCTTTATACTAAAAAACAAAAACAGTGGTGATGTGTGGTCATTATCCTCAGCAAACTAATCCAGGGAAAGGAAACCAAACGCCACATTCTCACTTATAATGGGAGCTGAAGAATGAGATCACATGGACACTGGAAAGGGAACAACACACACTGGGGCCTTTCTGGAGGCAGAGCGTTAAGAAAAACAGCTACTGCATGCTGGGCTTAATACCTAGGTGATGGGTTGACAGGTGCAGCAAACCACCATGGCACACGTTTACCTTAGTAACAAATCTGCACATCCTGCACATCTACCCCAGAACTTAGAAACGAAACGACACAAAAGAAAACGAAAAAGCAATAGCAAAACGCTAAAGGCAAAATAAAGTTTCCAACTCAGAAAGTGACAGACCAATGTTTGGTTCAAATCATGGTTCTCAACCCAGGTGCCATAAAGTCAGGATAAAGAATTTGATTACATATTGTAAATAAGACATGCAGCAAATGACCAGAAAGATTATTCTCAACATATGTGTGTCTTCTAATTCAATGGTGACGCTATCTACCGGGACATAGCATTAGATTCCAAAGGGCCGAGTCCCGCCAGACAGGCCTCCCACACTAATAACAACGGGAAGCCCTACGTTGTTTTACCTGTGCTTCTCAGCACCTGGCTATAAATCAGGTTGCCACCACTCCCAGATTTAGTTGCATTCATTGGCTGGAAGAGCTCACAGCACGCAGGGAAACACTTACATTTGCCGTTGTATTTTAGCGGACATTGCAAGAAGTTCAGAAATAAATGTGGGGACCAGCATGTGGGGAGGGGCGCACTGCCTTCCAGGAAGTGTTTTCCAGAAGCTCTCTGAACCCAGTCCTTTTGGGTTTTTATGGAGACCTCATTCTATAGGCATGATGGGTTAAACCATAGGCTATTGGTGATCAACTCCACCTGAGGCTCTCAACCCTCCCTGGAAATTGGGGTTGAGGCTTTGCCATTCTCAGTCTGACTAAAAGAATTTACCCAAACGGAATTTTAAAACAGATGAGCATAACTGGACTCTTAATTAGATGATTGGATCGTCTGGACACACACCTTGATATTCCAAACCGGAGCACCCTCATCCAACGAATGCTCCACCCAACTGGCTCCCAAGTCTCCACCTGGTTCCAGAGCAAAAGAATGTTTATATAACGCATATCTCTACTTTTTCTTCAAAGTCTTTTCGCTTACACGGAAAGACTTCTTAAACTGCCATGCATCAGGGTCAGGGGGAGGTCTTGTTGCAACACAGATCTGTGGATCTCCGGGGTTTGATTGTGGCAAGGATGCTGCTGGTGTCGAAACCACAACGTGGGAACCACAGAACCACTGGTTGGTTTTCAGTGTTTCAGTGCATACAATTCCTAATATATCTGGCCAAGAAAACTTCGAAGTTCTTAGATTGTCCCAAAGGTGGCGCATGAAATCAAAGCAGGAGAACAGTTTCCTAGAGGTGTAGCCTGGGAAAGTTGGGGGTGACTGATGGAAAGGAGGAGTGAAGCTCCGCCCTTTCCGCTGCTAGGCTGCGCCCGAGGCTATTTAAACCCACCCTGGCTGGCCTGTACTCAGATCTTCGCGGAGCGGATCAGCGGCCGGAGCGTTTGGCGGACTCTGCGTGGGCTTGGAGCTCACGGCGTCTTGCGACTTGGAAGCGGATTCAGAGGACAGGACAGAACACTTGGGCAAGTGAATCTCTGTCTGTCTGTCTGTCTGTCTGTGTGTCTGTCTCATTGGTTGGTTGATTTCCATTTTCTTAAGGGGCACATTCCTAACACCGCACACACAGAAACACACACACGCACACACACACACACGCACACACACGCACACACACTCCTTCCTTCTGCGAGTTAGAAAATTAGTAGGGGCCCCTGGGAGCTGCAGGTTTCCTAATCATGTCTGCACCAAAGAACCGTAGGGACTTGTCTGACTCTTCTTATGAACGGTCCCCAAGCCTGGACTCCCCAAGGTCCATGTGAGCCTCACCCAGCTTCTCCCTCTCCCATCTCAGAAACTCAGGCTTAAGGGGAAGCTCCTCACCAGGGATCCGGAGCTACCATTCACCATCCTCTAGGGCTTCACCACACTCACCTCTGTCATCACCAGAATCCCAGAAGCTCCCATTTCCCTGTCCTCACCGTGATGGGCAATCAATGAAGCCATCGGGCTCTCCTCTGTCCTCCTCTGAGGATTCCTCAGAGTCCCCAGGTTCATCAATAATATACCACATGTTCTTACTGCCATCACCCAGCAGCTCACCCCCAGCTCTCAGGGGGTGTCCTGTGTCTCCCAGCTACTCTCCAAACAACCCCAGATTTCAGCTGGAGTCAGCCCCCCAAACCCAGGAATCACCTACAAACTCACGAGCCTCACGGTGCTCCACCCCTGTGTCTTTCATCTCTTCACCCCCAGGCCTCAGGGACTCTCCTGTGGCTCCCAGTTACTCTCCAGCCATCCCCAGGTTCCTGCGGGAGTCAGCCACATGCACCCAGGAGTCCCCCAGAGACTCACAGGTCTCGGGAGAATATGAGCGGTCCCCCAGCCCTGACTCCTCAAGATTCATGCCTGCCTCACCCAGCTTCTCCCTCTCCCCTCCCAGAAACTCAGACCCAAGGGGCAGCTCCTCACCAGGGATATGGAAGTACTCTACATCATCCCGCAGGGCTTCACCACTCTCACATCCATCATCAACAGAATTCCACAGCTTTACGTTTCCCTTTCCTAACCAAGCAGGACAGTCACTCATGTCATTGTGTTCTCCCGTGTCCTCCTCTGGAGATTCTTCACAGTCACCTCATTCATCAATAATATACCACATGTTCTTCCTGCCATCATCCAGCAGCTCACCACCAGCCACCCATGACTCTCCTGTCTGTCCCAGGTACTCTCCAACCACGCCCACATTTCAGCGCGGGTCAGTTCCAGGAACCCAGGGATCACCGCCAAGCCCACCACTTTCACTGAGTTACTCCCCAGTCTCTAGCACGTCTTTATCTCCAACCCTCAGGGACTCGCCTGTCTGTCCCAGCTACTCTCCAAACACGCCCACACTTCAGCCGGAGTCCGTTGCAGGCACCCAGAAATCACCACCAAACTCATCAATTTCACTGCGTTACTCCGCAGTCTCTCTCATGTCTTCACCATCCCTCAGGGACTCTCCCGTCTGTCCCAGCTACTCTCCAACGACGCCCACATTGCAGCTGGAGTCAGTTCCAGGCACCCCGGAATCACCACCAAACTCACCAGTTTCACTCAGTTACTCCTCAGTCTCTAGCACGTCTTTATCTCCAACCCTCAGGGACTCTCCTGTGTGTCCCAGCTACTCTCCAACCACGCCCACACTTCAGCGGGAGTCAGTTCCAGGCACCCAGGAATCACCACCAAACTCACCAATTTCACTCAATTACTCTCCAGTCTCTCTCATGTCTTCACCAGCCCTCAGGGACTCTCCTGTCTGTCCCAGCTACTCTCCAACCACGCCCACATTTCAGCTGGAGTCAGTTCCAGGCAACCCGGAGTCACCACCAAACTCACCAGTTTCACTCAGTTACTCCCCGGACTCTCTCATGTCTTCACCCCCAGCCCTCAGGGACTCTCCTGTGTGTCCCAGATACTCTCCAACCATGCCCAGATTTCAGCGGGAGTCAGTTCCAGGCACCCAGGTATCACCTACAAACTCAGCAGTTTCACTGAGTTACTCCCCAGTCTCTCTCATGTCTTCACCCCCAGCCCCCTGGGACTCTCCTGTCTGTCCCAGCTACTCCCCCACCACGCCCAGATTTCAGCGGGAGTCAGCCTCCCACACTCCAGAATCACCTACGGACTCACAGACTTCACTGAGGTCCTCCCTGGTCTCTCTCAGGTCTTTGCCCTCAGCCCACAGGGACTCTTGTGTCTCTTTCAGCTACTCTCAAAACTTCTCTAGATTCCAGCTGGAGTCAGTTCCAGGCACCCACGATACAACACCGAACTCACGAATTTCACTGACTTACTCCCCAGTCTCCCTCATGTTCTCACCCCCAGCCCTCAGGGACTCTTCTGCCTCTCTCAGCTACTCTCCAACCATCTCCAGATTTCACCTGGAGTCAGCTTCCCGCACCCAGGAATCACCTACAAACTCACGGACCTTACTGCAACCCTCCCCCATTTCTTTCACCTCTTCACCCCCTGCCTTCAGGGACTCTCCTGGGTCTCCCAGCTTCTCTCCAGCCTTCCCCAGATTTCTGCCACAGTCAGCCCCAGGCACCCAGGACAACCCTAGACACTCACAGGCCTCACGAGAGTATCTCCCTATGACCTGTACCTATACAGGGATGGCTCCCACGCATCCCTCAGTGATCCCAAACCCATCTCCACTTACACTCAGACACTCCCAGGGCCTGACAGCTACTCCCCGTTATTGTCCTTCAGTTCGAAGCCCTGGCCAATCTACTAGCCCACATGACGCAGTTACCTGGCCATTACTCCACGGTTCCCGTGAGGGCCCCACACCCAGCCGCACAAGAGCCGCTCCTGCATTCCGTCCTCACACGCAGGCCTGTCCATCTACTTGCTACTGTCACACTCTTGCCAGCAGAAGAGGCCCCCGTCATGGCCGATATCACCACCCAGTCTATCCTCACCCCACAGCTGTGCAGCGGGACCCTCCTGCTGGCCCACGTGGCTGACAGAGCCCATGCTGGCACGACGCTCCAGCAGGTCGGCGTCCCTGCGGGACGCACTACCGGTGACATGGCTAGCATCACCCTCCTTCCTGGCAGTGACACTGTTGATGTGAACCCCAGTTTCACATCTGTCATTTGGAAATAGGACCATTTTCCCTTTTCGCTCTCCCTTCCATTCACAGGGCTTTTCATTCTCTCTGTTTCTGCCTCCGTTTCAGATATTCACTCACCTTTTTCTCTCTCACTATGTCTGCCGTGGTCTCCATGAGAGTGCGCCACATAAGATTCCCCCATTAAAAGTCATGAATTGAGTGGCTTTTAGTACACCTGTGGTTGTGCACATTCAATTTTAATTCGCAATCCATTGTAGAATGTCTTATCACCCCCGACCAGAGAAAAACCCTGTAGACATTAGTCACTCCTCATTCTGTCTCAAACCCTCTCCCTGACCCTCAGCCCTAGGTAGCAACTAGCTAGTGCGATCAACCACATATGCAGAGATTTCCATATTGTGGACATTTCCTTTAAACGGAATTGCACAATAGGTGAGCTGTTATGACTGACATAACACGTAGCACAATATTTTCAAGATTCCTCCACATTGTAGGCTTACCCACAGGGGGAAACCATATTTTTGGGGGGTTTTAGTAACACCGGGTGTTTTCTCCTTCCTTTCGTCCTTCTTTCCGTCCTTCCTTCCTTCTTTCCTTCCTTCCTTCCTTCCTTCCTACCTTCCTTCTTTCCTTCCTTCCTTCCTTCCTCCTATTTCTCTCTTACTCCTTCTGCCCTCTCACTTTCACATGCCTTAGGTGCATCCCACATTCTGCGTTTTCTTGGGGAAATCCTCAACAGGTGCAGGAAAATTGTGTTATTGTAACTATTTACCGCTATCTCTCTTTCACGGCTATCCATCAGTTGTGAACATCTATTGGTGTATCGCAAGTCACTAAGCATATTTTTATTAGGTACACCTGTTTTTCCTTATACAGCTGTTTCTGGAGTATAGGGTCGCATACTCATAAACCCAGTGTAACTCAGAAACGCATCTAATATTCCAATAAACCCATCATAACGTTGAAAAATCATGAATCAAACCATCATAAGTCACGGTTTGTCCGTGGATATGGGTGTCATCAATTCCATTGTATACAGTAATGCTGTACACCATTAACAATGGCAGACTGATGGGGAGTGCATATTGATAGCATTATAAAAGTCAGTTATTAGAGGGATACTTCTTTAACCTGACTGAAGCACTGATCTAATGGCTTTAGTACAGTGTATGATTATGTGAGATGTTTTGAGACAGAGTAGTACATTTGTGAATGAAATTTTATGGCTTTTTTTCACTTAGTAGGAACCATTGTGTGTGGAAAAGTGAGAAAATTCCTTTCTGCTGTAGAGTCTGGCATTCATTGTAGATTTAAGATTATTTTTCTGTGAGCAAATCTTATTGAATAAAACGCTACTCTTTATACTAAAAAACAAAAACAGTGGTGATGTGTGGTCATTATCCTCAGCAAACTAATCCAGGGAAAGAAAACCAAACGCCACATTCTCACTTATAATGGGAGCTGAAAAATGAGATCACATGGACACAGGAAGGGGAACAACACACACTGGGGCCTTTCGGGAGGCAGAGCGTTAAGAAAAACAGCTACTGCATGCTGGGCTTAATACCTAGGTGATGGGTTGACAGGTGCAGCAAACCACCATGGCACACGTTTACCTTAGTAACAAATCTGCCCATCCTGCACATATACCCCACAACTTAGAATCGAAACGAAACAAAAGAAAACGAAAAAGCAGTAGCAAAACGCTAAAGGCAAAATAAAGTTTCAAACTCAGAAAGTGACAGACCAATGTTTGGTTCAAATCATGGTTCTCAACCCAGGTGCCATAAGGTCAGGATAAGGAATTTGATTACATATTGTAAATAAGACATGCAGCAAATGACCAGAAAGATTATTCTCAACATATGTGTGTCTTCTAATTCAATGGTGACGCTATCTACCGGGACATAGCATTAGATTCCAAAGGGCCGAGTCCTGCCAGGCAGGCCTCCCACACTAGTAACAACGGGAAGCCCTACGTTGTTTTACCTGTGCTTCTCAGCAACTGGCTATAAATCAGGTTGCCACCACTCCCAGATTTAGTTGCATTCATTTGCTGGAAGAGCTCACGGCACTCAGGGAAACACTTACATTTGCCGTTGTATTTTAGCGGACATTGCAAAAAGTTCAGAAATAAATGTGGGGCCCGGCATGTGGGGAGGGGCGCACTACCTCCCAGGAAGTGTTATCCAGAAGCTCTCTGAACCCAGTCCTTTTGGGTTTTTATGGAGACCTCATTCTATAGGCATGATGGGTTAAACCATAGGCTATTGGTGATCAACTCCACCTGAGGCTCTCAACCCTCCCTGGAAATTGGGGTTGAGGCTTTGCCATTCTCAGTCTGAATAAAAGAAGTTACCCAAACGGAATTTTAAAACAGATGAGCAAAACTGGAATCTTAATTAGATGATTGGATCGTCTGGACACACACCTTGATATTCCGAACCCGAGCACCCTCATCCAACGAATGCTCCACCCAACTGGCTCCCAAGTCTCCACGTGGTTCCAGAGCAAAAGAATGTTTATACAACGCATATCTCCACCTTTTCTTCAAAGTCTTTTCGCTTACACGGAAAGACTTCTTAAACTGCCATGCATCAGGGTCAGGGGGAGGTCTTGTTGCAACACAGATCTGTGGATCTCCGGGATTTGATTGTGGCAAGGATGCTGCTGGTGTCGAAACCACAACGTGGGAACCACAGAACCACTGGTTGGTTTTCAGTGTTTCAGTGCATACAATTCCTAATATATCTGGCCAAGAAAACTTGGAAGTTCTTAGATTGTCCCAAAGTTGGCGCATGAAATCAAAGCAGGAGAACAGTTTCCTACCAGGTGTAGCCTGGGAAAGTTAGGGGTGACTGATGGAAAGGAGGAGTGAAGCTCCGCCCTTTCTGCTGCTAGGCTGCGCCCGAGGCAATTTAAACCCACCCTGGCTGGCCTATACTCAGATCTTCGCGGAGCGGATCAGCGGCCGGAGCGTTTGGCGGACTCTGCGTGGACTTGGAGCTCACGGCGTCTTGCGACTTGGAGGCGGATTCAGAGGACAGGACAGAACACTTGGGCAAGTGAATCTCTGTCTGTCTGTCTGTCTGTCTGTCTGTCTGTCTGTCTGTCTCATTGGTTGGTTGATTTCCATTTTCTTAAGGGGCACATACCTCACACCGCACACACAGAAACACACACACGCACACACACACACACACGCACACACACGCACACACACTCCTTCCTTCTGCGAGTTAGAAAATTAGTAGGGGCCCCTGGGAGCTGCAGGTTTCCTAATCATGTCTGCACCTAAGAACAGTAGGGTCTTGTCTGGCTCTTCTTATGAACGGTCCCCCAGCCTGGACTCCCCAAGGTCCATGCTAGCCTCACCCAGCTTCTCCCCCTCCCCTCTCAGAATCTCAGGCTTAAGGGGAAGCTCCTCACCAGGGATCCGGAGCTACCATTCACCATCCCCTAGGGCTTCACCACACTCATCTCTGTCATCACCAGAATCCCACAAGCTCCCATTTCCCTGTCCTCACCGTGATGGGCAATCAATGAAGCCATCGGGCTCTCTCGTGTCCTCCTCTGAGGATTCCTCAGAGTCCCCAGGTTCATCAATAATATACCACATGTTCTTACTGCCATCACCCAGCAGCTCACCCCCAGCTCTCGGGGGGTCTCCTGTGTCTCCCAGCTACTCTCCAAACAACCCCAGATTTCAGCTGGAGTCAGTCCCCCACACCCAGGAATCACCTACAAACTCACGAGCCTCGCGGTGCTCCACCCCTGTGTCTTTCATCTCTTCACCCCCAGGCCTCAGGGACTCTCCTGTGGCTCCCAGTTACTCTCCAGCCATCCCCAGGTTCCTGCGGGAGTCAGCCCCATGCACCCAGGAGTCCCCCAGGGAATCACAGGTCTCGGGATAATATGAGCGGTCCCCCAGCCCTGACTCCTCAAGATTCATGCCTGCCTCACCCAGCTTCTCCCTCTCCCCTCCCAGAAACTCAGACCCAAGGGGCAGCTCCTCACCAGGGATGTGGAAGTACTCTACATCATCCCGCAGGGCTTCACCACTCTCACATCCATCATCAACAGAATTCCACAGCTTTACGTTTCCCTTTCCTAACCAAGCAGGACAGTCACTCATGTCATTGTGTTCTCCCGTGTCCTCCTCTGGAGATTCTTCACAGTCACCTCATTCATCAATAATATACCATATGTTCTTACTGCCATCATACAGCAGCTCACCCCCAGCAACCCATGACTCTCCTGTCTGTCCCAGCTACTCTCCAACCACGCCCACATTTCAGCGGGAGTCTGTACCCCACACCCCAGAAACACCTACAAACTCTCAGACCTCAATGAGATCCTGGCCAGTCTCTCTCACGTCTTCACCCCCAGCCCTTACGGACCCTCTAGTCTGTCCCAGCTACTCTCCAACCACGCCCACATTTCAGCGCGGGTCAGTTCCAGGAACCCAGGGATCACCGCCAAGCCCACCACTTTCACTGAGTTACTCCCCAGTCTCTAGCACGTCTTTATCTCCAACCCTCAGGGACTCGCCTGACTGTCCCAGCTACTCTCCAAACACGCCCACACTTCAGCGGGAGTCCGTTGCAGGCACCCAGAAATCACCACCAAACTCACCAATTTCACTGCGTTACTCCCCAGTCTCTCTCATGTCTTCACCATCCCTCAGGGACTCTCCCGTCTGTCCCAGCTACTCTCCAACCACGCCCACTTTGCATCTGGAGTCAGTTACAGGCACCCCGGAATCACCTCCAAACTCACCAATTTCACTCCATTACTCCCCAGTCTCTAGCACGTCTTTATCTCCAACCCTCAGGGACTCTCCTGTCTGTCCCAGCTACTCTCCAACCACGCCCACATTTCAGCTGGAGTCAGTTCCAGGCACCCCGGAGTCACCACCTAACTCACCAGTTTCACTCAGTTACTCCCCGGTCTCTCTCATGTCTGCACCCCCAGCCCTCAAGGACTCTCCTGTCTGTCCCAGCTACTCTCCAACCACGCCCACATTTCAGCTGGAGTCAGTTCCAGGCACCCCAGTGTCACCACCAAACTCACCAGTTTCACTCAGTTACTCCCCGGTCTCTCTCATGTCTGCACCCCCAGCCCTCAGGGACTCTCCTGTGGGTCCCAGCTACTCTCCGACCATGCCCAGATTTCAGCAGGAGTCAGTTCCAGGCACCCAGGAATCACCACCAAACTCCCCAATTTCACTCAATTACTCTCCAGTCTCTCTCATGTCTTCACCAGCCCTCAGGGACTCTCCTGTCTGTCCCAGCTACTCTCCAACCATGCCCACATTTCAGCTGCAGTCAGTTCCAGGCACCCCGGAGTCACCACCAAACTCACCAGTTTCACTCAGTTACTCCCCGGTCTCTCTCATGTCTTCACCCCCAGCCCTCAGGGACCCTCCAGTCTGTCCCAGCTACTCTCCAACCACGCCCACATTTCAGCGAGGGTCAGTTCCAGGAACCCAGGGATCACCGCCAAGCCCACCACTTTCACTGAGTTACTCCCCAGTCTCTAGCACGTCTTTATCTCCAACCCTCAGGGACTCGCCTGTCTGTCCCAGCTACTCTCCAAACACGCCCACACTTCAGTGGGAGTCCGTTGCAGGCACCCAGAAATCACCACCAAACTCACCAATTTCACTGCGTTACTCCCCAGTCTCTCTCATGTCTTCACCATCCCTCAGGGACTCTCCCATCTGTCCCAGCTACTCTCCAACCACGCCCACATTGCAGCTGGAGTCAGTTCCAGGCACCCCGGAATCACCACCAAACTCACCTATTTCACTCAGTTACACCTCAGTCTCTAGCACGTCTTTATCTTCAACCCTCAGGGACTCTCCTGTGTGTCGCAGCTACTCTCCAACCATGCCCAGATTTCGGCGGGCGTCAGTCCCAGGCACCCATGTATCACCTACAAACTCAGCAGTTTCACTGAGTTACTCCCCAGTCTCTCTCATGTCTTCACCCCCAGCCCCCTGGGACTCTCCTGTCTGTCCCAGCTACTCCCCCACCACGCCCAGATTTCAGCGGGAGTCAGCCTCCCACACTCCAGAATCACCTACGGACTCACAGACTTCACTGAAGTCCTCCCTGGTCTCTCTCAGGTCTTTGCCCTCAGCCCACAGGGACTCTCGTGTCTCTTTCAGCTACTCTCAAAACTTCTCTAGATTCCAGCTGGAGTCAGTTCCAGGCACCCACGATACACCACCGAACTCACGAATTTCACTGACTTACACCCCAGTCTCCCTCATGTTCTCACCCCCAGCCCTCAGGGACTCTTCTGTCTCTCTCAGCTACTCTCCAAACATCTCCAGATTTCACCTGGAGTCAGCTTCCCGCACCCAGGAATCACCTACAAACTCACGGACCTTACTGCAACCCTCCACCATTTCTTTCACCTCTTCACCCCCTGCCTTCAGGGACTCTCCTGGGTCTCCCAGCTTCTCTCCCGCCTTCCCCAGATTTCTGCCACAGTCAGCCCCAGGCACCCAGGATAACCCTAGAAACTCACAGGCCACACGAGACTATCTCCCTATGACCTGTACCTATACAGGGATGGCTCCCACGCATCCCTCAGTGACCCCAAACCCATCTCCACTTACACTCAGACACTCCGAGGGCCTGACAGCTACTCCCCGTTATTGTCCTTCAGTACGAAGCCCTGGCCAGTCTAGTAGCCCACATGACGCAGTTACCTGGCCATTACTCCACGGTTCCCGTGAGGGCCCCACACCCAGCCGCACAAGACCCGCTCCTGCATTCCGTCCTCACACGCAGGCCTGTCCACCTACTTGCTACTGTCACACTCTTGCCAGCAGAAGAGGCCCCTGTCATTTCCGATATCACCACCCAGTCTATCCTCACCCCACAGCTGTGCAGCGGGACCCTCCTGCTGGCCCACGTGGCTGCCAGAGCCCATGCTGGCAAGACGCTCCAGCAAGTCGGCGTCCCTGCGGGACACACTACCGGTGACATGGCTAGCATCACCCTCCTTCCTGGCAGTGACACTGTTGATGTGAACCCCAGTTTCACATCTGTCATTTGTAAATGGACCATTTTCCCTTTTCGCTCTCCCTTCCATTCACAGGGCTTTTCATTCTCTCTGTTTCTGCCTCCGTTTCAGATATTTACTCACCTTTTTCTCTCTCACTATGTCTGCCGTGGTCTCCATGAGAGTGCGCCACATAAGATTCCCCCATTAAAAGTCATGAATTGAGTGGCTTTTAGTATACCAGTGGTTGTGCACATTCAATTTTAATTAGCAATCCGTTGTAGAACGTCTTATCACCCCCGACCAGAGAAAAACCCTGTAGGCATTAGTCACTCCTCATTCTGTCTCAAACCCTCTCCCTGACCCTCAGCCCTAGGTAGCAACTACCTAGTGCGATCAACCCCATATGCATAGATTTCCATATTGTGGACATGTCCTATAAACAGAATTGCACAATAGGTGAGCTGTTATGACTGACATAACACGTAGCACAATATTTTCAAGATTCATCCACATTGTAGGCTTACCCACAGGGGAAAACCATATTTTTGGGGGGTTTTAGTAACACCGGGTGTTTTATCCTTCCTTTCGTCCTTCTTTCCTTCCTTCCTTCCTTCCTTCCTTCCTTCCTTCCTTCCTACCTTCCTTCTTTCCTTCCTTCCTTCCTTCCTCCTATTACTCTCTTACTCCTTCTGCCCTCTCTCTTTCATATGCCTTAGGTGCATCACACATTCTGCGTTTTTTTGGGGAAATCCTCGACAGGTGCAGGAAAATTGTGTTATTGTAACTATTTACCGCTATCTCTCTTTCACGGCTCTCCATCAGTTGTGAACATCTATTGGTTTATCCCAAGTCACTAAGCATATTTTTATTAGGTACACCTGTTTTTCCTTATACAGCTGTTTCTGGAGTATAGGGTCGCATACTCATAAACCCAGTGTAACTCAGAACCGCATCTCATATTCCAATAAACCCATCATAACGTTGAAAAATCATGAATCAAACCATCATAAGTCACGGTTTGTCCGTGGATATGGGTGTCATCAATTCCATTGTATACAGTAATGCTGTACACCATTAACAATGGCATACTGATTGGGAGTGGATATTGATAGCATTATAAAAGTCAGTTATTAGAGGGATACTTCTTTAACCTCACTGAAGAACTGATCTAATGGCTTTAGTGCAGTGCATGATTATGTGAGATGTTTTGAGACAGATTAGTACATTTGTGAATGAAATTTTATGGCTTTTTTTCACTTAGTAGGAACCATTGTGTGTGGAAAAGTGAGAAAATTGCTTTCTGCTGTAGAGTCTGGCATTCATTGTAGATTTAAGCCTATTTTTCTGTGAGCAAATCTTATTCAATAAAATGCTACTCTATACTAAAAAACAAAAACAGAGGTGACGTGTGGTCATTATCCTCAGCAAACTAATCCAGGGAAAGAAAACCAAACGCCACATTCTCACTTATAATGGGAGCTGAAGAATGAGATCACATGGACACAGGAAGGGGAACAACACACACTGGGGCCTTTCGGGAGGCGGAGCCTTAAGGAAAACAGCTACTGCATGCTTGGCTTAATACCTAGGTGATGGGTTGACAGGTGCAGCAAACCACCATGGCACACGTTTACCTTAGTAACAAATCTGCCCATCCTGCACATACACCCCAGAACTTAGAAACGAAACGAAACAAAAGAAAACGAAAAAGCAATAGCAAAACGCTAAAGGCAAAATAAAGTTTCAAACTCAGAAAGTGACAGACCAATGTTTGGTTCAAATCATGGTTCTCAACCCAGGTGCCATAAGGTCAGGATAAAGAATTTGATTACATATTGTAAATAAGACATGCAGCAAATGACCAGAAAGATTATTCTCAACATATGTGTGTCTTCTAATTCAATGGTGACGCTATCTACCGGGACATAGCATTAGATTCCAAAGGGCCGAGTCCCGCCAGGCAGGCCTCCCACACTAATAACAACGGGAAGCCCTACGTTGTTTTACCTGTGCTTCTCAGCAACTGGCTATAAATCAGGTTGCCACCACTCCCAGATTTAGTTGCATTCATTTGCTGGAAGAGCTCACGGCACTCAGGGAAACACTTACATTTGCCGTTGTATTTTAGCGGACATTGCAAAAAGTTCAGAAATAAATGTGGGGCCCGGCATGTGGGGAGGGGCGCACTACCTTCCAGGAAGTGTTATCCAGAACCTCTCTGAACCCAGTCCTTTTGGGTTTTTATGGAGACCTAATTCTATAGGCATGATGGGTTAAACCATAGGCTATTGGTGATCAACTCCACCTGAGGCTCTCAACCCTCCCTGGAAATTGGGGTTGAGGCTTTGCCATTCTCAGTCTGAATAAAAGAATTTACCCAAACGGAATTTTAAAACAGATGAGCACAACTGGAATCTTAATTAGATGATTGGATTATCTGGAGCCACACCTTGATATTCCGAACCCAAGCACCTTCATCCAACGAATGCTCCACCCAACTGGCTCCCAAGTCTCCACGTGGTTCCAGAGCAAAAGAATGTTTATACAACGCATATCTCCACCTTTTCTTCAAAGTCTTTTCGCTTACACGGAAAGACTTCTTAAACTGCCATGCATCAGGGTCAGGGGGAGGTCTTGTTACAACACAGATCTGTGGATCTCCGGGGTTTGATTGTGGCAAGGATGCTGCTGGTGTCAAAAACACAACGTGGAGAACCACAGAACCACTAGTTGGTTTACAGTGTTTCAGTGCATACAATTCCTAATATATCTGGCCAAGAAAACTTGGAAGTTCTTAGATTGTCCCAAAGGTGGCGCATGAAATCAAAGCAGGAGAACAGTTTCCTACGCCTGGGAAAGTTGGGGGTGACTGACGGAAAGGAGGAGTGAAGCTCCACCCTTTCTGCTGCTAGGCTGCGCAGGAGGCTATTTAAACCCACCCTGGCTGGCCTGTACTCAGATCTTCGCGGAGGGGATCGGCGGCCGGAGCCTTTGGCGGACTCTGCGTCGACTTGGAGCTCACGGCGTCTTGCGACTTGGAAGCGGATTCCGAGGACAGGACAGAACACTTGGGCAAGTGAATCTCTGTCTGTCTGTCTGTCTGTCTGTCTGTCTGTCTGTCTGTTTGTGTGTCTGTCCCATTGGTTGGTTGATTTCCATTTTCTTAAGGGGCACATACCTCACACCGCACACACACAGACACACACACACGCACACACACGCACACGCTCACACACACGCACACACACTCCTTCCTTCTGCGAGTTAGAAAATTAGTAGGGGCCCCTGGGAGCTGCAGGTTTCCTAATCATGTCTGCTCCTAAGAACAGTAGGGTCTTGTCTGGCTCTTCTTATGAACGGTCCCACAGCCCGGACTCCCCAAGGTCCATGCGAGCCTCACCCAGCTTCTCCCTCTCCCATCTCAGAAACTCAGGCTTAAGGGGAAGCTCCTCACCAGGGATCCGGAGCTACCATTCACCATCCCCTAGGGCTTCACCACACTCACCTCTGTCATCACCAGAATCCCACAAGCTCCCATTTCCCTGTCCTGACCGTGATGGGCAATCAATGAAGTCATCGGGCTCTCCTCTGTCCTCCTCTGAGGATTCCTCAGAGTCCCCAGGTTCATCAATAATATACCACATGTTCTTACTGCCATCACCCAGCAGCTCACCCCCAGCTCTCGGGGGGTCTCCTGTGTCTCCCAGCTACTCTCCAAACAACCCCAGATTTCAGCTGGAGTCAGCCCCCCACACCCAGGAATCACCTACAAACTCACGAGCCTCACGGTGCTCCACCCCTGTGTCTTTCATCTCTTCACCCCCAGGCCTCAGGGACTCTCCCGTGGCTCCCAGTTACTATCCAGCCATCCCCAGGTTCCTGCGGGATTCAGTCGCATGCACCCAGGAGTCCCCCAGAGACTCACAGGTCTCGGGAGAATATGAGCGGTCCCCCAGCCCTGACTCCTCAAGATTCATGCCTGCCTCACCCAGCTTCTCCCTCTCCCCTCCCAGAAACTCAGACCCAAGGGGCAGCTCCTCACCAGGGATGTGGAAGTACTCTACATCATCCCGCAGGGCTTCACCACTCTCACATCCATCATCAACAGAATTCCACAGCTTTACGTTTCCATTTCCTAACCAAGCAGGACAGTCACTCATGTCATTGTGTTCTCCCGTGTCCTCCTCTGGAGATTCTTCACAGTCACCTCATTCATCAATAATATACCATATGTTCTTACTGCCATCATCCAGCAGCTCACCCCCAGCCACCCATGACTCTCCTGTCTGTCCCAGCTACTCTCCAACCACGCCCACATTTCAGCGGGAGTCTGTACCCCACACCCCAGAAACACCTACAAACTCACAGACCTCAGTGAGATCCTGGCCAGTCTCTCTCACGTCTTCACCCCCAGCCCTTACGGACCCTCCAGTCTGTCCCAGCTACTCTCCAACCACGCCCACATTTCAGCGCGGGTCAGTTCCAGGAACCCAGGGATCACCGCCAAGCCCACCACTTTCACTGAGTTACTCCCCAGTCTCTAGCACGTCTTTATCTCCAACCCTCAGGGACTCGCCTGTCTGTCCCAGCTACTCTCCAAACACGCCCACACTTCAGTGGGAGTCCGTTGCAGGCACCCAGAAATCACCACCAAACTCACCAATTTCACTGCGTTACTCCCCAGTCTCTCTCATGTCTTCACCATCCCTCAGGGACTCTCCCATCTGTCCCAGCTACTCTCCAACCACGCCCACATTGCAGCTGGAGTCAGTTCCAGACACCCCGGAGTCACCACCAAACTCACCAGTTTCACTCAGTTACTCCCCGGTCTCTCTCATGTCTTCACCCCCAGCCCTCAGGGACTCTCCGGTGGGTCCCAGCTACTCTCCAACCATGCCCAGATTTCAGCGGGAGTCAGTTCCAGGCACCCAGGTATCACCTACAAACTCAGCAGTTTCACTGAGTTACTCTCCAGTCTCTCTCATGTCTTCACCCCCAGCCCCCTGGGACTCTCCTGTCTGTCCCAGCTACTCTCCCACCACGCCCAGATTTCAGCGGGAGTCAGCCTCCCACACTCCAGAATCACCTACGGACTCACAGACTTCACTGAGGTCCTCCCTGGTCTCTCTCAGGTCTTTGCCCTCAGCCCACAGGGACTCTCGTGTCTCTTTCAGCTACTCTCAAAACTTCTCTAGATTCCAGCTGGAGTCAGTTCCAGGCACCCACGATACACCACCGAACTCACGAATTTCACTGACTTACTCCCCAGTCTCCCTCATGTTCTCACCCCCAGCCCTCAGGGACTCTTCTGTCTCTCTCAGCTACTCTCCAACCATCTCCAGATATCACCTGGAGTCAGCTTCCTGCACCCAGGAATCACCTACAAACTCACGGACCTTACTGCAACCCTCCACCATTTCTTTCACCTCTTCACCCCCTGCCTTCAGGGACTCTCCTGGGTCTCCCAGCTTCTCTCCAGCCTTCCCCAGATTTCTGCCACAGTCAGCCCCAGGCACCCAGGACAACCCTAGACACTCACAGGCCTCACGAGAGTATCTCCCTATGACCTGTACCTATACAGGGATGGCTCCCACGCATCCCTCAGTGACACAAAACCCATCTCCACTTACACTCAGACACTCCCAGGGCCTGACAGCTACTCCCCGTTATTGTCCTTCAGTTCGAAGTCCTGGCCAATCTACTAGCCCACATGACGCAGTTACCTGGCCATTACTCCACGGTTCCCGTGAGGGCCCCACACCCAGCCTCACAAGAGCCCCTCCTGCATTCCGTCCTCACACGCAGGCCTGTCCATCTACTTGCTACTGGCACACTCTTGCCAGCAGAAGAGGCCCCTGTCATGGCCGATATCACCACCCAGTCTATCCTCACCCCACAGCTGTGCAGCGGGACCCTCCTGCTGGCCCACGTGGCTGCCAGAGCCCATGCTGGCAAGACGCTCCAGCAGGTCGGCGTCCCTGTGGGACACACTGCCCGTGACATGGCTAGCATCACCCTCCTTCCTGGCATTGACACTGTTGATGTGAACCCCAGTTTCACATCTGTCATTTGTAAATAGGACCATTTTCCCTTTTCGCTCTCCCTTCCATTCACAGGGCTTTTCATTCTCTCTGTTTCTGCCTCCGTTTCAGATATTTACTCACCTTTTTCTCTCTCACTATGTCTGCCGTGGTCTCCATGAGAGTGCGCCACATAAGATTCCCCCATTAAAAGTCATGAATTGAGTGGCTTTTAGTATACCTGTGGTTGTGCACATTCAATTTTAATTCGCAATCCATTGTAGAACGTCTTATCACCCCCGACCAGAGAAAAACTCTGTAGACATTAGTCACTCCTCATTCTGTTTCAATCCCTCAGGGCCTGATGGGAAGGCACTTTCGTCTGTGGGGGACCCATTCCCTGCTTCTCCTTTGCGCGGTTTTTTTTTTTTTTGCTACGATAGATGCCTTTCCTCTCCTTCCTCAAATCTCACCTTCCCCTCATGTGGCTTCTGTCTGCCTTGGGGTACACCTAGCGGCCCGAGGTGCACTGTGGGATCGAACCAGGGACTCCAGGGTCCCTGAGGCCCAGCACGAGGCCTGATGGGAAGATACTTTCGTCCGTTTGGAGGACCCAGTCCCCGCTTCTCCGCGGCTGTGTTTGTTTTTCTCTGCCCCAGGTGCCTCACCTTCCCCTCTTGTGCTTTTTGCAAGCTTTGGGGTACCCCTAGCGGCCCAAGGCATACCCTGGGCTTGAACCATGGAAGCCAGGTTCCACAGGGTCAAGCGCAGTGGCTGATGATAAGACACGTTCTTCCTCGGGGACCCAGGCTCTGCTTCTCTGTGGCGTTTTTTTTTCTTTTCTTTTCCACAGGTGCCTCACTTTCCCGTCATGGGCTTTCTGCCCGCCTTGAGGTACCCCTAGCCGGCCCGAGGCGCACCCTTGTTTTGAGCCAGGGATGCTAGGGTCTCCGGGGCCCAGTGTAGGGCTTATGGGTAGGGACGTTCGTCCATGGGGAACCCAGGCCCCACTTCTGGTGGGCGCAGTTTTTTATTTTGTTCTCTGCCCCAGGTGTCTCACCTTTCCCTCATGGGCCTTCTGTCTGTCTTGGGGTACCCCTAGCGGCCTGAATCGCACCCTGGTCTCGAACCAGGAATGCCAGGGTCCCCTGTGCCCAGCGCAAGGGCTGATGGGAAGACACTTTCTTCCGTTGGGGATCCAGGCTCCGCTTCTCCGTGGTGCAGTTTTTTTTTTTCTGCCACAGGTGCCTCACCTCTCCTTCCTCAAACCTCAACTGCCCCTCATGGGATTTCTGCCCTCCTTGTGATACCCCTAGCAGGCCCGGGGCGCACCCGGGGCTCGAACTGGGGTCTCCAGCGTCCACAGGGCCCAGCGCAGGGACTGATGGGAAGGCATTTTCATCCTTGGGGTACCCAGGCCCAGCTTCTCCTAGGCGCGGCTTGTTTTCTTTTTTTTTTTCTGCCACAGTTTCCTCACCTCTCCTCCCTCAAACGTCAACTTCCCATCATGGGCTTTCTGCTCTACTTGGGGTACCCCTTCCGGCCCAAGGCTCTCCCTGGACTCGAACCATGGATGCCAGGGTCGCCGGGGCCTAGCGCAGGGGCTGATGGGAATGTACCTTCATCCGTGGGTACCCAGGCCCCGCTTCTCAAAGCTGCGGTTTTTTTTCTCCGCCCCTGGTGCCTCACCTTCCCCTCACTGGCCTTCTGCCTGCTTTGGGGTACCACGAGCAGGCCCGAGGCGCTCCCGGGTCTCCAATCAGGGTCGCCAGGTTCTCGGGGCTAGCGCAGGGGCTGATGGGAAGGCACTTTCATCAGTGGGGACCCAGGCCCGGCTTCTCCGAGGTGCTGATATATATATATATATATATATATTTTTCTGCCACAGGTGACTCACCTCTCCTCCCTTAAATCTCGCCTTCCCCTCATGGGCTTTCTGGCTTCCTTAGGGTACCCTAGCATGCCGGAGTCTCTTCTGGTCCTTGAACTAGGGTCGCCAGAGTCCAGGGGGCCCAGCGCAGGGGCTGATGAGAAGGCACTTTCGTCCGTGGGAGACCCAGGCCCCGCTTCTCTTCCGCACGGTTTTTTTTTTTTTCTGCCGCAGGTGCCTCACCTCTCTTCCCTCAAACCTCACCTTCCCCTCATGGGCCTTCTGCCCGTTTTGGGGTACACCTAGCGGGCCCGAGGTGCACCCAGGCCTAGAACCAGGGTCGCCTGGGTCCACGTGGCCCAGCTCAGGGACTGATGGGAAGGCACTTTTTTTCCATGGGAGACCCAGGCCCCACTTTTCCGTGGCGCGGTTTCTTTTTCTTTTCTGCCACAAGTGCCTCACCTCTCCTCCCTCACAGCTCACCTTCCTCTCATGGGCTTTCCACCGTGTTGGGGTATCCCTAGTGGCCCGAGACTCTCCCTGAGCTCCAACCAGGGACTCTAGGTTCCCCGGGGCCCAGCGCAGGGGCTGATGGGAAGGCACTTTCATCCGTGGGGTACCCAGGCCCCACCTCTCCGCGGTGCGGGTTTCTTTTTTTTCTTTTTCTGTGACAGGTGCCTCACCTCTCCTCCCTCAAAACTCACCTTCCCCTCACGGGTTTTGTGTCCCCAAAGCCCCCTTGGGGTGCACTTAGCGGCCGAGGCACACCCTGAGCTCGAACGAGGGACACCAGGGTCCCTGGGTCCCAGTGCAGGGACTGATGGGAAGACACTTTCGTCTGTGGGGCTCCCAGGCCGTGTTTCTCCGTGGTGAAGTTTTTTTTTTTCTCTGCCCTAGGTGCCTCACCTTCCCCTTAGGGGCTTTCTGCCCACCTTGGGGTACCCCTACTGTCCCGAGGCGTACCCCAGGGTCAAACCAGGGACGCCAGGGTCCCCAGGGCCCAGCGAAGGGGCTGATGGGATGGCACTTTCATCCGTGGGGGACCCAGGCACTGCTTCTCGGCTGAGCATTTTTTTTTTCTCTGCCTCAGGTGCCTCACCTTCCCCTCATGGACCTTTTCTTTGCTTTGTGGTACCCCAAGCTGTCCCGAGGCGCACCCTGGGCTCGAACCAGGGTCGCCAGGGTCCACCAGGCCCAGCATAGGGCCTGATGGGAAGGCACTTTCATCCGTGGGGGACCCAGGCCCCGCTTCTCTGAGACGCGGTCCTCTTTTTTTATTTTTTCTGCCCCTGGTGCCTCACCTCTCCTCCCACAAACTTCAACTTCCACTCATGGGCCTTCTGTCCAAGTTGGGGTACCCCTAGTCGCCTGAGGCACACCCCGGGCGTGAACCAGGGATGCCAGGGTCCCTGGGGCCCAGCGCAAGGCCTGATGGGAAAAAACTTTCGTCCCTGGATGACCCAGACACTGCTTCGCGGCGCATTTTTTTTTCTTCTTTGCCCCAGGTGTCTCACCTTCCCCTCATGGGCCTTCTGCCTCTCTGCGCCTGCGCCGGCGCTGTGGGCCTCTCTGCGCCTGCCCCGGCGCTGTGGGCCTCTCTGCGCCTGCCCCGGCGCTGTGGGCCTCTCTGCGCCTTTCGCCCGCGCTGTGCGCCTTTGCGAGGGCGGAGCTGCGTTCTTCCCAGCACAGCCAAGGAGAGCATCGCCAGGGCGGAGCTGAGTTCTCCTCTGCACAGACTTCAGAGATACAGCGAAGGCGGAGCAGTGTTCTCCTCAGCACAGACCCAGGCGGGCCGGGGGCACCGCGAGGGCGGAGCTGCGTTCTGCTCAGCACAGACCCGGGGGACACCGCTAAGGCAGAGCAGCGTTCTCCTCAGCACAGACCTTTGGGGCACTGCCTCGCTTTGGGACAACTCGGGACCGCATAGACGGTGAATAAAATCCTTCCCTTTTGCAGCCCTGAATAATCAGGGCCAGAGACCAGTTAGAAGGGCTCAGTGTGGAAAAGGGAAACCAAAAGCCCCTCTGAATCCTGCCAACCGAGGTTCTCCCCAGCCAAGCCGAGGCGGCCACAGTGCGAGATCCACACCGCAGACTCGGAAGACAAATGCAGCATTCCTAATGCAGACATGACACCCAAATTATGACACTCCCATTGCTCATGTAACAAGCACCTGTAATGCTAATGCACTGCCTCAATACAAAAATATTAATATAAGATCCGCAATCCCCTTGCTGCCATGCAGTCCTAAGACAGAGATCATAATAATCAACATTGACATAGTACAAACGTAGTAACGAACCTAGGGTTAAGGTTGGTGTTAGGGTTAGGGGTTAGGGGTTAAGTTTAGGGTTAGGGGTTGGAGATAGGGGTTGGGGTCAGAGTTAAGAGTTAAGAGTCAACGTTTAGAGTTAGAGGTTAAGAGAGGTTAGGGGTTAGGGATAAGGGGTTAGGGTTGGATTAGTGTGAGGGTGAGGGTTGTGGTTAGGGGTTAGGCTTAGGGGTTACGGTTAAGGGTTAGGGTTAGGGTCAGGGGTTAGGGGTCAGGGTCAGGGGTTAGGGATCAGGGTCAGGGGTCAGGGTCAGGTTCAGGGGTCCCACTCTGAGTTGTCCATTTAGTCTGCTGACTGTTCCTTTTGCCATGCAAAAGCTGTTTAGTTTAATTAAGTCCCAGCTATTAATCTTTGTTTTTATTTCATTTGAATTTGGGTTCTTGGTCATGAAATCCTTGCGTACGTCAATGTCTAGAAGGGTTTATCCAGTGTTATCTTCTAGAATTTTTATAGTTCAGGAATTAGATTTAAGTTCTTAATCCATCTTGAGTAGATTTTTGTATAAGATGAGAGATGAGAATCCAGTTTTATTCCCCTACATGTGGCTCGCCAATTATCCCAACATCATGTGTTGAAAAGGGGGTCCTTTCCCCACTTTATGTTTTTGTTTACTTTGTCGAAGATCAGTTGGCTGTAAGTATTTGGGTTAATTTCTGGGTTCTCTCTTCTGTTCCATTGGTCTATGTTCCTATTTTTAAACCAGTACGTTGGTGTTTTGGTAACTATGGCCTTATTGTACAGTTTGAAATCAAGTAGTGTGATACCTCCAGGTTCTTTTTGCTTAGGCTTGGTTTGGTTACATGGCTCTCTTTTGGTTCCATATTAATTTTAGAATTGTTTTTGTAATTCTGTGAAGAATGATGGTGGCATTCAGATGGGGATTGCATTGAATTTGTAGATTGCCTTTAACAGAATGGTAATTTTCACAATATTGGTTCTACCCATCCATGAGCATGGGGATGCATTTCCATTTGTTTGTGTCATCTATGACTTCTTTTCTTTCTTGTTTTTTTTTTTTTTTTTTTTTTTTTTTTTTTTTCAGAAGGAGTTTCGCTCTTGTCGCTGAGGTGGGAGAGCAATGGTGTGATCTCGGCTCACTACAACTTCTGCCTCCCGGGTTCAAGCGATTCTCCTGCCTCAGCTTCCCGAGTAGCTCGGATTATAGGCATGTGCCACCGTGCTTGGCTCCATCTATGATTTCTTTCAGTAGCGTTTTGTAATTTTCATTGTAGCGGTCCTTTGATTCCTTTGCTAGGTATATTCCTAAGTTTTGTTTTTTTGTTGTTGTTGTTTGTCGCAGCTATTGTAAAAGGGGTTGAGTTCTTGATGTGATTCTCTGCTTGGTAGCTGTTGATGTATGGAAGAGCTACTGATTTGTGTCCATTAATCTTGTATCTGGAAACTTTGCTGAATTC